>NC_000023.11:74583754-74886784 GCF_000001405.40 Homo sapiens
AAACAATTTGCGGCCGGGCGTGGTGGCTCACGCCTGTAATACCACCACTGTGGGAGGCCGAGACGGGCAGATCATGGGATCAGGGGTTCAAGACCAGCCTGGCCAACATGGTGAAACCCTGTCTCTACTAAAAATAGAAAAATTAGCTGGGCGTGGTGGCGGGCGCCTGTAATCCCAGCTACTCGGGAGGCTGAGGCAGGAGAATCGTTTGAACCCAGAGGCAGAGGTTGCAGTGAGCCAAGATCGCACCATTGCACTCCAGCCTGGGCGACAGGGCGAGAATCCATCTCAAACAAACAAAAAAATAAACAAAAACCAATTTGGCCTTTTTTTTTCTTGGCAAACCAGCCAAAACTGATGTTTTTCCTAAGAAATCACACCTCATAAGCAATCTAGTCTAGGGCTTGGGATAAATACTAAGAAACAAATTAGAAGTCATATAGTAGTGGGATTAAGAGCACAAGGAAGATGACTGCATCAAAGATGATTGCAAATAATCTGCTACTTACTATGTGACCTGGGCAAATTACCAAACATCTGTATCTCAGCTGCATTACCTATAAAATGGGTGGTATACTTTCACCTCACAGTCACTGTGATGATTAAATAATTTATATAGAATACTTAATACAATGCCTGACAGCAACCAGAAAAGTTTAGCTAATTTAATTATAGTTAGTAATCCATGCAAGGCCTTATAGTTAAATCTTGTCTAAATTCAAAGACCTCAAAGAAACTGGACCCTTGCTTTCTTATTTTTTAAAATGACCATTAAGAGTTCAGTTTATAATCCACCCAGATTTATCGAATCCTTTCTTCTAGGTATCTGGGGGTTTTTTTGAGACAAGGTTTTGCTCTGTAACCCAGGCTGGAGTGCATCAGCATGATCATGGCTCACTGCAGCCTTGACCTCCCGGGCTCAAGTGATTCTACCACCTCAGCCTCCCAAGTAGCTGGGACCACAGCTGTGTACCACCACACCTGGCTAATTTATGTCTGGATCCTTTTCACTGACCTAAGATGCCTGTGCTTTGGCTTCATTGTCTAGAGCACTAACTTTTTGATGGTGGTATTGAGTTTCAAATAATAAAATCATGAATGACACTAAACTTAAAACCTTGGGAAGGTCATGAGTTGAAGAGCTGACTACATCAAAACTATCCTGAGAAACCGAGTTATGATGCCAATGACAGATAGCTCTGCAGGCACCAGAGGAAATGAAACTATAATACAATACACCAGGTGTCACAATGTGACGATTTACTTGAAACAAGGACATCTTAGTGGCTTAAGCAATATGTTTAAGAGATTAAGATAGAAATGGAAGACAGAAGTACAAGCACACGTGCACACCTACAAGTTTTTGTATATATACAGGGCAAGCAAGGGAGTGGTCAGAGCAATGGCGAGAATACAAGAAACAGCAAAGATGCGCCTACTTAAAATGTCATTCACATAAATCTTTCCAGGATTCTTGTATTGGAATATAATCTTTTATTTTACCACTCAACGATTAAGCCATTCAACTACACAACACAGATAAAACGGAAGTTATAACATATAAACCAGTACCTGCCCACACTCATAGCAGTGAGGGGAATAAAAATCAAGGTTGCACTGTAATTCCATGACTCTAAAAATCAAGTCTATTTGACATTGGTTTGAAGCAACAGAACCTTTATAGCAGATTCCCCTTTTTAAAGAAAAACCCAAGGAGAGATGATCAAGCACAAATGATCACTTCATGCATTTTATTGATAGTCTATATTTTAAATCTGCAGTATGACATCTTACATAGGGAAAAAAGCTTCTTCCTAAAAGATAACTATTAATAATCAAACCAGCTTTAATATGATTGACCTTTCAAGGTCTTGTTTTGCTTTAAACAAGTTAACTTTTAGCAGTTGTAAAGCACTGTACAAAAGAAAACTGTGTACATTCTCAAAATTTAATACAGGGCTTCCCAACCAGGAGTCTGCTGGATAGGTATCGGAGAAGGGTGTTATGTTCAGGTTTAAATTGAAAGAAAATGAGAAACCAGATAAAGCAAGCCAACCAAATTAACTTCACTTTGTGCTCCTCTCTGCTTTTTTGAGTCTCTCCCGAAGGTCAGGAAGCCCTGGTATAACAATCACTTTAGTCTTTACAGAACATACATCTATGTGCTTTGTGACCAAAGACATAAAGGCAGCCTTTGTTACTGTTCCCCCTCCAAACCCCTTCAGGTTCTTATAAGCTTCAGAAAGCTTTCCAAGATTGCTGCCCTGTTCTTTGTATGAATCCAAGTAAACAACTATACCAAAGCAGCTCTTCCTGGGAGAAGATAAAACAGGCACAGATACATCACCAGGCCAACTGCGTACCTACTCAACTTGATACCTGATCACATGGCCCTACATCCTTAAAAGCAGCACCAGGGACAAATGGAGCTATCAAGAGGTAAAATCCAAACACTGGACAGTTAAAACACATACAAACCAGTTAAAAGAACATTAGTAATGGGGCACTAAATAGAGTTAAGGCTGGACAGCTGGTTCAACCATACCTTGGTATTGAAATAATTCTGCAAGATGAGGAACTTACAGAGGAACCTTGAAAGAGGCACCATGATATGACAGGGTTCACTTTCACTGCATGTCTTTAAGATATCTACTACTCAGCCCAACTGACCATAAAGCAGCTCGTGGAACTTTAATAAACAAATCCTAATAAAAATAAATAATTTTTAGAATGTTGGAGGGTATGCCTATTTCCTTCAGATCTGATCAAGACATGAGAATTATAAAACCGATACAAACTGTTCTGTGATTATCACTTGACAGTTCTAACACTGTTATACAGCTCAATTCTATGCTGCAGCCTTTAAGATACAAACTGGGGTTACATGAGATCACTCACTTGTTAGAGAAGTATCAGATAAATTTTAGAACTGTTCCAGTTAAGGAAAATAATTCTTAATTTCATAATCCTAAAACTTTTTCTAAAAATTTTTGCAGGGCAGGTACTTAACTCATAGCTGTTTTAGTTGATTAAAAAATCTGATTTAAAAATAAGTAAGGCTGGGCGCAGTGGCTCACGCCTATAATCCCAGCACTTTGGGAGAATGAGGCAGGCAAATTGCCTGAGCCCAGGAGTTCAAGAACAGCCTGGACAACATGGCGAAACCCCATCTCCACAAAAAATTAGCCAGGCAATGTGGTGCATGCCTGTAGTCCCAGCTACTTGGAAGGCTGAGGTGGGAGAATCACCTGAGCCCAGGAAGTCAAGGCTGCAGTGAGCTGTGACCATGCCACTGCACTCCAGCCTGGGTGACAGAGCAAGACCCTGTCTCAAAAAGTAAAAAATAAAATAAAATAAAAATAAATAAGTGACATACTAGTTCCTCGGATCTTTTACTTTTTTCCAAATGAAGTATGCTGTCAATTTACATTTTTCATGTTTTTTCAAAAGCACACAATTTACTAGTTAACTCAATGAATTACAATACTGTTATTGAATATAAACATACTGAAGAATTAAAGGGAAAAAAACACACCTGACACTTTAACATGTGCCTTAACAATCTTGCATACTAAGGTACAGAATACTTCAGAAAGTAACAATTAGCATAGTCTTATAAGACTAGGAGAATAAAAGTGCCCTGCAAACATGGCTTCTATGTACTTAATATGGTAAAACATGTGACAGGGAAGCCTGTAAGGTAAAACTTAAAAAAAAAATCAAATAAGGCAGATTATAATTTTTTTTGTTCGCAAAAGAACAAAGGAGAAAAGGGGAAGAATAAAAACATTCTCCATCTTTAAAAGAAAAAATATTAACAACCATAAGGTGCCACTGTATTTTAGCAAGCTGTAAAAATGGCCTTTTAAGAGGAATTTTGCAATCTTTACCTCCCTATCATTTGGGTATTTTGGGAACTGACCGAAAGTCATGGCTGATGCTTCACCCATTTCATGTCATGGACGCCTGGGAAGCAGGTAGTTAAATACAAAGCATATTATGTGATAACCCTTCATAAATATAATTTGAGACACTGACACTAGGAGAGGATACTTGGCACAGAAAAGACATGTTATGGGGCGGGGGACACATTACTTGAGGCAACACTTACAGCCAATCAGTTTCCTAATCTTAAGGTTTGGATGAATTCCAATCGTTTTTAAAAACTGTGTGTGTACACACACATATTTTATTTCCTGGTGCTAAAGGTCTTATAAACTGTACAATTACCTACATTCCAACACTAATGTGAACACTTTTCTCAATCCCCACCTCCATTAACACCATTAAGGTGTAACTAACATGTTCTTTTCAGAGCAAATATTCCAAATTAACAAGGTGGCTCATCTTCTATAGTGTTGATACAAAGTCAGCAAACTTTTAACTTAACTTGCTCAATTTTGTTTCTAATAGTACTAATAAACCTCAACTTTGGCTGGACATGGTGGCTCACGCCTGTAATCCCAGCATTTTCGGAGGCCGAGGCAGGCACATCACTTGAGGTCAGGAGTTCAAGACCAGCCTGGCCAACACGGTGAAGTCCCCATCTCTACTAAAAATATAAAAACTAGCCAGGTGTGGTGGCATGCGCCTGTAATCCCAGCTACTCGAGAGGCTGAGACAGGAGAATTGCTTGAACCCAGGAGGCAGAGGTTGCAGTGAGCCGAGATCGCTCCATTGCACTTCATCCTGGGCAACCAAGTAAGACTCTGTCTCAAAAAAACAAAACAAAACAAAACAAAACAAAAAAACCTCAACTTTGTCAGCTGCTCAGAGTTAAAACAATTCAAATGTTTCAGACTAGAAGTGAGTTTTTAAAAACATCTGAAATATTCAAGAAAATTTGGGTTTTGGTACTTTTCCTTATGCTCTGAACAATGTGAACTCCCAACATTGTTTATCCTTGTTCCTCTTACTGCATGAAGTTCAAACTAGGTCTTAAAGACAACTTTTCTGTACTTAAGAAAAAGTGCAAAGATAGAAAATGAAATGTAAGGTGTTTTGCAAGAAATGCTCCCTCGAGAATGGTGTTTGGATGTGGGTGGGGGGAAAACGATTTTTGTTCTCCATTGTAATCTGACACCTACGAATGACCTTGTCTTCAATGTCCACAACACTAGTAAGCATGTAATAATCACGGACATCGCAAGATTAAAAATTAAGTAGCAAATTCCACTAAAACACTTGTATTCATTCTATACAATCGAATGGAAATCCGTGAGTGCTACTGAAAAAGGTGTTCACATGCACATGTCCAATATGTGCATTCCACTGAAGGCTAAAAGCTTAAAATTCTATTTCCAGTGTTTATGAATAGCTTCAATATCTACATTCATAGCCAGCATTCTGCTTGAGTTACCTCTTACTTTAATACTTCACAAATGAGTAAGTACGTCTTGGGAGATTAGGAAGGTACCTGTTGTCAATAACTTTCTCTTATGCTTAGAATGTGCTGCAATTGTTTTTAAACTATTTAAAATGAACACCCCTATAATAATGAAACACTTTATGCCAAGAAGAAAATTGATTTGTTTTTAGCCAATCAAGACTACCCTGCAGATCTGAAAACTGTAGATTACATCCTTAGGAAAGGAGAAAAGGAGGCTCACAAATATAAAGGAATCCTGACTTTTACACGGACAAATTTTTAAAAAGATAAAATGTATTACATAAGCGCCATAAACAGTGAAATCTGCTTATATTAAAAAAAATAAGTGAAGCTTTGTTTGGACATTATTTCCTTGCAAGAGCAGTACATATCCTTAGTAAACAACTACCATATTTACAAGTTAATTTCCTTGATACTTAGATAGGATTGAAAGCCAGAAGAAATCATGGAAGAGTGAGCTTTGAAATAATCTTTACAGCTAAGTTGGTAACAGTGAAGGTACCCAGACAATTCCTAAAGCAGACTTGTTTATTTTGTAGAGTATTTGACTACGTCTGGGTAGCTAGCTTGCTTTGATAAAGGCCAAGGACAAGTTCAATCCCTATTTTGGCCTGTTAAAGCTTTTCCCAGAAGAACAAATATCTGCTCCATAGTCATTCTAATCCTAACCCCAGCTAGTCTCAAAAAAGAAATTAGGCAAGAAGACTGGGGTTATCATGAAGTTACTCTTACTACTAAGAAACCAACATAAAGTGCATGTCCATAGATAGCGAGTCAGCAGTCTCATTTTCATATATGGGCAGCACAATTAAAATTTGAATTTCAAATAACCCAACATGACTTTCAACAAAGGATAAAAATCCCTTAATCTTCAACTGGTCTTTAAATTTGAGATGTTAGGACTGTGTTAGAGATAGTAATGAAATATGATCAAGTGTGCACTGGTACCTTAAATGACAAATCTCAAAAACAACACAAATTCGAGACTTTCCTATTAACACACACATGTGTACCAACTGCAATTCATATGCTAAAAGTGGTTTTATAGTCTCTTTCCTCCATTTTTTCATTTTTGAGGAGCAGACTTGTAAATTTAACTTGTGCTAGGTAGTAGTGGTTTGTTTTTCTTAAACCAAAACTCTGCCAAACTTGCTGATCTTCTGCTTCATCTACTCAGGTAGAATACCAGGTCAAGCTGCTGCTGTGGCTGCTCTCACCATATGAAACCAGTTTGTGTCTGCATTATTACTGTCTTCAGGAAAACTTTAAATTCTTCAGTTTTCTTTACTCCTCCCATATTTCACTTCCTGCCTAAATCCAAGTTAAATTATACAATTTCCACTGGTCTTCAACACGGTTTAATTCTGCACTGTCCTTTCCTTTGCATGTCACAGTAGCTGTTCACACATTAAATATTATAGATATGTTCTGCTCTTGACATCTACACACTTACAAAAGCAGCTTTGTACTTTGTTTGGTGTGTTTGTTACTATGTTGGCTCACAAAAAGCAGTTTTCTCAGTTCTAAGCATGGTACTTTACAATTTTTAATGCATTCATACAACAGTGCATTGGAAAAGTACTGAGCCTCTACAAAATAGCTTTACATTTTTAAACAAATGAATGTGATTTTTTTTCACTTACACAAGCATAGGCTTTTTAATATTTCCACAAGATAAATATCTCAATTAAACTATAAGCTCACTCTACAGTGTGCCACAGTGATGGGCTTAGGAGACAGTTATACACTTAGAAGATCCTAACCTTAGTGTTATTTACACTGACATGTCCAGTATCACCAAGTCTGAAAGGTGAACAAACAATACTCAGAATGTGGCTGAATTTGTGTTAACTAATAACTGGGAATGATATAGCTTTAATCACTTATGAAACACATACTGTAACTTAGTCTAAACTGGTAATTTCCTTTGCTCCTCTCTTATGGTGTGGGAAAATTTAAAGATCAACATGAAAAAGGAGCCATTGCTAAGGCAGATCTTTTAAGATAACAAAGGAAAAATTGACAAGTGTATATGATAAATTATCAGTAACAGTGATGCTACCAATTTAACTGGTACGGAAATCAGATTTTTAGGTCCTATAACGTGGCTTTTAAAATATTTCCTTTTATTCTGGAACAAAAACTGGAGAAAGGACAATGATTCCTTCAGAAAGCAATGACTCAATTCAGGTTGTTACTTTACATTTAAGTACCACTCAAAAAGTGGACATAAAAGCAAGTGATTCCTGTTTGCCCATCACTATATCAGCTACATAGCTGAGAGTTCAGATCTTAATTACACAACACTTTCTCTGTTACCAGAAGCTAAGACTGCTCTGCGACAAATAGGACAGGTAGAATTCTCAGATAACCAGCGATCGATGCAGTGGACATGGTACTCATGGGAACAAGGTAGTTTACGAAGTTTGTTGCCTTCTGTATATTCTGTAATGCAAACACTACAGGTTTTTAATGCATCATTTTCACCAAAACTTCTCATTGCCAAGTTGTCAATCTGTTCTTTGGTGAGTCCTCTAGGTTGGTCATCATCATCCTCATTTAAGAGGAAAAACTGAGCCAGGCTAAGGAAGGGCAAAGAGCCACTTTCATCAAATGTGACTGGGGCCCTATGTCGACCCTCTCGCCTGGCACCTGATGAGCCTGATGATGAGCTTCCTTCATTACTGCCTTCAAATAAATCTGAGCTAGTTTCTGAACTTTCACCACCGGAACTGGAACTAGGACTGGAACTGGAACTTGAACTGGAACTGGAACTCGAACTGGAACTGGAACTCGAACTGGAACCAGAACTACTACCACCACCAGAACCTCCTCTTCCACTCCGTGACTCTGCCCTTTCCATATTTCGATTTGAGACTGAGCCAGTAGGCTCTGAGTCGCTATCACTGTACATAAAATAGCTTAACTCACCAAAACCTGTCATTATCTGCCTTAACATGGTCTGAATTGCAACAGATGTAGTCTCACTTAAACCAGTATTTAAGATTCTACGAATGGGAATTCTGATGGTACTGACATAGGTTCTCACACCTGCCCGCTCAGAACGTGAAAATGTACGCCTAAAACCTCCTCGTTCACTTTCATAGGTGACAGTGTTGTTTGGTGTCTGAGACCTAGACCGAGTTCTGCTGGCTATGCTATCTCTCTGCCGATATTCTCCAGGACGAACTCTTCTTACTTGAAGATCAAGGACTATGGTTGGAGGTCTCTGTCCTGATCCTGTAGATTCACCACTGGCAGCTGTGTCTGAAGAACCTGCTCCTTGAGAAGCATTTCTTGTTCCAGAAGCTGCAAAAAGACCTCTACTTAGCAACTCAGGCCCAGATATTTGCTGCCTCAATGTCACATGGTGCCGGGTTCTAGAACTTCCCTCCGTCTCATTTACCAAAGGATGTTCAAAAGTCTGAGATGAGATACTATGATGAGATCTTCGTGGAATTTCACTCATTGGATGCAGAGGTGACCTACTTCTTTCAGCTCTTGCTCTGGTTCTCCGATGGTCTGGGCTCCTGCTTCTTGCCCTCCTCTGACCTCTGGTAGGTGGGACCTCTGTTAACGCTTCAGTTGAATTTCGTTCTGATCTAGATGGCCTTGCAGATGTTGATTCAGATCGTGGGTTTTCCACTTGCCTTTGGCTGTTGTTTTCCACATTTTCTCCACTAGAACGTCTTGCAGATGGCTCATTTTCATTCTCTGAATTTTGGCTCCCATTATTACGGTTAACATTTATCTCTAAACTGAATCTGAAATCACCACTGTTTGGATTAGTCCGACTCACTGCTCTCCAAGATTGGTTTCCTCTTTGCCCACTTCTTGTTGTATTTCCAGTTTGTCTGACAGAGTTAAGCCAGTCTATTATAGAGTCACCATTAGACACATCATCTGAAGAGTCTCCTCCTGTTCAAAACAAAGGAGGGGGAGAGGGAGAAAAAGGAACTACTAAAATGAGGACAATCATATAAGTGCTCTGAAACTCTGCATTAAATAACTTAAAAATTCGGAACACATTTCATAATTACAGATTTTTACAAACTATACTGCATAAATTTATAAGGTAAGAAAATTCTAATTCCATTTGAAAAGAGCAAGCTACACTAGAGAAATTTAGAGAATTATTTGATTTTTAAAGGGAATCTGGAGGAAGTCTATTTTCAGTATTTTATCATATACAGAGCCAAGCATACCACTGTGGGATGGTCAGAAGACGTTTTTTCAGTCCTCTGCCAAAATACTAATGTAATCAAACTAGGTAAGGAAACAGTGTTTAACGAACAGTCACATTTAGTTCAAGCTACATTTCTGTCAAATTTTTATTAGTCTACATACTGTGCCTTTGATAACATTTGAGGTTGTTTTAAAATACAGGACTATTTATTGTAGCCATAAGAAAAATACAAACAAGATTTATAGGTTTAAAAGCATTTGAATATTTCTTAATGTTACCAAGGTTTTCAATGGACATGAAGTTAAAGATCAGATCAAATAAGTAGTCTGAACCTTGCATAGCACATATAATGGCATGTTCAAGAACCAAATTATTATCGTAGCCTCTCAGGTTGCACAATCAAAATCCCTACTTGACACTGGGAGGGAAACACCAGACCTGAGGTTAGAGCAGGATTTCTCAACAGTGGTACTACTGACATTTTAAGCCAGTTAATTCTGTGTCATGGGGGCTGTGTTGTGCATTATGGCATGTCAGGATGTTTGGCAGCATTCCTGCCCTCTACACAAATGTCTCCAGACGTTGCTAATGTCCCACATGGGGCAAAATTATATCTCATTAGGAACCACTGGGTTTAGACATTTCTTTTTGCTGGTGAAGAAGTCACATGTTTATAAAGAAGGAATTAAGTAGGAATAAATTTCAATGGAGGTGAAAAACAAACAAACAAACAAAATCACATTTAAATGGGCCATTTCTCACTGTGTTCCAATTAACATAAACATCTCAAAGGTGAGGTAGAAAAAAAATGCTGACATTCTAAGTATCAAGAAAATGTCAGTTTTCTTTTTATGAGCAGTTACTTAGCACCAAATTAATTTGTGCCAAATCTGGATAATCTTTGGCTGACATTTACTATTACAAAGTTCCTATCATCCCATCGTCTATCCACCTCCCCACCAAAACCAAAACATACCTCTATTTTCATCTGAGTTTTGCGGTGGTGGGCCTTCTTTAATTTGCTGTAGTCGTCTCAGCAACTCTTCCTCAGTACTTTCACCTGAAATTTAACACCACAGGGCAAAGATGACATTAGGGGTATGACAATCAAATACTTTATCAGTGACTCACAGTAATCTGACACAAGATGATTAGAAAAAAAATCATATTTTTAAAAGAGAAAACTTTTTCAAACCAAAAAGAAAAACCAAGGAGTAGGTAGGTCCTGGGAAAAATTCACTTCTTTGGAAACATATTAAAAGCAATTTACAAAGTTCTTTTGCATATAACATCTAACTTTGGCTCACGCCTGTACTCCCAGCACTTTGGGAGGCCGAGGCGGGTGGATCACCGGAGGTCAGGAGTTCGAGACCAGCCTGGCCAACATGATGAAACCCCATCTCTACTAAAAATACAAAAATTAGCCAGACATGGTGGCAGGTGCCTGTAATCCCAGCTGCTTAGGAGACTGAGGCAGGAGAATCGCTTGAGCCCAGGAGGCAGAGGTTGCAGTGAGCAGAGACTGCACCACTGCACTCCAGCCTGGGCGAAAGTGCAAGACTCTGCTTAAAAAAAAAAAAAAAAAAAAAAAGGCAAAGGCAATTCTAAGCTGGGCGCACAGTGGTACCACATCTGTAGTGCCAGCTCGTTGGGAGACTCAGGCGGAAGAATCCCTTGAGTCCAGCCTGGGCAACATGAGACCCTGTCTCAAAAATAAATAAGTAAGTAATTTTTAAGAATTGCAGCTTTGAGAGGAGGATATTGTTATCTGCATTTTAAAATTAAGAAACAGACTGAGCGACAGACTGGCTTGCCAGGAGCCACACCAAACAGCAGGGCCAGAACTCCACCTAAAGCATTCTGATTCAAGCCTGGTATTGTTGGCTAAAAACACACTCCCTCTCTTAAAAGTCATGCTAAAACCTTACCTTTTAAAATCTAAGCAATTACTCAAAGGTAAGTAGAATTAAACAGAAATGAAGAGGAAGACAGATACTGACTTTTAACTAGGATCAAATGGGACTTAGTGGGGTAAAAGATAATTAAGCACAAACTTCTAATTGCTATGTTACCCAAGGCTAGCTCTGGAGGATTACAACTGGGACATATTCAGAAAATCAGAGATAACAGAATAAGTCTTTCCTAAAAACTAAGTTCCCATTAGCTATTCCACACTCGGATTCTTATCTAGTAAGTTAGATAAAGCTAACTAAGAAAAAAAAGATTTAGCTCCATTCTTTTCAATTCAGTTCGCTAAAAATTCATAATTCATAAGTTAAAAATCTCTCTGATATAGTGTAATTCCAAACATCAGTAAATATAATCAGGTAATAAATACAGCAATAAATGTCATTCCATATCCCCTATGTTAAATAATATTTCATAAGGGCTAAAGAAATGGATTTTTAAAACAGGTTCAAGCATTTTTTTTTAAACCAGCAACTTACACTTATAAATCCTTAAATATATGTAAGCATACCTGGGGTGCCTAGCAAATTGTTATCTCTCATAAGCCTATAATCTTCTTCACTCAGGTTATTTACAAATTGATAGAAAGCTTCTTCTCGATCCAATCGGTCCATCTGACTTCTGCGCTGTGCTGCAGACTGATCACCACTTCCTTTGTCATTGGAATCTGAGTTTTCCATATTGATGAACAAGTGGAAAATACCTGAAAAGAGAAAAGAGACTAATCTTGAAAATAAAGGTCACTATGTATTCTATACAAGTTTTAATTATGTGAAAATCCAGAATGTAGGTCTAGAGATGGATTTTCAGACCTCAAATGAAATTTCCTAACAAAAACTCCTGAAAAGCACTGTTATATTAAGAGTAGGTCAAGGGTTGGCAAACTACAGCCCTTGAACCAGACAGGGTTGGCGAACTAAAGCCCTTGGGCCAAATCCAGCCATACTGTGGTATTTTTTGTTTTTTGAGATGGAGTCTCGCTCTCTCAACCAGGCTAGAGTGTAGTGGTGCGATCTCAGCTCACTGCAACCTCCACCTCCTGGGTTCAAGTGATTCT
This sequence comes from Homo sapiens, assembly GCF_000001405.40. Classification (NCBI taxonomy): domain Eukaryota; kingdom Metazoa; phylum Chordata; class Mammalia; order Primates; family Hominidae; genus Homo; species Homo sapiens. The sequence continues at coordinate 74,596,355 of NC_000023.11, forward strand.
CTGCCTCAGCCTCCCGAAGTAGCTGGGACGACAGGCACCTGCCACCACGCCCAGCTAATTTTTGTATTTTTAGTAGAGACAGGGTTTCACCATGTTGGCCCAATCTGGTCTCAACCTCCTGAGCTCAAGTGACCTGCCCTCCTCAGCCTCCCAAAGTGCTGGGATTACAGGCATGAGCCACCGCACCCAGCCTCGTGCTGCATATTTTTATTCTCCTTGCAACCTAAGAATGGTTTTTAGAGACTATCTTGTGACATATGAAAATGCAATGAAATTCACATTTTAGTGTTCATAAAGTTTTATTGGAACGCAGCCATACACATTCATTTACATGTTATCTATGGCTGCTTCTGTGCTATAATGGCAGAGTTGAGCAGTTGTGACAGACTGTATGTGGCACTCCCATTGCTTTGGACTGCTGCTCTGTGCACTCTTAAGTTGCAGTGATGTAGCTATAATGACAGCATTTCAAGTGCCTTCACACTGGACATTAAAAAAAACTGAGTATACACTCATCATCTCAAACAAAGAGAAAAGTGGACTCTGAATGTCACGCTTAAAGGTGCAGCAGAGGATGGGTTTTTCAAAAATCAGATTAGATGGCAAAGAATGCATGATTATGCAAAAAATACTATATACTAAATACAATATATACTGACACTATTAAACACTAGTGACAATATTCCCAATTCACAGGAAAACTACAGTTCAAAAAGTTAGAAAATTTAAAGTGAAATCTCATCACAAAATATTTCTTCACAAAAATAAAAATGAGGCTTCAATCAAAGTAAATTTCCCAGGGGCTCATTTATTGGCTAAACGAGGAAAGCTGTTTATTGATGGTGAGTTAGTGAAATTATGTTTGAGTGCAGAAGCTGAAGAAATGTGTCCAGAGAAAATAAACATAATATTGGACTTTTGGTAAGTATAGTGGTCCAAAAAGCTGGGAATATTGAAAAGCAATGTCACTAATCAACTGAAAAATAAGGTAAATGATGGAGTGGTTTTCTCTTTGGCTCTTGATTTGTTGACAAATGTAACTGATACTACTTAAGTTATTGTTTATTCAAAGAGCCAAGTGTTGATTATTCAAGGAGTTTGAACTGCAGAAGTAGCCCCTATGTGTAGTCTACATGAAATAATCATAGGTGAGAATATTTTCAAAGTTGAGAAAACTAATTCAGCAAAACCTGAAGCAGAATCTCATAATAAGATATGTTACTACTGGAATGGTAAAAATATATATGGAATGGAAAAAGACCTAGTTGGACAAATTTACAAAGTTTATGAAAATGTAAGGTATTTAACGTTTATGGTTATATATTTTATTACTCATCATCAAGTGATCTGAAGAAAATTTCAATCTATCATATTACTGAACCAGTAGCACTAATGATAAACTTCTCTCTTATGAACTCTGGTTTAAGCTCAAGTTCCATGAATTTTTGTCAGAAATTTTGTCTTGCTCTACAACACAACATTTGATGGGCTAATATTGGTAAAGTTTTATTGTGATTTGTTGTGCTCAAGGCAAAGATGGATTTATTTTCTGTGAGAACCGCTCTCAATTACTATTATCAAACAATAAATAGCTTGGAAAATTAGTGTTTCCTGCAGACTTGATAATGTTTCTTAATGAATCCATCCTAAAACAACAAAGCAAAAAATACTTATATATGAAACTTATACTGTGGTAAAGCCATTTCAGCAACAACATTGGTATCACATGTAATGTCAAGCTGTTTTATATACTTCATGTCCTGACAAAGTAATGAGAGCTCCATTCCCACACAAATTTGTAGCACATACATTTTCTGAGCTCAAACTACAGTTCCAGAACTGTTTTGCAGACCCCAATGTAAGCACAAAATAAATTTCCTTATTTCAAAATCCATTTAACTGTGCAACTGAGGAGCTTCCATCTAACCCTCAACTAGAAGTGACATCTCTGCAGTGGTAATATGCCAAAAGGTAAATATTAAAGTCATCTGGCTGGGGTGTGGTGGCTCACACCTGTAATCTCAGCACTTTGGGAGGCCGAGGTGGGAGGATCACTTGAGCCCAGAAGTTCAAGACGAGCTTGGGCAACATAGTGAGACCCCATCTTCATAAAAAATTAAATTAAATTAAAAGATAAAAAATTGCCAGGCGCGGTGGCTCACGCCTGTAATCCCAGCACTTTGGGAGGCTGAGGTGGGCGGATCACGAGGTCAGGAGATAGAGACCATCCTGGCTAACACAGTGAAACCCCACCTGTACTCAAAACACAAAAAAATTAGCTGGGTGTGGTGGCGGGCGCCTGTAGTCCCAGCTACTCGGGAGGCTGAGGCAGGAGAATGGCATGAACCTGGGAGGCGGAGCTTGCAGTGAGCAGAGATCGCGCCACTGCACTCCTGCCTGTGCGACACAGTGAGACTCTGTTTCAAAAAAAAAAAAAAAAAGATAAAAATCTAACAAAATTCTATATATGCTTCACTAAAATCATACACTTGTGGATTGCTTAAGATAGCAATACCTATATGTATGAAAAGATATTTTCAAAGATTAAATATTTAAGTCAGCAATAAATGGACATTTGCAAATGACTAATAAGGAATACTAGCTATGAATCCCAATTAAGCAAAATGTTACCCTCAAAAGAGTATCATTCTTCTCATTAGTAAACCTATCTCACGAAACACTGTACTCAATTATTGTTATTACATTTTGAGTTTTATCAGGAAAAACTGTGAGAATTTGGTTTCTCTCTTTTGTGTGACAATATGCTCAATTTTGCTTTTTGATCTGCAAAGCCTAAAATATTATACTATCTGGCCTTTTAAAGAAAAAGGATGCCAACTCCTGTTCTAGGTAATACATAAACTTAGCCAAAAATTCTTGTCATTCACTATTTGTACGAGTTTAAGGAAACCAGAATATTGGCAGACATTCCACACATACTCATCAATGAACTGCACACTAATAAAAAACAATGGTAGTCAACAATCTAAAATACAGGGAGACTACAAACAAAAATGTTCATCCTCTAATTCTTTACCTTACAACCCCAGATTCCCCTTATGTTCCCCACGAACACAACTAAATTCCATGAACATATGTGCTACTGACCAAATGTTTGTCCCCCTCAAATTCACATGTTGAAATCCTAAATCCCAAGGTGAATATATTAGGAGGTAGGGCCTTTGGTCATAAGGGTGGGGCCCTCATGAATGAGATTAACGCTTTTATAAAATAGTCCCCAGAGAGTTCCTTTGTCCTTTTGCCATGTGAGGTTAAAGTGAGAAGACAGCTGTCTATGAGGAATTGGGCCCTCAACATATATCAAACCTGCTGGCACCCTGATCTTGGATTTTCTAGTCTCCAGAACTGTGAAAGATATGTTTTTGTTGTTTATAAGCCACCCAGTTTATGATATTCTATTACAGCAGCCTGAACAGACTAGGACAATACGAAAAAATTTATGGAAAAAGGGTAGTCTATATTGGTACTATGACTTAATCCCACATACACCCACACACAACACCTGAAGTGCCGGAATGTTCACAATTCAATCCTAGAGAGAAAAATAAGTCAAGTCTTACTCCAGATATAAAAACACAAAGAAGCCTGTCTTGTCAAACCTTGCCTGCTTGCTAAGCCTAAATAAATTTTAGTCTAGACAGAGGCATACCTAGATCTCCACTGTTTTCCTTAGATCATTATTTTTAGAACTATCCTATCTTGTTTAATTAAGATGAGTATGTCAAGAAATGTGGTGGTGGGGGGGAGATCATAATATTTTTGGAGTTTCTTAATCTCATAACTGAGATTGCTTAACTGTAATAAGATTATACTACATAAACTTCTGACAAATGGTTACTTTATAATACTTGAAACTTTGACACTAGAAATCACCAGCTTAAATAAAACACGCACAAAAAACAGGCACTAAAAAAATACAAAACAAAACAAAACAAAAAAAAACCCTGAAAAGGAAGCCAAGTTTTCCCACATGAATCTCAAGTAATACAACTTGGTATTAGAAGTGGTAAAGGCAGCCGATTTTTAAAAATATAGAAAAGCACAAAGGAAAAAAAAAGTCAGCCATAATTTCTCAAATTTGCTAAGAACATTTAACTAATGTTCTTAATAAAGCGGTTAGTAGTTTGAACGCTAATGCATGAAAGTTAAGACAAAATTCACTTGTGTAGGATAGGTAAATTGTTCTGAAAACAACTGCAGGGTTAAAAGGCTTGAAAAATATAAATCTTCCAAAGAAGGCAAAGATATCTGGTTAAGTTCTGACATTTGAAGGACATGAACCAAATAAAAGAGAAAACTCACATGCCAAAGACATTTACAGCAGTGGCACAAACTCTTTAACAATAGTATCGGGGGCTGGGTGCAGTGGCTCACACCTGTAATCCCAGCACTCTGGGAGGCGGAGGCAGGTGGATCACCTAAGGTCAGGAGTTTGAGACCAGCCTGGTCAACATGGTGAAACCCCATCTCTACTTAAAAAAAAAAAAAAAAAAAAAGAGCTTGGCGTGGTGGCCCATGCGTGTAATCCCAGCTACTTGGGAGGGAGGCTGAGGCAGGAGAATCACTTGAACCTGGGAGATGGGGGTTGCAGTGAGCCGAGATCGTGCCACTGCACCCCAGCCTGGGTGACAAGAATGAAACTCCGTCTCAAAGGAAAAAAAAAAGTTATCAGGGAGGTAAAAGCCCAGAAGGAACAGAAACTTACAAAAATATGGGAAAGATTTAAAACACTGAATGTGAAGCAAGAAAGGGGTCTTGTACTGAGTATGGAGGGGGGTGTATCAGGTATATTAACAGAAGACGGAAGAGTCACTCAACTTCCATTTTGTTTCTATTTTATTCAACAATGAGAATCATCTTCTAACTGGAAAGAGTGGAAAAAACAACTTTTCAAAGAAAATCAAAAGCCAAGAATGCGTAATTTCTAATGACAATCTTTTGAGATGTCATAGAGAACAGGAGAGATGCTAAATGATCCAATCTTCAAAAAAAGTGAGATCTACAAACTACAGAGCAGTAAAATGTGACAATACATCTAGGGGAAAATTCTGCAAATACATTATCAGATAAACTGCAAACATGTAGAAGACAGTATGTTCACAAGAAGTGGAGTTCACTGCTGGTCAACTTAAAAAAATACAAACCCCCCCCCAAAAAGATTAACCTTATTTAACCTTATTTGCTTCACATAGGGATGGTTCTAAACCTTGGCTTGCACATTAGAATTACTTGGGGAGCTTTCTCTGGGGTTGGTCAGACATGGATATTTTTTAAATTCCACAGGTAATTCTATTTTGAAAGTCAGGGTTGAGAACCTCTTTGATAGGGACATCAGGATAACACTGCTGACTTACTGACTTGATTTCTGCACAGGATCTGAGGTTTTTCTTCCTATTAAGAAGAAATATAGACCAGTGTAATAGGAATTATCTGGAAATCTTGTTAAAATACAGATTCTGATTCAGTAGATTGGGGTAGGGCCTGAGATTCTGCATTTTTATTAAGCCTCCAGGTGATGTTGATGCTGAACCTAGAATCATACTCTGAGTAGTAAGGAGCTTGATGACAATACAGTTAAACAGATTCACAGTTGTTGAACACCACCCTCAAAGATTACAAAGCAATGTTAACTTGCAAACAGCCCTGTAAACTTTAGCATTTTTAAATGAACCAGTTGGATGAATCCACCCAAGACATGGTAAACAAATCCATAAACAACTCGAAGCTGTGAGTTAGCACAGAAGATGTATATAATAAATATTATTCTGAATTATCAGTGGATTCCTAGGATGGGCTGAAATAAAAACAATGGTAAATATCCTACCTCGGACACTTTATGAAGGGCTATCAAGCTAAAATAACCCATAGTAAAAGTACACAGTCGGGGAAGAACCTGTCTTGGCAATTCACATGAAAGATACCTCAAGTTTTTGGCTAACACAAGCTCAATAAAAAGCCTGTTTGACCTGGCTATGAAACCTACGAGAATCACAAGTTGCTTTCATAGACCACGGTGTTCAAATAAAAGCAGGTAACAGCCCCACTGAAACCTGCTGTTCATAGTACATGTAGAAGGCCGGACACGGTGGCTCACACCTGTAATCCCAGCACTTTGGGATGCCGAGTTGGGCGGATCATTTGAGGTCAGAAGTTTGAGACTAGCCTGACTAACATGGCAAAACCCCGTCTCTACTAAAAAAAATACAAAAAAATTATCTGGGCGTGGTGGCGCATGCCTGTAGTCCCAGCTACTCGGGAGGTTGAGGCAGGAGAATGGCATGAACCTGGGAGGCAGAGGCTGCTGTGAGCCAAGACTGCATCACTGCACTCCAGCCTGGGAGATCCCGTCTCAAAAACAAAAGCAGACTACATGTAGAGTAAGTGAAACACGAGTGAGAAGCCTGGGAGCATCATAAAAGAAATGGATGAATTACCTGGAGGTAGTTAGCCTGGAGAAAGACTAAAAATGGACACAATTACCATCTTCAAATATTTAGAGAGGAATAACATGAAGGAGAGCACAACCATAGGGTTAAATTAAGGTCAATAGTTAAAGACATGCAGAAGCAAATAATTCTTCCTTTTAGTAAAACAATCTAACAAAATTGTCAAAAAAATAGAGATGCTACCAGTCTCTTGAAGCAAGCAAACTTCCTGTCTCCTGAGATAATCAAGCAGAAGCTGGATATTAAAAAGAGGATTCCTTATTAGGTGAGAGCCAGAAGAGACTGATTCCAAAAGACCATTTGGACTAAAATGCTATTAAGGGTAGTGAAGTCTCTTGGTCTTCTATTCTGGGCTTAGGGTCATAGTAAGCTACATACTCCAGTGACACAAAATTACAACATTTTCTTGGCAACACCAATCCACTTAGGTTACCTCTACCCCATACTCCCCTCCCCCAACATACCTTGTGCTTTACCACCGTCACAATGTACTGCTATTCCCCTCAGTCCCCTCTTAGCTTCTCCCTATTTCACCAACCCTTAAAGATCCAACGAGATCTTCCCTCCTAAGGAGCTATTACTATCTCAGCTAGCAATTTTTCCATCCATCTCTGCATATAGCACTTGTCTATGCTACTAGAGTGGCACTTCCTGCCTTCCATAATGTTTTATATTTTTGAAGTGTATGTGTCTTCTCTTCCCAAATAGATTTCTTTTAGGGAACAAACCAGAATTACAGTCCCTTTAAAACTTCTGCCAAATGCCACTAGCACAATGCCTTGCACATTGTGGATATTTAAATGACTGAAAGAAATCCAATGTGAACACTGAGTTCATTTCCCTTAGTAATCTCTCTGAAACAGCACAGTCCAAAAGAGATACAATTTGAACCATATATGTAATTTTTCAAAATGCCAAGCAGCTGCACTAAGAGTAAAAACATGTGAAATTAATCTTAGTAATGTATCTTATTGACTCAACATAATCAAAAAAAATCATTTCAGCTGACTGACCACGGTGGCTCATGCCTGTAATCCCAGCACTTTGGGAGGCCGAGGTGGGCGGATCACAAGGTCAGGAGTTCTGAGACCAGACTGGCCAACATAGTGAAACCCCGTCTCTACTAAAAATACAAAAATTAGCCGGACGTGGTAGCAGGCACCCATAGTCCCAGCTACTCCTAGTCAGGAGGTTGAGGCAGGAGAATTGCTTGAACCCAGGAGGCGGAGGTTGCAGTAAGCTGAGATCAAGCCACTGCACTCCAGCCTGGGCGACAGAGTAGACTCTGTCTCAAAAAAAAAAAAAATCATTTCAACATAAAAAAAAATTTAGATGTTTTACATTAAAAAATACTGTTTTTGAAACCTGGTGTGTGTTTTACACTTACAGCCTATCACAAGTTGGATGCTAAATTTTCGACAGATAAAATGGAATGTAGTTCAGCAAAACAATACAGTTGTGTTTAGTGGAAAAACATTTTACACTACTTCAGTTTTTTAAGCTTAAAATAAAAAAAAAACTTAAAATTTCAGTTTCACTAGTCTTATTTCAAGTGTCTAACAGTCACATAGTGGTTAATGGCTACCATATTGGGCAGCACAGCTTTAAAGTATTTCTTTGTAAGATAGAGAAATCCCAAATAGGGAGAGTTTCAAATGTCCCCAATATATTTTTCATGCTCTACAAACCCACTATTTGCATCCCCTTTATGTTTTCCAAAAATAAAACAATAAGGTTCAATACTCTACAATGTTCAATACTCATGGGATAGATAAGTCTTTCCTATGCTCATGAATCTTCAAGATTCATTCTTGACCTTTTAGAATTTCTACCATTTCCTACATAGAAACTAGAGACAAAACATTTTACCTCCATTCAAAATTTTCCTGACACTGATTTCAGAGATTTTTGAATCCTAAACAGCTCCTGCTTGATGAGCTTGGATTCCGTTCCATGAAAGAGGGAATTCTAAATTTTATTTAATTCAAAATTTTAATGAGACACACTCATAAAGCAACATGTGAACAAATCCAAATCACTACCTCTTCAATAATAATAATATGCTGCTGTCTCCTTTCCTGCTACCCTTCCATATATATGCCAGAGACAATCAAGGAAAATATTTTCCCCATGATACTCCTGCAACACACTTATTTCAAAGCCTCCATCCTTTCTGCCTTAACTTAGCATTTCCCCTGGGCTGGAATTGGGGGTCAAGAGATTTCAGCACTGGCAAGGCACTCCCTCCCTTATAAGGGAATTCAAAGAGTAAGCTATGGCTACAATACCTGCAGAGGTCCCCTGGACTAGACATAATTACATTTGCAAAGAAAATGGAAATCAAGGCAATGCTCTCAAATGCCTTGTAAACTAATTTTACTCTCACACACCCAATGAGCCTGGTCTTATTTTAAGCAGACCTTCACTATCTAAGCGGCATAAAAGAAAGAAATGGAATAAATCTAAAAACCACAAGTTCTGCCCCAGGTAGATATAATCTGCCACTATTGTTTACTAAGTGCAAACAAACATTTTAAAGTTTAGGCATGCCAAAAATACCAGAAAACCATACTCCAAATGATCAAATACAGCTCTATCTCCATTTTGGGTGTGAAAATATTAGTGAAGAATAACATTAACAAAACAGGTCTCCAGATTCTACTTTGCAGTGAGTAACATTGTGGTACATTTCTAGCTTAAGTAGCAAGAGGAAAAAGAGAATCCTTATACACCGCTGGGATCTTTCAACATCATCGTAAAAGAGAAGGTCATAAATCCATTTCTTTAGTTATCTCAGATAAGTCAGAAATTCTGACTTCAGCATATGATTAGCATCAGCTGTTTTTCTATGAAAAGATTACCCGTGAAACATACAGTAATTTAAACAATGAAATATAACTGTTTTGAAGTCACTTAGGTCTCTCTCTGGCTATAAGCAATACTCATCACCCTGTATTTACATAGCCCTTACACCTGTATTTCATTTAATCTTCACAATAATCCCATGAATTAGGAATCACCACCTCTACAGGTGACAAACAGAAGCACAGAGAAAGAAAGTGATTTACCAAAAACCATGTGACTAGTAAGTGGGAAAGGGCCAGTAATTAAATCCAGGTCTCTGCATTCCAAATCCAGTCAACTTTTCACTAAGACAACTGCCTCCCAACATATCCCAAGACTCTATACTTTAAAACACATTCCTTCCTTCAATCCCAATAGGTATGACTAAACTATTCAATCTATGAGCTTTTTATACCATGTTCACTCCCTGTATGAAAAATTCCAAAATGACAAAACACCTTTTGTAAGCAGCACAAACCTAGATGGACTTATTTTTAAATAAGTCAACTTTTAGTAATTTTTAAAAATACAGTTGCTCCTTAGATAAACAGCATATTTTATTAACCTTATTTCTTTTAGAGTACTGTGTGCCAATATATCCAAATCCATTCCTGGAAACAAGAAACCAAATGAGAAATTTTGCCCAATCGTTTCAAAGAGCTACTCATCTGGTCAATGAATGGGACTGTATCCAGTAAGTTTAATTCTGGGGAGGAAAGGCCAGCAAGAACACCAACCCTGAGATTTATTTAAAACAGATTTTATTCACTTTGAGAATTTTAAAGTATTGTTAATAATCTCAACTTCTTCTAGTCATTATTATATATTAATATAAATTATGCAAATGACTGTTTCTGATTACTGCTAAATGTAGTATCTCATTTAATTCTTCTAATCCATGCACACCAAACTTTTAAAAAATTTAATTGTTATAATGTTAAGGCAAAAAGTTATTTAAAACATATTGTTCAGTACTAACAGGTCAGGAGACCTGGTGCTAAGTATAAACACAGGCATGTTATATTTGATGGACACACTACATTATAGTACCCAATTAAGGAGACTTAAGGCATCCAAAAATACTGTTAATAAAACAGACCTTACAAAACTAAATTCTGAAACACCAAGTGAAATGCCTGTGTAAAAACCAATTTTAAAAAGTGAGTCATCTTGGCTGGGCATGGTGCTGGCCGAGTGTGGTGGCCGACATCTGTAATCCTAGCACTTTGGGAGGTCGAGGTCGGCGGATCGCTTGAGCCCGGGAGTTCAAAACCAGCCTGGGCAACATGGTGAAACCGTTTCTACCAAAGACACAAAAACTTAGCTGGGCATGGTAACGCGCATCTGTGGTCCTAGCTACTTGGGAGCTGATGTGGCTGAGGTGGGAGGATCACTTGAGTTTGGGGGCAGAGGTTGCAGTGAACTCAGATCACGTCACAGCAGTCTAGTCTGGGTGACAGAGACTCCATATCAAAATTTAAAAAGTCATATGGAAGAAATTACCTCGTTTTTTAAAAAAAGTGGGGTGGGTGGGAGGGAGGAATTAAGGTAACGTAACATCAACTAACTACTAAATCATGTTGAATATTTCACCTTGTGCATATGTGTTCATTCAAGCTCCAAATTCTATAATAAAGTTCTAAAGCAGGACATGCCAATTTTTAAAAAATTATGGGTATGAACACAAAAATGTGTCACACTGACAAGAGAAGGGCAATCCATTTTGTTTGCAACAGAGCTTCATCAAGAATCTCATAAAGGAGGCTGAGTACAGTGGCTCATGCCTGTAATCCCAACACTTCGGGAGGCCGACGCGGGCGGATCACCTGAGGTCAGGAGTTCAAGAGCAGTCTGGCCAACATGGTGAAACCCTGTCTCTACAAAAATACAAAAATTTGCCAGGCATGATGGCAGGTGCCTGTAATCCCAGCTACTCAGGAGGCTGAGGTGGGAGAATTGCTTGAACCTGGGAGGTGGAGGTTGCAGTGAGCAGAGATCGTGCCATTGCACTCCAGCCTGGGTGACAGAGCGAGACTCCGTCTCAAAACAAACAAACAAAAAACCACACACCAAAAACACACACACACAAAAAAAACAAAAAAGAACTTCATAAAGGAGTCCTTTAAGAACTAGTGACATGTGATCTGTGTCAATGAAGAAAATGTTAAATACCATCACCAAAATGAAAAATACTTTATTCAGTTTTTTAAAAGTTAAATCACAAAGAACTGCTGAATTTAAGGCCAGAAAACAAAAAGTACCATCATATCATTACGTATGTAGGCACCAAAAGTGTTGGGGATTCTTCATATATAGAATGTTTAATTAAAATGTTATGGTATTTGTAACAGAAAAATATTTGCTAACAACCAGGTATCTTTTTTTATTCTACACATGGGTAGCAGGGTGAAACTCAGCTCTGTGAAAGGAAAAAAGAGATACTGAAATCCAGTCTTGGTTGTAACTTGGTTATGTGGATTTGGCCAATTCATTTAACCTCTTGTGCCAGAGAAGTCTCCATCAATATTAGAGTATTGGATTAAACCATCTGCAAGGTACTTTCCAGTTCTATGAATCTGTAACTGTAAATAAGATATAACCTACACCACATTACGATATTAAGAAATATTAAGTTTAGGAAACAGCACAAATAACTAGGACATAAGCTTATAAGCTCTGCTTTTCTCACTACCATTTCACTCAATGTACTTCTATCTCCACTCACGCAGTTATCTTTTTGAAAAGAAATATAAAGCATTCCTAAAAAAAAAAAAAAAAAAGAACAGGCAGGGTTAATGTCTCACTGACTTTCCTTATTGCATGATACCTCTCACCAACTAAAAAATTTGTTGATAATTTCCAAGAGTGGCCTATCAGAAAATGCTACCAAGGTATCCCCCACTGCTCATGCTACCATAACAATAAGAGATTATAAAATATCTGAATGGCAGTTAGCTTAGCCTCCACTTACATTCTTCTATCTTTACCAGTTGAAAAGGACAGCAGAGAAAAACTAAAAGGACTCAGGAATGTTCCTCATGTACGCACCGACTTGCAGCTCAAACAACTTTTACTAAAACGCTCTAAAACAGTTAAAACTGAAAGAGTGTTAAGAACTTCAGTAAATCAAAGGACTGAAGACCATGCCAAATGCGGTTGATCTACAGGATCAAGTTAGTTAAAAAAGGAAACCATTATGACATTTCATCTCAGTCAAATACTTTAATCTAGACAGTGAATTTAATCTTCAATTACCCGTTTTATGTTCTTTTATTATCAAGCTATGCCACTAAATTATAATTTGGTCTTATCCATAAACTCGTTTTGACTTGCTTCTCTCATTATTCCTAAGAAGTCAAAAAGAAAATGACTCAAAAACCCAAGGAGTGCATGTGTTTAAGTTACTAAGGTAAAAATCACTGATAACTGACAATGTTGGTGTTCATCAGTAACTAAGGCACTATTTTAAGGACCTAAGATTTTTCCATCAAAAATCAGGTTTTTAAAGATTGAAGCCAATTTTTAAAATTAAAATCACTTAGCCGGGTGCGGTGGCTCACGCCTGTAATCCCAGCACTTTGGGAGGCCGAGACGGGCAGATCACAAGGTCAAGAGATCAAGACCATCCTGGCTAACACAGTGAAACCCCGTCTCTACTAAAAATAGAAAAAAATTAGCCAGGCGTAGTGGTGGGCGCCTGTAGTCCCAGCTACTCGGGAGGCTGAAGCAGGAGAATGGCGTGAACCCGGGAGGCAGAGCTTGCAGTGAGCCGAGATCGCGCCACTGCACTCCAGCCTGGGCGACAGAGCGAGACTCCGTTTCAAAAAAAAAAAAAAAAAAAAAAAAAAAAAATTAAAATCACTTAACTAAAAAAGAAAGTATTATCTATACCAATCAGTTATTTGAGGAAGTAATTTTGTATTTAAGACCAACCATGCTGACAATTGTCCTTCCTGAACTAGTATACCTACATAAAAATAACATGAAGAGGGTGACAATATATCTTTGGTTTGTCCAGAAGAGTAAGGGTTTACACTTGTACTGAAGTAATCAGTAATATGGCTCTCCCTTTCACTCTCAAAAGTGTCCCAGTTTAGATAATTCATATGGTCTCCTTAGTTATAATCAGCACTAAAGGGATCATTGGTCAATAAAAAACAAAAGTTGTAGTTAACACTTTTCCTCCTATAGTCAAGGGGAGATCAGAAGGGACCTTTTGTCATTCCAGAAAAAAATTTTAAACATCAAACACAAATACTTCCTTTCTCCCAGGAAGTAACATGTTCATCATCATGGAAACGCCATTAGACTCTCAAATGTTATAAAAGCAAACCAACCTGTAGTTGCAAAATTATTGCAAGAAATCCACCAATCTATGTAATGCACCAAGTGCTCTCTGCCTACAGATTATTTGTCTCACAGATATGTAGGTGCTACTGTGACTAATGAAATTAAACTCTTGGATTGGTGGCCAGGCGCGGTGGCTCAGGCCTGTAATCCCTGTACTTTGGGAGGCCAAGGCGGGCGGATCACCTGAGGTCAGGGGTTCAAGACCAGCTTGGCCAACATGGTGAAACTCCATCTCTAGTAAAAATACAAAAGTTAGCCAGGCGTGGTGGCACGTGCCTGTAATCCCAGCTACTCGGGAGGCTGAGGCAGGAGAACCGCTTGAACCCAGGAGGCGGAGGTTGCAGTGAGCCAAGATCGTGCCACCGCACTCCAGCCTGGGCGACAGAGCAAAACTCGTCCTGCCCTCCTAACCAAAAAACAAACAAACAAACAAACAAACAAACAAAAAAAACCAAAAAAAAAAAACCCTTGTGTTGGAACATTAAAATATAAGAAAATCTAGAGCAAAAATACCAACTATATATGTCAGGAGAAAAACCACAAGTTCATAAATATATTCCCCCAATTGAGGTATATTTAAAAAATACCTCAATTGGCCAGTCGCGGTGGCTCACGTCTGTAATCCCAGCACTTTGGGAGGCCAAGGTGGGCAGATCACAAGGTCAGGAGTTCGAGACCAGCCTGGCCAATATGGTGAAACCCCATCTTTACTAAAAATACAAAAATTAGCCAGGCGTGGTGGAGAGCGCCTGTACTCCCAGCTACTTGGGAGGCTGAGGTAAGAGAATTGCTTGAAACCAGGAGGTGGAGGTTGCAGTGAGCCGAGAGTGCACCACTGCATTCCAGCCTGGGCGACAGAGTGAGACTCCGTCTCAAAAAAATAAAAAAATAAAAAATAAATAAATAAAAATACCTCAATTGATAAAAAGAGAAATGAATTGCTGGATTATCTGGGAAACTTTCATGTTTGAGGCTGAGAAAAAAAAATGAAAGAAAAATAGATACAGAAGTGTTATTACTTTCTTATATTGGACATCAGAACTTCAATTTATTATGTAAACTAGATACTTTCTGAAATCAATGGGCCATAGGTTTTAGAAATCTTTGTGTTAAAGAAAAACCTGTCCAGTTCTAGGCAGTGGCACAAAATTCTAGGCCCTCATTGGTTTGGGTTTGACAGAAGACTTTTTATTCTCTAATTTGTCATCCACTCTATGGTAAATGAAGAGAACAGGAGGCTGGCTGGTGATTTGCTCTATTTCTAATCCACCATGGCCATGGAAAAATTAATGTACATATAATATAATTCCATAAATGCAGATGCCTCATTTGACCTACTACTATATTAAGGCTCACTACATGTTCACTAACCTCAAAGATATCCAACCAGCCTAGTATTTCCAGATCATTTAATTATTAAGCTATTTCTTAAAATCATTTCTGATTTTAAATTAAGTTTATCAAATGATATACAAGGAGCTATCCATTTAACATCTATCAATGAGCCCATCCAATTACAGGGCCTGTGAAATAGAACAATAAATATGTGTAAACATGCATAATAGCTGAAACAGGAACGTAACAGACGAAAAGGGGGGATTGCTGGATAACCTTTAAGTATTAACAAAAGTTTCTGATGCAACATAACCTACAGACTTTTTACTACAACCTTTCATTTTCATTGCATTTCCTATCTAATTAGACAGCAATCAAACCCAGAAGTATAACGTCAGACAGGCCTGGGATAAAATGAGGGCTCCACCACTTAAAGCTATTTAACTGAGGACAAATTATACTTAACCTCTTTGGGTTTTTGGTTTCCTCTATAAAAGTTAACATTCTCATGAGGCTCTGTTGTGAGAATTATAAAATAATGCATATAAAGCACATGGCCTAGCACCACAGGCCTTCAGCAGAAGTTGGTTATGAATTTAGGCTAAGTATCCATCCCAGTTTGTCGGGGACAATCAAGGTTTGCACCTGCTGTCCAGGAATTATTAATGTTCCTTTTGTTCTTAAAAGTGTCTTGGTTAGGCAATAAATTATGTGGTTACCCTAATGATGATGATAATAATAATGAAAGGAGTCAATATCAATTAAAAGTATCATGTATCAATTATGAATTTTTGAATCTTAAAGGAAAAAAATCAACCACCACACACAAAGTAACGTAAAATTATACTCTCGTAAGCTATTCTGATATTTCATTTAGTTATCCAATGAACATTTAAATGTTATTTTACTTATACTCATGCCATTCCAACAATGATATAAGACAACAAATTTTTTGTTGTTGTTGTTCTATACAGGTATTGGTAAACTTCAGACATTATTTTAAAGAGTCAAATTCACAGATAAAGCACTGGTGAGTTCCAGGTATCCAGAAACATTACCCTTTTAATTCCCAGTGAAAAGTACCCATTCTTATCATGAAGAATACCCAACACCATCTAACATCTATCAATGAGCCCATCCAATTACAGGGCCTGCAAAATAGAACAATAAATATTTGTAAACATGCATTCTACACATAAATCATCAGGAGACGCAACAAAAAATAAATTACCTGACTGTTATGACATAGTATTGAAATACAATAAACTGGATTTTAGTTTTCTTCACTCTGCTCTAGAAAAAAAAAGAATCCATTATTCTTCCTCTTTAAAAAGATACACATTTTCTTTGAATTAGACACAACCTAAAAAAAAAAATACAGACACACCATAACCCAACCTAATTCAATATTAGTATTAGGGCATTTGGGGAGAGCAAGAAGGTCAGAGGGGACCAGGAGTTAGATAAAAGATGTCTTCTAAGACTGAGAGACAATTTACGTTTTATTATAAGCTTGCTTAAAATAAGCCTTTCCTTATCAGACCAGTAATTATTTTCAGATTCTGATAGTCACTTTCAAGGACTTATCTGGCACATTACACTAGCCTAAGGTAGGAACTAAAGTATTAAAATTCATCAGAACATCATGGACTAAAAAAATCTTTGTAACATTTTTCAGTAAGTGGAGTGTGTCCTAAAATCAAGTTTTAAAAAGTGGATTGGTCTTTCTAGCTACCTAAGCTATATTTCTACAGTTTAGAAAAGTCATGGGGGGGGAGGGGTTATAATTGTGCCAGTCCTCCAGGGAAGATACAATGTACTTAATGGGGTGATAAGTAGTTACTCTGTCTATAATCACGAAGAATGAAAGAAATGATTAGTAGCAGTAGGTTTATTATTTCTTCCCCCTTTCAATCAGTCCAAAACACTGCGGTTAATTCTGATTCAGGAAATGCGGGCTCCTTACTTCTGGCAAAAAATCATTGTGGGGTCTTGCAAATGGAAGATGACAATCTGATACAACTGCTTCCTCTTGCCCCAAAATGAAAAAAAAAATGACCTCAATAACAAGACTGCTAGGCCTCAGATTCCCAGACTAACCTGTGGAATAAGTATGGTGAAACTGTCTAGGGAAGGAACGTGGCTGTCTCCTCCATCTTGAAATTAATCAGCATAAGGGAAAAAGGGACCGAGTATTCAGGAAGCAGAAGCCCAACCGGTTAATACTAGTTACTAAGCTATGGCATGCGTGGCAGGTACCGTCTGCAGAAGCAGAGACCCCCCTAGGCTTTTTTTTTTTTTTTTAATGGGGGAGGGATTGAGTTGTTGGTGGATTAAACACAAATTAACTTGAAAATTTGGCCCAATTCCATCCCTTATCCAGGAGAACACAACAAACACCTAACGGCTTTTCCCTCTCTTTTGCGGGGGGATCCTTCCAGTGATACCTGGCAAAGGATATGCCAGGGTTATTCGAGCAAGGGAGTAAACCACATTTGCCTCAGATCCTCAGGGAAGATGTCATCGCGGCCCCAGGGGGCGCCTAATTGGTAATACCCTGCAGAAGGGCTCAAAATGAGGTTTTGGAAATCTAAAGGCCCAAGAGTTGCCAGCATCTCACTTGGGGCAGCCTGATTTTTTACTTCCCTTTTCCCAAACCCAAGCCCGCCATGGAAAACGCGGGGAGGTCAGGGAAGCCTCCAGAGAACAGAGAAGAAAAAGCCTGAGACGTTCTAAGATTCTGACGCCTGAGGCCAAAACTCAAAAACTGCCTCCCCCGATTTCCTAAGGCTCCGGAGGGCCTGGGCTGCAGCTCGCGCGGCCACCGAGAGGAAGTACTACCCACCTCCTTCCCCTTCAAAGAGCCTGTCGACTATACCACTCAACTAAAATGGCAGCGGCGACTACGCCACGGAGCCCCCCGCAGCAACGGGCCTGGGGTCCGGAGGCGGCGCTGAGCCTCTGCCACGACGCGTCACTCGGGCCATTTTGAGAGAACGCGGCAGCCGCGGCTCCGCTGTCTTCCTCTCGCTCTACATCATTTCTCACAGGATTCCCAAGTCTTCACTTACTAGGTTTTAGGGTCAGGATCCGACTCGGTTGGTTCGGCCGCCGCCGCCGAGGCTGCTCCGCACCTCCCTGGCCGCCGCTCTCAAGCCCGCCTCCAATGAGTAGCTGGTTGAGACCCGCCTCTAGCCCAGCGCCTGCTCGGAGACGTTGCTCAGGCAGCCATTATCTTCCCCATTGTTACCAAGCAGCGACAGGAAACGACTGCCCACAACAGGAAGTGATGATGCCGCGTCCCGGCACCGCAGCCCCACTCCCAGCCTATTAGCCAATCCCAGTCGATTCCTCGAAAAGGCTCCGCGGGAGGAGGAGGGGGACGGCAGACGACGCGGCAAGGCGGGCGGCGGTTTGGAAAAGGAAAGCTGTTATGACGCCCACCATGTGACAGGCCCCACCCTCCTCCGCCATTTTGAATTGTGGCGAGAAATTTGCGTTCTGAGAATTGTGGGAACCTTCGCTTTCCCATTTTGAAAACTGAAGGACGTCACGGTCTGACTGCTTGAAGACATTTTCAGAGAGAGAGAAATGTGATATTAGTCTACCCTGACATCACATCAGTTCACACAATCCGTGCAGACCAGTTCAAAAAGTAGCCTGCGTTTTATTCAACATGTATTTACACAGTGCCAACTGCATGTCAAGCACCATTGTAGCTGCTTAGGAAATTAAAATAGACCAAAATTAAGAAAGAAAACAGGCCACGTTCGGTGGCTCACGCCTGTAATCCCAGCACTTTGGGAAGCCGAAGCGGGCGGATCACCTGAGGTCAGGAGTTCGAGACCAGCCTGGCCAACATGGTGAAACCCAGTCTCTACTAAAAATACGAAAATTAGCCGGGCGTGGTGGCGGGCGCCTGTAATCTCTGCTAATCGGGAGGCTGAGGCAGGAGAATAGCTGAACCCAGGAGGCGAAGATTGCAGTGAGCCGGGATCTCGCCACTGCACTCTAGCCTGGGTGACAGAGCAAGGCTGTGTCTCAAAAAAAAAAAAAAAAAAAAAAAGAAAACAGATCAAAATCCCAGTTCTCTTGAGTCTTTATAGGGGCCAGGGACAATAATTTAGAAAAAATCAAACATAAATACATATCATGTTAGTGATAAATGCCAAGGAGAAAAATCAAGGAAGGGGGACAGAAGAGTTCCTTGTAGGGACAAACGGATTCGTGATGTTTAAAAGACTGATAACTTTGAGGCATTAACTCTAAAGTATTCGAAAAAGGGCGGTGATTGTAAAAGGGTGGGAAAATCTGATAACGTTGGGATTTGTAAAAGGGCAGTTAAAGAAGGCCTTTCTTAGGTAGTAATGCCTGAAAGAATTGAGGGAACTCGCCACACAGCATGCCACTCCCATTGTCACAGTTAAAGGAAAACCTTACCCAAGTTTTTAGATTCTTTTCCTTTTCCCAATTTTTCTGTTTTCCAATAGCATGCCAGCTATGCTGGCTTTGTTACGGTTTTTCCAACAAAGCTAACTTCTTCCTACTTCAACTACTTTACCTTTGCTGGAATATTTTACTTTCATATCTTTGCTTTCATCATCCAAGCCTCGCAATTATTAACTTCCTAGAGAAGCCTTCCCTGACCACCCTACCTAAAATAACTTCTTCCTGAAGGCGGAAAAAGGTCTGAGGAAAAAAAAAAAAAGAAAAAAGTAATAACGACTTCTCCCATCTCCTTACCTGCTTACTTTTCTTGTAAAACACTTAATCTGAAAGTAAGTTATTTATTTGTTTGTTTACTTCACCCTTTCTGAGCAGTAAACCTCTCTGTTTTGTTCACTGTTGTGTCCCCAGCGACCACATAGTAAGCCCTCAAAATACTTTGGGAGAATTACCCCCTCACCATGATGGATGTTATATCAGCCTGGAATATAAGTATTTCACTCCAAGCAGTTAAAACAATATCCCTCATACTTACCTGCCCAACTCCCTAGAAGACTCATTGATATTGTCATTTTTGGCAGAGGGATACATGATTTAGGCGCTGTGTCTCTACTCAGGTTTTTGTCTTATTTTACATAATCATGTACTAGAACGATTACCTAGAACGTGTAAAAGGAATTCTTCAGTAGCCTGCAATTGCCATTAAGCCTGATATTCTGATTATGGCAATAACATTAGCCACTCCTTAACGTATTCTTGAGGCTTATGTGGCTTAATCTAAAATATAAAATCATAAAAGAAGTGGAAGAAAATACAGGTTACTATTTCTGTCCTTTCTTCCTTCCTTCCTTCCTTCCTTCCTTCCTTCCTTCCTTCCTTCCTTCCTTCTTTCTTTCTTTTTTTTTTTTGATGGAGTCTTGCTTTGTTGCCCAGGCTGGAGTCCAGTGGCATGATCTCAGCTCACTGCAACCTCCGTCTCCTGGGTTCAAGCGATTCTCCTACCTCAGCCTCCCCAGTAGCTGGGATTGCAGGCATGCACCACCACGCCTGGCTAATTTTTGTATTTTTAGTAGAGATGAGGTTTCACCATGTTGGGCAGCCTGGTCTCCAACTCCTGACTTCATGATCCGCCTGCCTGGGCCTCCCAAAGTGTTGGGATTACAGGCGTGAGCCACTGTCCAGGCCTAGGTTAATATTTCTATAGCCTTGGGGATGCAGAAGCACTTTTGAAATACAACACAAAATCCATAATGGGAAAGACTAATAAGTACAACTTCATAAATAAAAGTAAACCTTCTAAATGTCAAAATACAAGGTTGGTAAAGTTAAAAGACAAATGATAAATTGAAAAAAATCATTTCATAATGACATATTAGAGCCAAGGGGTAATATCTTTACTTAATAAAAAGACGAAACACTAGCAAAAATGTTACATATGTGATAAACACATATGGCTAATATCAGCCTATAAAGAGTTGTTAAACATTGATTTTTAAAAAGATAAATACCGGCCGGGCGCAGGGGCTCACACCTGTAATCCCAGCACTTTGGGAGGCCAAGGCAGGCGGATCACAAGGTCAGGAGATCAAGACCAGCCTGGCCAATATGGTGAAACCCCGTCTCTACTAAAAAAAATACAAAAATTAGCTGGGCGTGGTGGCGTACTCACTCCTGTAGTCCCAGCTACTTGGGAGGCTGAGGAAAAGGAATTGATTGAACCCGGGAGGCAGAGGTTGGAGTGAGCCGAGATCATGCCACTGCACTCCAGCCTGGGTAACAGCAAGACTGCATCTCAAAAAAAAAAAAAAAAAAAAAAGAGATAAATACCTCCATTTCAAAATGTGCAAGGAACATGAATGGATAATTCATAAAAGGATAAAACACGTGGCTGATAAGCATATGACAATATATTCTTTTTTTCTTGTTAGTAAATAACCTTGTACTTGAAAATATATTCAGCCTCACTAGTAATTAATCAAAAATAAAAACAATGAGGTACAACTATTATGTATCCATAATAATTAAAAAACAATAGCTGGGTTCGGTGGCTCACGCCTGTAATCCCAGCACTTTGGGAGGCTGAGGCGGGTGGATTGCCTGAGGTCAGGAGTTTGAGACCAGCCTGGCCAACATGGTGAAACCCCGTATCTACTAAAACTTCAGAAAAAAAATTAGTTGGGCGTGGTGGTGGGCACCTATAATCCCAGCTACTCGGGAGGCTGAGGCAGGAGAATCGCTTGAACCGGGAGGCAGAGGTTGCAGTGAGCCGAGATTGCGACATTGCACTCCAGCCTGGGCAACAAGAGTGAAACTCTGTCTCAAAAAAACAAAACAGAAAAATTTTATGAACTAAAAAATTTTTTAAAAAGTTCCTTTTTTTGCCTGTTAGAATGTCAAGGATAAAAAATCGATAATATTAATTGTTGATGAAGATCCTATGAAATGGGCACATTTGTATTGCCAGTGGGACAAATTGATATCAGTTTTCTTTTTTTTTTTTTTTTTGAGACAGAGTCTCACTCTGTCACCAGGCTGGAGTGCAGTGGCGCAATGTCGGCTCACCGCAACCTCCACCTCCTGGGTGCAAGCAATTCTCCTGCCTCAGCCCCCCGAGTAGCTGGGATTACAGGCGTGCGCCACCACACCCAGCTAATTTTTGTAGTTTTATTAGAGACGGATTTTCGCCATGTTGGATAGGATGGTCTCGATCTCTTGACCTTGTGATCCGCCCACCTCAGCCTCCCAAAGTGCTGGGATTACAGGCATGAGCCACCACTCCCAGTTTTCTTAAGGCAATTTGGTAATGTGTTTCAAAAGACTCATATTCATAGTATTTGACAAACATGTCCAGGTACAGAAATTTATTTTAAGGAAAGAAGTGGACAAATTTGCAAATATGTATGTAATGAATGTGCAAAGATGCTAATTACAGTGTGGTTTATAACATCGAAATATTGACAAATCAGAAAAAATAACCATCCAACAACAATTAGTTATAGTATAACCACATAATAGACTACCATGTAGCATTAAAAATAAGTACCTAGAGCTGGAAATACGTTCAGGTTACTTTTTTTTTTTTTTTTTTTGAGACGGAGTCTCACTCTGTCACCCAGGCTGGAGTGCAGTGGCACAATCTCGGCTAACTGCAACCTCCACCTCCTGGTTTCAAGCGATTCTCCTGCCTCAGCCTCCTGAGTAGCTGGGACTACAGGCTCGTGCCACCACGCCCAGCTAATTTTTGTATTTTGAGTAGAGACGAGGTTTCACCATGTTGGCCTGGCTGGTCTCCAGCTTTTGACCTCGAGTGATCCACCCACCTCTGCCTCCCAAAGTGCTGGGATTCCAGGCATGAGCCACCGTGTCCGGCCTCAGGTTACGTTTTTAATGAAAAAAGCGATTTACAATACAGCTTGTGTGACTCCATTTTTATTTAAAAGATATGTATAAATATGCCTAGAAAAAAGCCTAGATGAGCATACATTTTTAGTCACTTTTATGTTCTTTTTTTTTTTTTTTTTGAGATGGAGTCTCACTCTGTCACCCAGGCTGGAGGGCAGTGGCATGATCTCGACTCACTGCAACCTCTGCCTCCCGGGTTCAAGCGATTCTCATGCCTCAGCCTCCTGAGTAGCTGGGATTACAGGCGCCCGCCACCATGCCCGACTAATTTTTGTATTTTTAGTAGAGATGGGGGTTTCACCATGTTGGCCAGGCTGGTCTTGAACTCCTGACCTCAGGTGATCCACCTGCTTCGGCCTCCCAAAGTGCTGGGATTACAGGCATAAGCCACCGCTCAGGGACCATTTTTATGTTCTTTACCCCTTTCAGTATTGTCTTCAACATTTTACAATGTGCATTATTACTTGGTATTGGAAAGGGGTAGAACCTTTTTTATTTTGAAAGAAAAATCTGCCTGAATTTGAAGACTACATATCTCCCTTACCACTTATTCTTTCCATGCTTCAAATATACTTTCTTTCTTTTCCTTTTCCACATATTCATTCGTGTTCTTTTATAAGCATGGAGCTACTTTACTTACAATATCAAGGAAAGTACTTCTCAAAACAATTTATCTCATGGTAGCATTCAGTGCCACTCTAGAACCTACCAAAGCAACTACTAAACACTTGTTTGGTTTCTATTTAGCCTAATTGCATTTCCCTCCCATGTTGTTTGGTTGGTTTGTTTGTTTGTTTTGAGACGGAGTCTCGCTCTGTCGCCCAGGCTGAGGTGCAATGGTGCAATCTGAGCTAACTGCAACTGTGCTTCCCAGGTTCAAGCGATTCTCCTGCCTCAGCCTCCTGAGTAGCTGGGATTACAGGCACCCACCACTCCTGGATAATTTTTGTGTTTTTAGTAGATGCGGGGTTTCGCCATGTTGGCCAGGCTGGTCTCCAATTCCTGACCTCAGGTGATCGGCCCGCCTCGACCTCCCAAATTGTTGGGATTACAGGTGTGAGCCACAGCACCTAACCCCATATTCTTTTTATGTATGTGTGACCTTCAAATGATTTTTACCCATTCTTGGTCAAGTGTCCCTTAACAGGAAAAAAAGAAAAGATCTTCCCAATCTTCCTTCTGTTCATTTTAACAAAATGTATTGATAATCTGCTACCTTCTGGTCGCTGGGGACATACCACCATCAGTACACCATACACTAGAAGACCCTTCCCTATGGCAAGAAAGACATTGAAAAGATACTTTTAAATGTAATGAACATTACAAAGGAGACATAAGGGTACAATGGCAAGTATGTAAAAGGAACATTTAACCAGAAGAAGCTGCCATTTTTTTAGCTGAGATCTGAAGACGGAATGATGGTTCCGGATGAGAGGAAGATGAGAGATGAACCCTGGGAGAGGGAATAACTTGTACAAATTCCATGGGATGAGAGAAGGGAAACTGGGGAACTGAAAGAATAGCTTAGTTTCTCTAGCAAATATTCTATTTTATTTTCTCTATAGCACTCATCAGAAAGGAATTTGTCTTGTTATTTGTTCATTTTGTTTGTTGATTGTATTTATATGTTTATAGTCTATCAGTGTTTCTGCTGGCCCGCCCCCACTTCTGGCCAGCGTAAGCTCCGTGAGAACTGAGGCTTTGCCCCACCCCCTCTCAGCAGTATTTTCCCAGCCTAAAATACCTAAAAGGCACTCAATCAATATTTCTTCAACTAATCAACGAATTAGCTTGTAGTTCATATTAGACATTTTGGATCTTATCCTAAGAGCAATGAGAAGTTGTTAAAGGGTTTTTAAAAGAAAACCCATATGATCTGATTCGATTGTTTTTTAAAATAAAAAAAGATCTTCTTGGCTGCTATGTGTTTGAAACTGTTTTACTTTATAGTCAATACGGTCACTGTTTTAAGATTACAATACTTCTTTAAGAAACTCGACTTTTTTTTTTTTTTTTTTTTTTTTTTTTTAGATGGAGTCTTGCTCTATCACCCAGGCTGGAGTGCATTGGCACCATCTCGGCTCACCACAACCTCCAGGTTCAAGCCAGGTTCAAGCCATTCTCCTGCTTTAGCTTCCTGAGTAGCTGGCATTACAGGTGCGTGCCACCACGCCCGGCTAATTTTTGTATTTTGAGTAGAGACGGGGTTTCGCCATGTTGGCCAGGCTGGTCTCGAACTCCTGACCTCAGATGATCCACCTGCCTCGGCCTCCCAAAGTTCTGGGATTACAGGCATGAGCCACTGCGCCCGGCCAACTCGACTTTTTTTAAAGACACCCGCAAAATATTTATTTAGTTTAAGTATTGCCTCTAATGGCTAGGGAGCTTTTTAAATCTTTTGAATAAGAATCACTGGGAAAACAATTTAACAAGAAAACCAATGTCTTTCTCTTAGTGCTTCCATTTTGCCAAAGTTTGCACCTTTAGGAGTTCACAATAAAATTCAAGATATGAATGGATTATAAGCGTTTGCTTCAGTTTGCCCTGAGGAGGGGAATAGCAAGATGGAAAGAGACAAGTGAAAGATAATCAGTGATTTATTAATTTATTCATTCAGTTAAGTCACCCATTCAATAGATACTTATTTTGTCCCAATACTCTGTGCTAGGCTCTGGAGTTGTGATGTCTGCCCTGAACATGCTCACAAACCAGGAGAACAGTGGCATCCTAGTAGGATGTAATTTCATCTAGTCATTTTGTAAACGTATGTGAAAGCTAAAGTTGATGTGTTGCTTTCATTGCAGGGGCCCAGGTATCACTCTTTAGGAAGTCACTTTAGGAGGTTTGTACTTGTTGAATGTCAGAGATCTTAAAAATAAATCAATGTTTAAAGAATATAGCATGCAAATCTTAAGAATAAAGCCCTTTTATTCCTTAACATCTGTAGAAGGTATTTTGAACCCAAAAGCCTTAAAACAGCATCGTATATATTCATTTTATGGTAGTAGAAAAGATTACAGTTGCCTTTGTTTCTAGCAGCACAATGTCTTGTTTATATTGGCATTGTTGTTGAAAACCTTCTAGTTTCTCTAAAGCTCAATGTATCTCTTTGAAAAGGTATATTATGATGCATATTATTCCTCCCACAAATGCCCTGTAACTTAATTAACTGAGGTTATTTCCCATTAAAGTATATTCTAGAAATAGGAAATGTTATCGCAAATATTCAAATATAGTAGAAATAAAATATGTAGCCATACCTGGTTAATTATGTTAGTATCGGGGAACTCGAAGCAGATTTACTGTCATGTCTTTTTTTCCTCCAGCTCTTAAAGCGGTAGTGAAAGGCTTGTCTTTACATTCTGTGCTTTCTGGGAATATAAAAGTAACTTGCCCAGTGAAGCAATATCAAGTGCCTTACATATCCAAACATAAATGTTTCAGATGCACTGGTTTAGAAAGCACAGGGTAGTTTTCCAACTCATGCCAAAGCAACTAGAAAGTAAGCTTTCTAGAACAAATTAAGAGGAGTATAATAGGGAGAAGACAAAAGGCTTGGATTTAGATAATATATACTCACTTTATCTCCAATTTGTAATACATTTTAATAAATAGGTTCCTTGCCATTTAATTATTTAAATTGTGAAGAATAAAAGGTTTACAGTAGACTAGGTTGATTATGCACTGCCTCTGACACCAAACAACTGCACACCAAGTTTCTCTTTGCCAAAGACAAGGTGACTCCATCCCTGCTTCTTATCTTGATTCTCCTCAGTCACCATAAAAAACTCAAGTCCATCTGGTCCCACACCCACCTAAACTTCCATTTTCATAGAGGTCAGCTTCCACTTTCATCTCCACTTACATTGTTCCTTACCCTCTCACCAATTTCCACTGAGCCCTCTGGAACAGTGCATTCAATACTAATACATTCTCCAGCTTTCTTAGTCCCTTGGTAGAGAGCTTCTCCTTCTCAGCACTTTGACTGAAAAGTGCCAGCTTCCAAAAAACTTCCTCTCCCCCAAGAACTCATCTGGTGCTTAATTAAAATATAGATTCCAGGCCCCATTCTAGGATTCTGATTTAGACATTTTTGGGTGGAATTCAGGCATCTTCATTTTAAATAAACTCCCCAGAAAATTCAGATGCAGGCTATCTGCAGAGAAGTGTTTGGAAGATGGATATACTTAAATCAATAATAGCTACCATTTATCATGGCCCTACTATGTGCCAGAAATAGGCACACTATCTCATTTACTTCTCACCAATAAACCTTGTAAGATGTTATGAACATTTTATAGGTGAGGAAAATGAAGCCTAAAGCAGTGAGAAACAACAGGAAAAAACAAAATTTATCTGCGATCACACAACTAGTAAATAAAGGAGATAGGTTTGGACTCTAAGTGCATGCTGCATGTAACAACCCAGGTCTCCTAGCTCCTAACCAGGTCTCAAATGAATCATAAATCTAAAAAATGTTTTCTTAAAGATTATTTAATAGATGAAGTGGCTCTGCTGGCAATTTCTTTCCTCAGAAGTTCTATCTGTATACCTTATACTAATGATCTTGAATGGGCATGGTTTTTTGTTTGTTTGATTGCTTTGGTGTTTTTTTTTTTTTTTTTTTTTTTTTTTTGAGACAGAGTCTTGCTTGCCCACCACCACGTCCCGCTAATTTTTCTATTTTTAGTAGAGATGGGGTTTCACTGTGTTGGCCAGTCTGGTCTCAAACTCCTGACTTCAGGTGATCCTCCCGCCTTGGCCTCCCAAAGTGCTGGGATTACAGGTATGAGCCACCACTCCCGGCTGGCATAGTCTTTTCAAATATAAGTTCTCTCTCCTTCTTCCTTTCTCCCTTCCACCTCTTGCCCCTCTTCCTCTCTCTCTCCTTATGGCAGAAATCGGCCAAAGTCACCTATTTATTTGGCTAGGTTCATTACTTTTTTCTTTTTGGCAAAACAAGAGCACTTGGAAATATTTAGAAAAAGGATGCAGTGTCTGACTTCGGGAAAGCACTGGCAGTGCTGCACTACATATTTTCAAGCACTCTAGATAATCCAGCTGTGAGAAAATGGCTATCAGTCTTCTACAACTCTTAGTTCAAGGATAAAATATGCTATTTAAAAATACACCTTACTACCTACATAAATGGTAATAAGTAGTTAATAAAAATAGTATTTATTGTACATTTAAAATGTGTCAGCCTCTGTACTAAGTATCTTACTTAAGGCTCGCGATAAACCTGTGGCATAAGTATTATTATACCCATATTACAGCTGGGAAAATTAAAGTTTAAAGTAACTTTAGCAATGTAATACAGCTAGTAAGTGGAAGACCCAGGGATTCAAACTGAGTCTGTCTGACTTTAGAGTTCAGACCATGTGTTTAAGTACTTTATCTACTTCTACAAACCAGCCTCTCAGGAAAATAGCACACCTTAGACAGAAAAAGAACTGCAAGTGGCTTATTAAAGAGACACACCCACGTGACCCAGAATAGGCAGTGGAATTGAGTATTTTTACTTTAGATGCTTTTGTATTCCCCACAGAGCACTGGGCCAACAGATGCATTTGTTTCTCAAATGTTAAGTGCCTATCTCCCTTATAGCCCTTTCAAATTTATAGTGGCTGACCTGCATTGGTCTGATCACTGAACAGAGAAAAAGAAATACTTCATGCTCCTTTTCACTCAATGCACTATCTTCTCCATCATGGTCTCTCAGTTACTCCCATACTGGAAGGCACACTTGCACTTTTGAAGGAAGGATTATTGCTTGAATCTGCCTGACTTTGAACACCTAAAAAGTCTTCTTTTTAGATAGAATTCAGTCTATTTTTCAAAGAGCAAAGAGTGAGGAGTTTCTCTGACTCAGAATGCCACAGTCCTGGATTACTGTTCAGTTTTTTTAAAATCTTCTACAAAAAGATACACAGTAATAAAAATATCATCATAGTAAGGCACATAACTAAATCTCCTACTCTTTTCTTTGGTCTAGAACTTGATTCAGCAAGAAGCCTAGAGTCATAAATAGAACATCAGACTTAGGCAGCAGCATAGATAGATTGGTCATTTTCCATTCATGTGGAATTGAAATTGTACTGCTTGACATACTGCCCACTGAACAAATGCATTATAAGCCAATACAAAACGAGGTGGGGGACCTAAGAGACACCAATATAGTTAATATTAGCTCTGACCCTAAACAAATTTGTCAGATAGACAAAACCTATTTTGGTTGTCTTTTCAGCATCCCTCCCCCAACTAGACTTTCAAGCATCTACCCCAGGAATCTCATTGTCAGTGTTTACCCAACTTTAATTATTCTTAGCTATGTTTAAGACTTTTGTTATATCTTGTTCTTGATTTTTAGAAAAGGACTTACCTATTAAAATGTAAATATATTAATTAAAGTGATATTTTATATCACTATTACAAATGGAAAACCAGTATCACTTGCCATAAATGGATGATAGTCAAAAAATCAATACATAATTATTAAAATACAGAATGTTTGGCCTGGGCGCAGTGGCTCTCGCCTGTAATCCCAGCACTTTGTGAGGCCGAGATGGATGGATCATGCGGCAGGAGATCGAGACCATCCTGACTAACATGGTGAAACCCTGTCTCTACTAAAAATACAAAAAATTAGCCGGGCATGGTGGTGGGCGCCTGTAGTCCCAGCTACTCGGGAAGCGGAGACAGGAGAATGGTGTGAACCCAGGAGGTGGAGCTTGCAGTGAGCCGAGATCGCACCATTGCACTCCAGCCTGGGCAACAGAGGAAAATTACAGAATGTTCATCTGAATATTACCGAAGACGTGCTGAATAACAAGCAAGGAAAACTCTTTTGGATTGACTTTCCTGGCCTGGAACTCATTCCTGTCCAGAAGTTACTACATTATGTTTCTTCCTTCCCTTCCAAAGTAAGCTAGTTCTGTAGTTTTTCCTCTTAGGGTTTAAGTCTCCTTAGTGGCCTAGTTGAAAGTGTTCATTAGCACAGATTGGATAAACCAATTTCCAGTTTAGGAGAGAAGATTGGAGGAGACTCCAGGTAATACATATGGGTTTTAACTCTTGCATGCTTGAGATACTTGCTGCCTTTTGTTCTTGAAACCAGTGACCTCTAAAGCTCCAAATCACTGGTACCAGAGCAAGTCTGATTCAGTAGGTCTGGGGTGGAGTCAAGATATCTGTATTTAAAAAAATAGTAATTTGAATGTGCAACCTGTTTGGGAACTTTGGTATAACCTAAAGGGAGGCCTTCTGGGAGCCATAGCAGTTTGGCAGGGAAGACATTTTTTGGTGGGAGTGCTTGATAACAAATCACACTCTAGGCAGTTACACATTGTAGGCAAGGTTAGTTCTGTGAACTTGAGTGCCTAGAGAAGAACTTAATTGGGAGCAAACATGATATACTATTATTATTTTAAGAGAATGTCAAAGAAGTAGTGCTAGATACAGGAATGAATAGATAGTGGGGCGGGGATAGAAACTCAAATCATACACAAATATTCCAAGTACATATCTGATAAAGATGGCATTTCAAATCAACTGAATAATAGATTACTTTTTAATCAGTGATGTTGAGGCAATTAATTAACGTTGAACAACAAAAGTCCAAAAATAGTATCCATACGGATAAAGCCATGTTATGTAAAAAATGTCCTGGGTGCAGTGGCTGATACCTATAATTTCAGCACTTTGGGAGCCTAGGTAGGAGGATCACTTGAACCAGGGAGTTACAGACCAGCCTAGGCAAAAAGGCGAGACCCTCTGTCTCTACAATTTTTTTTTAAACAACTTTGTTGGTCTTGATGGTGTATGCCTGTAGTCTTAGCTATTTCAGAGGCTGAGGCAGGAGGACTGCTTGAGCCCAGGAGTTCAAGGCTGCAGTGAGCTATGATCGTGCCACTGCACTCCAGCCTGAGTGACAGAGCCAGACTATGTCTCTTTTAAAAAAACCTCCTCCTGACACAAACAAATGGAAGAAAATTCCATGCTCATGGATAGGAAGAATCAATATCATGAAAATGGCCATGCCACCCAAAGTAATTTATAGATCCAATGCCATCCCCATCAAGCTACCAATGACTTTCTTCACAGAATTGGAAACAACTACTTTAAAGTTCATATGGAACCAAAAAAGAGCCCGCATTGCCAAGTCAGTCCTAAGCAAAAAGAACAAAGCTGGAGGCGTCACACTACCTGACTTCAAACTATTCTACAAGGCTACAGCAACCAAAACAGCATGGTACTGGTACCAAAACAGAGATGTAGATCAATGGAACAGAACAGAGACCTCAGAAGTAACACCACACATCTACAACCATCTGATCTTTGACAAACCTGAAAAAAATGTGCATGTCAAAATGTACAAATATTATATATCAATACAAATAAAATAAAATAAATGTGTATGCCCTTTTTCTTAGGAATTCTACGTTTGGGAACTTATCTTGAAAAATAATCACATAAATGCACAAAGCTGTGTAGATAAGACTGCTCATCAAAACATTGTTGTTAATAATAATGCAAAACCAGAAACAATCTAAATATTCAAAAGTTCAGTATTGTTTACATAACTTATGGCACAATTGTATAGTGAAATGTATTACAGAAATGAAATATGACTAAGCCTGCCTATATTTATTGATTATTTATCGATATGGAAAGATATTTATGATATGTTGTAATATGACAATATAGATTACCAAATATAGTATGCTCCTATTTTAAGTATGTATAATAATACATATGAAGAGAAAAAAGTCTGAACAGATATTCACCAAAATATTAATAGTGTTTATCTCTGAATCATGTGGTTAAAGGTAACATTCATTTTTCTAAATATTTTTTGCCATTTTCTGAAAAAATTACAAGCATGAATTATTTTTATAATCATAAGCAATAAAAACATTTATATTTTTTGTGTTTGTACAGAGGTCAATAAAAATTTAAAAAGCCATTTCTAGTTTTGTTCATACCTTTAGCTTAGCAGTTCCAATTTTAGGAATTTTTCCTAAAGAAAGAATCAGGGATATGCACATGCACAAAAATAACACTAAAGGAGTTTTCATTGTGGAGCTATTTATAATAGCAAAAAGCTGCAACACCCTAACATTCTTCAATAATTACGTGTTTGTGTGTGTGTGTGTGTGTGTGTGTGTGTGTGTGAGTGTGTATGTGTGTATGAGATGGAGTCTTCTTCTGTTGCCCAGGTTGGAGTGCAGTGGTGCTAACATGGCTCATTGCAGCCTCGACCTCCCCGGCTGAAGCAATCCTCGCACCTCAGCCTCCCAAGTAGCTGGGACAACAGGCACCCACAACCATGCCAGGCTAATTTTTTAATTTTTTTGTGGAGACAGAGTCTCTCTCTGTTGCTCAGGCTGATCTGGAACTCCTAGGCTCAAGCTATCCTCCCTCCTCGGCTTCCCAAAGTGCTGGGATTACAGGTATGAGCCACAATGCGCCCAGCTCTGTTTTTCAAAGATTTTAAAAACCACCTTAACCATTTTTAAGTGAACAGTTTGGTAGTATTAAGTATATTCACATTGTTGTGTATTAGAGCATTTGTTAATAAATTGTCACATATTTTATGATTAAATATTATAGTATCATTAAATATTTTATAAGTTTAATGACATGGAAAATGTTTATGACACATTGTCAAATGAAAAAGTCAGTTTGTAAAATAGTATGAGTCCAATTTCGTTTTAAAGACATTTTATGAACATAGAAAAAACAAGTCTGAAGGATGTATATTTAAACGTTAATACAGTATATATTTCTGGGCACTGGCATTGCAGGTGATTATTTTCCAAAGTTTTTGTAAGAAACATGCATTACTTTTGTACTCACGAGAAAAAAAAAGTGTTACAAAAGACAGAGAGGCTTTTATCTCTAGAGTAATCAATTTTTGTTCATCTTCCTATGCATCACAAATTGTCCATCAGACCATAACTATCATGTGGGCAGAGATTAGGTGTTTTTTTTTTAATTTCCCCTGGTACTTCCTGCCACATAGTGTTCTGCATTCAATAAATGTTGACTAACTGCATTCGTGCATATGCATACGTATAAGCCTATGTACCTATGTGGGCATGCATATTTAAATATACCAACTGCTTTCTCATCAGTAATGAGAAAAAAAATGAAAGGCAGGGTTTTGAAAAGTGCCATGGGCCTTTTGCCATATGTTGAGAAAGGAACAGTGCTCTGTACTTGCCAAGGCTAAGGGTACAGAGTAATCATTAAATATTTGGGGTCATACCAATCAAGTTTGTCCATTTCAGCCGAAGCAATTATTTTCTTGGGTTGTCTCCTTTGGGTGAGATTGGGTCCACCTTTTTTGTGGTTCTACTAATTAGCCTGTCTGGGCACTCTACTGAAAATGTTTAAACAAAAAGTCCCATACCACTGCAACTGGGCTATGTGCTGTCTCTGCCTACTCTGGGCTCCTTGTCACAGTCAGTGTCAAATCAGCTGCAGTAACAAGAACCTTTTTCCGTTGGGAGTCTGGCAAGCAGGACAGGTTAGCAGGTCTTTAGTCACATTTCATTTGTCAACTCCAGAACTCTATACTCTGATCAAAACCGAGATTGGAGTACAAAGTTTGTACTTCAGAATATCAGCAGGTGCCCAAGGGAGAATGAGTGTTAAAATCCCTCAAATCACTAAATTATTAAAAAGCACTTGAACAGGCTCTTCAGAATCAGACAGCAGAGCTCAAAGATTTACACATTTGATAACTGAAATAGGAGGACAGGATAAAGACTCAATTTGAGCCCTTGATGATTTGATTTTTTTAAATAGTTATGGTTGTGAAAGGAAGGCATGAAAAGTGGAAGATATTTTAAAGGCAGATTATGGCTTATCCTTAATTATAGCTGCAGCTGAGCTGAGGAGTTGGGTTGGGGCTTAATCATGACTCTGGCCTCCCCTCAGAGACACAGCAGGTAACTGGGTAAGGCTTCTTTTGCTTCCTTAAAGCCTCTGATAGAGAATTATTGATTCTGAAATCTCCTGTAGGAAATTTCCACACAATAAAGTGGGGAGTTTAGAAATCTGGGCAGATTGACCAACTGTGAATTTATACTGCCTCATTATGTTAACCCATTGGAGGCTGTATCTGGGGACACGCTAATGCCACTATCTTCTTACATATTTATTGAGCTGTTGAGGTATAAAATGTCACCATTAAAATCCAAAGCGCTGTGCAGCAAACCTTGGCTTAGTATTCCCTTTGCTCATCAGCAAACCCTGTTAATCTTCCACACCAAAATCCTGGCAGCAGGATCCCCAATATCAGCAAAGATTTAATGGCATAGAGCACTAGTGAGGTCTTTTGTGACTCAAATTTATTCCTTTATCAAATTAACCAGAAAGTGTTGTTTGTAAATAATTAAAACTCTTAAAAACCCTAATCTACTTTGAGGCCCCTCAACCACATCAGATCTTACATTGGGAATGCTATCTGCTAAAAATCCTATACTTTGCATTTTCTAGGGAGATGCAGGGGCTACCCTAGTTATGAAGGAAATGTGCAGACTAGCACAAGAGTAAGTGAGAATTCTAGGATTTCTAAGCAATACAGTTACTAAAAAACAACTTTCCTGGTCCAAAAGCTGGTGGCTCCACTTATACCCTTGTCCTGTGAATTTCCTATGCTATTGGTGAAGACTGTGCCCTTATGGAATATACTCAGAGCCTCTAATCTATTGACTTTATCCTCCATCTCACCCTGGCATATTAGGCACTAAATATATATTCATTTGTTAGATGAATGAATATTTGAATCAAGAAAGATGGTCTTTTTCAGTGCCTGCTAGTGTTAAGCTGAGTACTATATAAGTGAGTTTTCCAAATGTAGTCCATCTTAAAATGTGTGGCCAACTATAGAGACTAGATCCTTGAATAAGGGATTGTCTAGAAATGACCACTGAGCATCTGAGCATCTACCCAAGCACCTTGCCATGTTTATTATTGTTCCTTACTTGTAAATAAAAATGATAAATTACCCATGAAGGAAGAATACTTCCTTACTTTTATTTTCTGATCTACATAAAACTTCAAAGTAAAAGGAATTATATTATTTCTCATTCTGCATATTGCACTTAGTGGAGTAGACACAAAATGATCATTTAAGGGATAAGTCAGGTAAATGATGGTCAGGATTGCTAGAGACATGGAAATGTCATATGGACCAGAGCTTTTAAATTGACCTGGAAAACTTACAGTGTTTTCTGCTTTTTAAGATTTCAGAGATGCAAACTCCCTCAATTATTTGGCCCAGTGTAAAATTCTTTCTTACATCTAAGTTCCAAAACTCATGGGCTCAAGAGGCAGGGACTGTAGTCCCAGCTCCACAAATATATGACTCTAGATTCAAAATAGTTTCTATATCTAAACACAGAAGTGGCAAAGATAGATAAATCATGAAAAAGAAAGGAATCTTCACTCTGAAATTCGGCAGTGTTAGCTCTTTCTAGGATATTAGTTCTAGATATTTTCTTTAGCAGCTCAGCTTGTAGGCTAAGCCACTAACATAGCCACTCTTTGTTCCTTATCCTATGACCTTTTTGAAGAGTTAGACATTTGGCTTTTGTAGTTCTTGAAATCTATACATTGGCTACTTTTATTGCCTTCTGGATGAATTTTTTTTTTTGAGATGGAGACTCACTCTGTTGCCCAGGCTGGAGTGCAGTGGCACGATCTTGGCTTACTGCAACCTCTGCCTCCTGGGTTCAAGCAGTTCTGAACTCCTGACCTTGTGATCCACCCGCCTCAGCCTCCCGAAGTGCTGGGATTACAGGCATGAACCACCGCGCCTGGCTGGATGAATTATTTTATATTCTGGTATTTTATTTTTGCATTATTATTGGTCTGAGCTATGCCCATCCCTTGTTTAGTTATTCCTTTCCATCCCCATGTTCAATAGCTATTTCCTTTTCTCACTCCATATACAGCTATTCTAATGTGTTTAATGTATATCTTTTAATTTTTAGGTACTCTTGCAAACTAAGTATCTTGGATGCATATTTTTCAGTGTATGTAAATGGCATCGTGTTGTATTTCTCATTTCTCCCCAGTACTGTGTTTAAAAGCTTCATCCATGTTGCTATGTTCATATGTCCAATCTAGCTCATTGCTTTCTTCTGCTGCATGGTACTCCACAATATGCATCCACTCTCCCAGCATCTCCAACTTTCCACCACCACAAACCATGCTGCAGTGAACATACCTGTACCTGAATTCATGGGAGAATTTCTCTGGGATACCGACTCAGGAACAAAATTGCTGGGGCATGGGGCATGACTCAAGTTTAACTGTCTGCTTTCAGTTAGTTCTCTGGAATAATAGTACAAATCTACACTTTCACCTGCATGAGAGTTCCTATATTTCCAGTCTCCACCAGCACTTGGCCCTTGCTTTCTAAATTTTGTCAATTTATCTCTTCTGACCTTGGTTCTGTAAAAATAAAAAAAAAAATTTGTCAGCTTAATAGATACAAAGTTATATTTCATTGTTTCTTAAAAATTTACATTTCTGTGATTAGGGATGAGTTGAACATCTCTACATATGCTTACCAGTCTTTTGTGTTTGCTTTTATGTAAATTGCCTATCGATATAATTTGCCCATTTTTCCTACTGAAGTTGCTGAGTTTTTGCTATTGTTAATTTTCCAGAGTTCTTATATATTTTAGGTATCAATTCTTTGTCAGTTTTAGACATTGAAAATATTTTCTTCAATTTTTTTTTTTTTTGAGACAGTGTTTTGCCCTGTCACCCAGGCTGGAGTGCAATGGCACAATCTCAGCTCACTGCAACCTCTGCCTCCTGGGTTCACATGATTCTCCTGCCTCAGCCTCCCAAGTAGCTGGGATTACAGGCACACGCTACTGCACCCGGCTAATTTTTCTTTCTTTCTTTCTTTTTTTTTTTTGTATCTTTAGTAGAGATGGAGTTTCACCATATTTGCCAGGCTAGTCTCAAATTTCTGATCTCATGATCAGCCTGCCTCGGCCTCCCAAAGTGCTGGGATTACAGGCATGAGCCACCGTGCCCATTTTCTTCAATTTTATCATCTTCCTAGTAATGTTCTCTGTTGAATAGAAATCCTTAATTTTAACATATTCAAATGAATCAAAGATTTGCCTTACAATTTCACTTTTGCGATCTTGTTTAAAAAGTTCTTCCCCCAATTCACTCTCCACTCCCAGCTCACAAATTTTTTTTTCTCCATCTCTTATTAAAGTTATAGTATTACTGTTATGGTTTAAATGTGTCCCCAAAGTTCATGTGTTGGAAACTTAATTCCCAGTGCAGCAGTGTTGGTAGGTGGGACCGTTTAGAAGTGATTAGGACATGAAGGCTCTATCCTTGTGAATGGATTCATGTTATCGTGAGAGTGAGCTCATATTGCAAGAGTGAGTTTGTTAAAAAAGCAAGTTTGTCCTCCTCTTCTGCTTGTTCTCTCTCTTCTCTCTTGCATAAGCGTGCTCTCTTTCTCTTCCACCTTCTGCCATGGGATGATGCAGCAAGAAGGCCCTCACCAGATGGGGGCCCATTGACCTTGGACTTCATACATCCAGAACTGTAAGAAAGAATTCTCTGTGCTTTATAAATTACCCAGTTTTAGGTATTCTGTTACAGCAGCACAAAGCAGTTACCTTTCACTTTTAGTTTTCTAATCCATGTGTTGTCCATGTTTGTATGTAATTTTTTCTTAGGAACTTAGCTTTTATTTTAAAATATTTTTTATTCATTGTAATAGTACAGGGTACACTTGATAATTTAATATATTCATATAATTTATAAACATAAAATCAGTGTACTTGGGAGAGCCATCACCTTAAATATTTGTCTTTCCTTTATGTTAAAAACATCTGAATTATTCTCTTCTAGCTATTTTGAAATGTACAATAGATTATTGTAAACTATAGTCACTCTACTGATCTATTGAACACTAAATCTTATTCCTTCTATCTAACTGTATATTTGTACCCATTAATCAACTTCTCTTCACCTCTGTGGTTACCAGAGGAACCAGGAACCACCAGGTTAACCAGAAACCTGGAACCACTTCTGGTAACCACCAATCTACTCTCTATCTTCACGAGATCCACTTTTTTACCCCCCACATATGAATAAGAGCATGCAATATTTGTCTTTCTGTGCTTGGCTTATTTCACTTAACATAATGACTTCCAGTTCCATCTATGTTGCTGCAAGTGACAGGATTTCATCTTTTTATGGCTAAACGATATTCCATTGTGTACATATACCGCATTTTCTTTATCCATTCATCTGTTTATAGGCACTTTGTTTGATTCCATATTTTAGCTCTTGTGAATAGTGCTGCAATAAAGAGGGGAGTACAGATGTCTCTTCAATATATTTGATTTCCTTTCTTTTGGATATATACCCAGTAGTGGAATTGCTGGATCATATGGCAGTTCTATTTTTAGTTTTTTTGAGGAACACCCATACTGTTCTTCATAGTAGCTGTACTAATTTATATTCCCAGCAACAGTGTACCAGTGTTTCCCTTCCTCCACATCCTTACCTGCATCTGCTACCGCATGTCTTTTTGATAAAAGCCATTTTTAACTGTGGTGAGATGATATCTCACTGTGGTTTTGACTTATATTTCCCTGATTATTAGAGACATTAAGCATTTTTTCATATATCTGTTGGCCATTTGCACGTCTTCTTTTCAGAAATGGCTATTCAGATCTTTTGAGCATTTCAGATTGTATTATTATTATTATTTTTGGCTATAGAGTTGTTTGAGCTTCTTGTATATTCCAGTTATTAATCCCTTGTCAATTTTGTTTTCTTCATATTGTACAAATCAATTTTATATGCATTAATTAAGCTGCTATATACCCATGAGAGGGTATAAATAATACATATTTTATACATATGTACACACATATATATAAAGTTTGATAAGTTTTGACATATGCTTGAGGTTGAGCTTTTTGGAAAAAAAAGTTTTGACATATGTATACTTCCATAAAATCTCTAAATCAAGATAAGGAATATATCCATCACTCCAAAGTTTCCTCATACTGTTGTTTAATTCCTGCCTCACAACCCTCTTTAATTTCCAACCCCCATCTCCACATCCCCTGTCCATAGGCAACTACTGTCAAAATTTTAGATTATTTTACATTTTTGAGAGTTTTATATAAATGGAATCAAACATTATGTACTGTTTTCCTGGCTTGTTTTGCTCAGCATAATTACTTTGAGATTCATCTATGTTTCAGTGTGTAAAAATAGTCTGTTCCTTTTTATTCGTAAGTAGTATTCCATTATATACATATATCACATTTTGTTAATCCATGAATCTGTTAACAGACATTTGGATTGTTTTTACTTTCTGGCTATTATTAATAATGCTGCTATAAATCTTTATGTATATGTCTTTATATAAACATATGTTTCCTGTTCCCTTAGGTAAAAATCTAGGAGTGAAATGGTTGGATCATATGGTAGATATATGTTTTACCTTTCTAAGAAACTACCAAACTGTTTTCCAAAATGATTATACCAGTTCACATTTCCACTAGCAGCATGTAAGAGTTCTAGATGCTCCACATCCTTACCAGCACTTAATATGATCATTTTTTGTTTTAGCTATTTATTTATGTATTGGATTTAAATGGTGTGTTAGTTTTCCATTGTTGTATAGGGATTAGTGACTTAAAACAAAAATTTATCGGGGCCGGGCGCGGTAGCTCACGCCTGTAATCCCAGCACTTTGGGAGGCCGAGGCGGGCGGATCATGAGGTCAGGAGATCGAGACCATCCTGGCTAATACGGTGAGACTCTGTCTCTGCTAAAATAAATACAAAAAATTAGCTGGGCGTTGTGGCGGGCGCCTGTAGTCCTAGCTAATCTGGAGGCTGAGGCAGGAGAATGGCGTGAACCCGGGAGGCGGAGCTTGCAGTGAGCCGAGATTGCGCCACTGCACTCCAGCCTGGGTGACAGAGCGAGACTCCATCTCAAAAAAAAAAAAAAAAAAAAATTATCTTACACTTCTGGAAATCAGAAGTACAAAATGAGAGAATCAGGGATCATCATGGCAGACAGGAGGCAGGACTAGATTGCAGCTCCAACTTGGATGGACAGAGCAGTGTGCGGAGGCTTGCATCGTGAATTTTAGCTCTAGAATGACTCCAAGAACAAACCAGGAATCCCAAGAGGACCCACAGACCCTATGAAAGAAGCAGACTGCTCCTGCAGGACCTGGGAGACACCCTAAATACTGTGAGTGCCCAAACTGCAGAAATGGGAATGGGAGATCCTCTGCTCCAGAACATACAACCCTACTGGAGAAACTGAAGGTCTAGTTTGTGCGAGAAGTTTCTGACCTTACCTGGAGCTGAGTCAATTTAGAGAGCCAAGTGAAATATGAGGGTAGAGGAAGCAGTGGGAAAGGCCCTGAAAGCTTGCGGGTCTCCAAGCAGACCATTCCTGCCTGGAATCACAGGGATCCTTCAGGAGGGTGGCCAGAGGCGCGGAGAAACGCCACAGGGAGAAGGAAGTCTCCAGCTGAAATTTGCAACAATTTGAACTGAGCGAGAAGCCTCCTGGCCAGAACTCGGGGGAGGGAGTGAATCCCGTGTGCAGACTCCACAGGCAGGGGAAGAACCAAAGCCTCTTTCTTTCACAGCTGGTAGGCGGGTATCCTGGGGCAAGTCCTTAAGCCCTGCTCGCCCACTGCCTGGAAACAGACTTGGTGCTGTTGGGGGGGCACGGTGGGAGTGAGACAGGCCCTTCAGATTGCGTGGGAGCTGGGTGAGGCCTGTGACTGCTGGCTTTCCCCCACTTCCCAGACAACCTGTATGACTCAGAAGAGGTACACATAATCCTCCTAGCTACACAATGCCATTGACCTGGGAACCTCACCCCCATCCCCAACAGCAGCTGCAGCAAAACACGCCCAAGGAGAGTCAGAGCTCAGAAACGCCTAGCCCTGGACCCACCTGATGGTCCTTCCCTACCTACCCTGGTAGCTGAAGACAAAGGGCATATACTCTTGGGAGTTCTAGGGCTCCACTCAACACTGGTTCCACTCCATACTGCCATAGCTGATGCTCTCTGGAAAGCGACACCCCCCAGCAGGAGGTCAACCAGCACAAAAATAGAACATTAAACCATCAAAGCTAAGAACCCTCACAGAGTTCATTTCACCCCATTGCCACCTCCACTGGAACAGCCGCTGGTACCCATGGCTGAGAGACCCATAGACAGTTCCCATCACAGGACTCTGTGCAGACAACCCCCCAGTACCAGCCTGGAGTCTGGTAGACCTGCTGGGTGGCTAGACCCAGAAGAGAGGTAACAATCACCACAGCGTGGCTCTCAGAAAGTCACATCCATAGGCAAAGGAGGAGAGTACTACATCAAGGGAACAGCCCGTGGGAAAAAAGAATCTGAACAACAGCCTTCAGCCCCAGATCTTCCCTCTGACAGAGCCTACCCAAATGAGAAAGAACCAGAAAATCAACTCTGGTAATATGACAAGGCAAGGCTCTTTAACAAACCCCCAAAATCACACTAGCTCACCAGCAATGGATCCAAACCAAGAAGAAATCCCTGATTTACCTGAAAAAGAATTCAGGAGGTTAGATATTAAGCTAATCAGGGAGGCACCAAAGAAAGGCAAAGCCCAATGCAAGGAAATCCAAAAAACAATACAAGAAGTGAAGGGAGAAATATTCAAGGAAATAGAGAGCATAAAGAAAAAAAACAATAAAAACTTCAGGAAACATTGGACACACTTATAGAAATGCAAAATGCTCTGGAAAATCTCAGCAATAGAAGTGAACAAGTAGAAGAAAGAAATTCAGAACTCGAAGACAAGGTCTTTGAATTAACCCAATCCAATAAAAACAAAGAAAAAAGAATAAGAAAATACGAACAAAGCCTCCAAGAAGTCTGGGATTGTGTTAAACGACCAAACCTAAGAATAATCGGTGTTCCTGAGGAAGAAGAGAAATTTAAAAGTTTGGAAACATATTTGGGGGAATAATTGAGGAAAACTTCCCTAGCCTTGCTAAAGACCTAGACATCCAAATACACGAAGCACAAAGAACACCTCTAGGCACATTGTCATCAGGTTATCTAAAGGCAAGACAAAGGGCAGAATCTTAAGAGCTGTGAGACAAAAGCACCAGGTAGCCTATAAAGGAAAACCTATCAGATTAACAGCAGATTTCTCAGCAGAGACCCTACAAGCTAGAAGGAATAGGGACCCTATCTTCAGCCTCCTCAAACAAAACAATTATCAGCCAAGAATTTTGTATCCAGTGAAACTGAGCATCATATATGGAGGAAACATAGAGTCTTTTTCAGACAAACAATGGCTGAGAGAATTTGCCACTACCAAGCCACCACTACAAGAACTGCTAAAAGGAACTCTAAATCTTGAAAGAAATCCTGGAAGCACATCAAAACAGAACCTCTTTAAAGGATAAATCGCACAGGACCTATAAGACAAAAATACAATTTAAAAAGCAAAAACAAAACCCCAAAAAACCAAGGTACACAGGCAACAGATAGCATGATGAACGGAATGGTACCTCACATCTCAATACTAACATTGAATGTAAGTAGCCTAAGTACTCCATTTAAAAGATACAGAACTGCAGAATGGATAAAATCTCACCAACCAACTATCTTCTGCCTTCAGAAGACTCACC
Organism: Homo sapiens; assembly: GCF_000001405.40. Taxonomy (NCBI): domain Eukaryota; kingdom Metazoa; phylum Chordata; class Mammalia; order Primates; family Hominidae; genus Homo; species Homo sapiens. The sequence goes on from NC_000023.11 coordinate 74,638,914, forward strand.
CAACACATAAAGACTCACATAAACTTAAAGTAAAGGGATGGAAAAAGGCATTTCATGCAAATGGACACCAAAAGTGAGCAGGGGTAGGTATTTCAATATCAGACAAAACAAACTTTAAAACAACAGCAGTGAAAAGAGACAGAGGGACATTATATAATGGTAAAAGGCCTTGCCAAACAAGAAAATATCACAATCCTGAACATATATGCACCTAACACTGAAGCTCCCAAATTTATAAAACAATTACTAATAGGCCCAAGAAATGAGATAGACAGCGACACAATAATAGTGGGGGACTTCAATACTCCGCTGGCAGCACTAGACAGGTCATCAAGAGAGAAAGTCAACAAAGAAACAATGAATTTAAAGTATACCTTGGAACAAATGGACTTAACAGGTATATACAGAACATTTCATCCAACCACTGTGGAATACACATTCTATTCAACAGCACATGGAACTTTCTCCAAGATAGACCATATGATAGGCCACAAAATGAGCCTCAATAAATTTAAGGAAATTGAAATTATATCAAGCACTCTCTCAGACCACAGTGGGAATAAAACTGGAAATCCACTAAAAAAAAAAAAAAAAAAAACCTTCAAAACCATGCAAATATATGAAAATTAAATAACCTGCTCCTGAATGATCACTGGGTCAAAAACAAAATCAAGATGGAAGTTAAAAAATTATTCAAACTGAATAACAATTATGACACAACCTATCAAAACCTCTGGGATACAGCTAAGGTGGTGCTAGGAGGAAAGTTCATAGCCCTAAATGCCTACAGCAAAAAGACTGGAAGAGGACAAACTGACATTCTAAGCTCACACTTCAAGGAACTGGAGAAACAAGAACAAACCAAACCCAAGCCCAGCAGAAGAAAGGAAAAACCAAGATCAGAGTAGAACTAAATAAAATTGAAACAAACAAACAAGCAAACAAACAAAAAAAAAACAATTCAGAAGATAAATGAAACAAAAAGCTGGTTCTCTGAAAAGATAAATAAAATTGATAGACCATTAGCAAGATTAACCAAGAAGAGAGAAAATCCAAGTAACCTCATTAAGAAATGAAATGGGAGATATTACAACTGACACCACTGAAGCACAAAAGATCATTCAAGGCTACTATGAATACCTTTATGCACATAAACTAGAAAACCTAGAAGAGATGGATAAATTCCTGGAAGAAATACAACCCTCCTAGCTTAAACCAGGAAGAATTAGACACCCTGAACAGACCAATAACAAGCAGTGAGATTGAAATGGTAATTTAAAAATTACCAACAACAATAAAATTCCAGGACCAGACAGATTCGCAGCAGAATTCTATGAGACATTCAAAGAAGAATTGATACCAATCATTTTGACACAATTCCACAAGATAGAGAAACAGGGTACCCTCGCTAATTTATTCTACGAAGCCAGCATCACTTTAATACCAAAACCAGGAAAGGACATAGCCAAAAAAGAAAAGTACAGACTGATATCCCTGATGAACATAGACGCTAAAATCCTTAACAAAATACTAGCTAACCAAATCCAACAATATATCAAAAGGATAATCCACCATGATCAAATGGGTTTCATACCAGCTATGCAGGGATCGTTCAACCTATGCAAATCAATAAATGTGATACACCATATAAACAGAATTAAAAACAAAAATCACACGATCATCTCAACAGGTGCAGAAAAAGCATTTGACAAAATCCAGCATCCTTTATGATTAAAGCTCTCAGCAAAATTGGCATACAAGGGACATACCTCAATGTAATAAAAGCCATCTATGACAAACCCATGGCGCAAAATAATACTGAATGGGGAAAAGTAGAAAGCATTCCCTCTGAAAACTGGAACAAGACTGGGATGCCTACTCTCACCACTCCTCTTCAACATAGTACTGGAAGTCCTAGCCAGAGCAATCAGACAAGAGAAAGAAAGAAAGGGCATCCAAATAGGTAAAGAGGAAGTCAAACTGTCACTGTTTGCTTACAATATGATTGTTTACTTTGAAAACCCTAAAGACTCCTCCAGAAAGCTCCTGGAACTGATAAAATAATTCAGCAAAGTTTCTGGATACAAGACTAATGTACACAAATCAGTAGCTCTTCTATACACCAACAGCAACCAAGCAGAGAACCAAATCAAGAACCCAGCCCCTTTTAGAATAGCCGCAAAAAAAAAAAAAAAATTCTTAGAAATATACCTAACCAAGGAGGCGAATGACCTCCACAAGGAAAACTATAAAACATTGCTGAAATAAATTATAGATGACACAAACAAATGGAAACACACCCCATGCTCATGGATGGGTAGAATCAATATTGTGAAAATGACCATACTGCCATAAGTGATCTACAAATTCAATGCAATCCCCATTAAATACCACTATCATTCTTCACAGAATTAGAAAAAACAGTTCTAAAATTCATGTGGAACGAAAAAAGAGCCTGCGCGATCAAAGCAAGACTAAGCAAAAAGAACAAATCTGGAGGCATCACACTACCTGATTTCAAAGTATACTATAAGGCTATAGTCACTGAAACAGCATGGTAGTGGTATAAAAATAGGCACATATACCAATGGAACAGAATAAAAAAATGAGAAATAAACCCAAATACAGCCAACTGATCTTCGACAAAGCGAACAAAAATATCAAATGGAGAAAGGACATCCTTTTCAACAAATGGTGTTGGGAGAATTGGCCAGCCACATGTAGAGAATGAAACTGGATCCTCGTCTCTCACCTTAGACAAAAATCAACTCAAGATGTATTAAGGACTTAAACTTAAGACCTGAAACTATAAACATTCTAGAAGATAACATTGGAAAACCCCTTCTAGACATTGGCTCAGGCAAGGATTTCATGACCAAGAACCCAAAAGCAAATGCAATAAAAACAAATATTAATTAAACTAAAGAGATCCTCCACGGCAAAAGGAACAGTTATCAGAGTAAACAGAAAACCCACAGAGTGGGAGAAAATCTTCACAATCTATACATCTGACAAAGGACTAATATCCAGAATCTACAACAAACTCAAACAAATCAGTAAGGAAAAAACCAAACAATCCCATCAAAAAGTGGGCTAAGGACATTAATAGACAATTCTCAAAAGAAAATATATGAATGGTCAACAAACATATGAAAAAATGCTCAACATCACTAATGACCAGGGAAATGCAAATCAAAACCACAATGTGATACCACCTTACTCCTGCAAGAATGGCCATAATAAAAATATTAAAAAAACACAGTAGATGTTGGCATGGATGCGGTGATCAGGGAACACTTCTACACTGCTGGTGGGAATGTAAACTAGTACGGCCACTATGGAAAACAGTGGGCAGATTCCTTAAAGAACTAAAAGTAGAACTACCATTTGACCCAGCAATCCCACTACTGGGTATCTACCCAGAGGAAAAGAAGTCATTATACGAAAAAGATACTTGCACACACACGTTTATGGTAGTACAATTTGAAATTGCAAAATCGAAGAACCAACCCAAATACCCATCAATCAACGAGTGGATAAAGAAACTGTGGTATATATATATATATATGATGGAATACTACTTAGCCTTAAAAAGGAATGAATTAGCAGCATTCACAGCAACGTGGATGAGATTGGAGACTATTATTCTAAGTGAAATAACTCAGGAATAGAAAACCAAACATCAGGCCGGGTGCGGTCGCTCACGCTTGTAATCCCAGCACTTTGGGAGGCCGAGACGGGTGGTTCACGAGGTCAGGAGATTGAGATCATCCTGGCTAACACGGTGAAACCCTATCTCTACTAAAAATACAAAAAATTAGCCAAGTGTAGTGGCACGCGCCGGTAGTCCCAGCTCCTAGGGAGGCTGAGGCAGGAGAATCGCTTGAACTTGAGAGGTGGAGGTTGCAGTGAGCTGAGATTACGCCACTGCACTCCAGCCTGGGCGACAGAGCGAGACTCTGTCTCAAAAAAAAAAAAAAAAAAAAAAAGAAAAACAAAACCAAATATTGTATGTTCTCACTGATATATGGGAGCTAAGCTATGAGGATGCAAAGGCATAAGAATGAGACAATGGATTTTGGGGACTTGGGGGAAAGGGTGGGAGAGGGGCAAGGGATAAAAGACCACAAATAGCGTGCAGTGCATACTGCTCAGGTGATGGGTGCACCAAAATCTCACAAATCACCACTAAAGGACTTACTCATGTAAACAAACACCACCTGTACCCCAATTACCTATGGAAAAAAAGTTTAAAAAGAAGTACATAATGAGTCCTAGGGGGCTAAAATCAAGGTGTTGGCAGGACTGCATTCCTTCTGAAGGCTTTAGTGGAGACTGCTTGCTGACTATTCCATCTTGTAGAAGCCACGTACATTCCCTGGTTCATGCATAGCCTCTTCCTCCACCTTCAAATAACATCTTTGCAACCTATGGTTTCTGTTGTCACATCCCCTTTTGATTCTGGTACTCTTGCTTCCCTCTTAACGGACCCCGGTGAATATATTGGGCCTATCCAGAAAATCCAGGATAACCTCCCCAGCTCAAGATCCTTAAATGTAATCACACCTGGAAAACCCCCTTTACAATGTAAGCTAACATATTCACAGGTTCCAGAGATTAGGATGTACACATCTTGAAGGGGGAGAATTATTCAACCTATCACAATTGATATTTCATTGTGTGTTTTTAAAAACTTAAGATATAATCCACATACTATAAAATTTACCATTTTAAAGCATTCAGTGGTTTTTACTATATTCATAGTATGTGCAACCACCACCACTAATTCCAGAACACTTTCATCACCCCAATAAGAAACCCCATACTGACCAGCAATCACTACCTGTTCCCATCTCTTTCCCCAGTCCTAGGCAATCATTAATCTGCTTTCTGTTTTCATGGATTTGCTTACTCATTTAATATAAATGGAGTCTTACAATATGTATTTTTTTGTGTCTGGCTTCTTTCACTTAACACAATGTGTTCAAGGTTCATCCATTGTAGCATGTAACAGCCCTTCATTCATTTTTATGGCTGAACAATATTCCATTGCATAGATATATAATATATTGTGTATCCACTCATCAGCTGATGGACAATTGAGTTGTTTTCACTATTTTGACTATTATGAACAATGCTGCTATGAATGTTGTATACAAATTTTTGTGTGGAGATATGTTTTAATTTCTCCTGGAATTGCCAGTTCATATACTTCTATGTTTAACTTTTTGAGGAACTGCCAAATTGTTTTCAAAGTGACTGCATCATTTTATATTCCCACCAGAAATTTATGAAGGTTCTAGTTTTCCAGTTTATACACATCCTCACAATAACAATAACAATTGTTATTGTTTGTCTTTTTGATTATAGCAATCCTAGTGGGTGGGAAGTAGTATCTCTTTGTGGTTTTGATTAGCAGTTCCCTGTGACTAAAGATCTTGAGCACCCTTTCATGTGCTTATTGGTCATTTGTATACTTCTTTGGAGAATCATTTATTCAGATTACTTGCCTGTTTTTAAATTGGATTACCTGCCTATTTATTGTGGGGTTATTAGAGGTCCTTCATATATTCTGGACATAGTCCCTTATCAGATATGTAATTTGCAAATATTTTCTCCCATTATCTGGGTTGTTTTTTTTCATTGTCTTAATGATGTCCTTTAAAACAGAAAAGTTTTTAATTTTGATAAAGTCCAATTTATTCATTTTGCATTGTTGCTTGTGCTTTGGTGTCATGTCTAAGAAACCATTGTCAAACTCAAGGTCACAAAGTGGCACGATGTCAGCTCACTGCAGCCTTGACCTCTCAGCATAAGCAGTCCTCCCTTCGCAGCCTCCCGAGTACCTGGGACCACAGACATGTGCCACTGCAAGACCCAGGCTGGTCTTGACCTCCTGGGCTCAAGTAATCCTCCTGCCTTGGCATCCCAAAATGCTGGGATTACAGGTGTGAGCCACTGCACCTGGCCTACATGCTTATTCTTACGCTAGTAACACACCGTCTTGATAGCTTTGTAGTTAGTTTTATTTTTCTTTTTAGTAATACATCATCTTATATTTGAGAAAATAGAAGAATGTAAACTTGTAAGGCCTTGATGATATTATGCTATTTTTATAAGATTATCATTGAATTGCTTAAATATAGTACGTATGAATTTTGGCAAGATTATTCACTCCTTAAAATGGAATAAATGCAACATAGTTTAGATTGCCTTGCAAATCAGCAAACAGATTATGGCAGTATTTGTCTGTGGTGGACAGGGCTTCATAGCTCTAGGTATTCAAGGGTGCATGGAGATAGGAATGACTCAGTTCTCTTGCACTCTGTCCTGTGTTACAGCTCTCTTATGAAAATGCCCATCCTAATTTTATCCACTCATTAAATTCTCTGCTCCTACTCCTGTGTTGTGGATCTCTGCTAAGCAAGCCCTTAAGTAGGCAGGTTGTTGTGTTTACAAATTCAGTCTCTAACCTCAGGGCCTTCATGGAGTCCGAAGCATCAGTTCCTTCTTCCATGCTTCACTTTTACCTCTGTCTTTATATTTTATTTTTATTTTTTATAGGTATATAGTATGTGTATATATTTATGGGATACATGAGATGTTTTGATACAGGTATGCAATGTGAAATAAGCACATTATGGGGAATGAGATATCCATCCCTGTAGGCATTTATCATTTGAGTTACAAACAATTCAATTTATTTAAAAATGTACAATTAAGTTATTATTGACTATAGTCACCCTATTGTATTATCAAATAGTAGGTTTTATTTATTCTTTCTAACTTTTTTTTGGTAGCTGTTAACCATCCACTCCTCCCCCACAGCCCCCTACTATCCTTCCCAGACTCTGATAACTAGCCTTCTACTCTTTATGTCCATGAGGCAAATTGTTTTGATTTTTAGTCCCACAAATAAGTGAGAACATGCAATGTTTGTCTTTCTGTGCCTGGCTTATTTAACTTAACATAATGATCTCCAGTTCCATCCTATGTTGTTGCAAAAGACAGGGTCTCATTCTTTTTTATGGCTGAATGGTACTCCATTGTGTATATGTACTTGTACCACATATTCTTTATTCACTCATCTGTTGATGGACATTTAGGTTGCTTCCAAATCTTAGTTATTGTAAACAATGTGCAACAAACATAGGAGAGCAGGTATCTCTTCAATACACTGATTTCTTTTCTTTTGGGTATACACCCAGCAGTGGGATTGCTGGACCATATGGCAGCTCTATTTTTAGTTTTTTTGAAGAACCTCTAAACTGTTCTCCATAGTGGTTGTGTTGATTTACATTCTCATCAACACTATATGAGGCTTTCCTTTTCTCCACATCCTCGCCAGCATTTGTTATTGCCTGTCTTTTAGATATAATTCATTTTAACTGAGGTGAGATGATAGCTCATTGTAGTTTTAATTTGCATTTCTCTGATGATCAGTGATGTTGAACACCTTTTCATATGATCGTTTGCCATTTGTATGTTTTCTTTTGAGAAATGTCTATTTAAATCTTTTGTCCATTTTTTTGGTCAGATTATTGGACTTTTTCCTATAGAGTTGATTGAGCACCTTATATTTTCTGGTTGTCAATCCGTTGTCAGATGGGTAGTCTGCAATATTTTCTCCCCTTCGGTGGGTTGTCTCTTCCCTTTGTTGATTGTATCCTTTGCTGTTTAGAAACTTTTTAACTTGATGCGATTCCATGTGTCCATTTTTGCTTTAGTTGTCTATGCTTGTGGGGTATTGCTCAAGAAATCTTTGCCCGGACAAATGTCCCGGAGATTTCCCCAATGTTTTCTTGTAGTAGTTTCATAGTTTGAGGTCTTAGATTTAACCACTCAATCAGTTTTGATTTGATTTTTGTATATGATGATAGATAGTGGTCTAGTTTCATTCTTTTGCACATGGATGTCCAGTTTTCCCAGCACTATTTATTGAAGAGACTGTATGTTCCCCAGTGTATGTTCTTGACACCTTTGTCAAAAATGAATTTACTATAGGTATGTGGATACGTCTCTGGGTTCTCTATTCTGTTCCATTGGTCTATGTGCCTGTTTTTATGCCAGTCCCATGTTGTTTTGGTGACTATAGCTCTGAACTATAATTTGAAATCAGGTAATGTGATTCCTGTAGTTTTGTTCTTTTGCTTAGGATAGCTTTGGCTATTCAGGGTCTTTTGTGGTCCCATATAAATTTTAGAATTGTTTTCTCTATTTCTGTGAAGAATGTCATTGGTATTTTGATAGGGATTGCATTGAATTTGTAAATTGCTTTGGATAGTATGAACATTTTAGCAATATTGATTCTTCCAATCCAGGAACATGGGATATTTTTTCATTTTTTATGTCCTTGTCAATTTCTTTCATGAGTGTTTTATAGATTTTATTATAGAGATCTTTCATTTTTTTGCTTCAGTTAATTTCTAGGTATTTAATTTTATGTATGGCTACTGTAAAGGGGATTACTTTTTTTTTTATTTGAGATGGAGTCTTGCTCTGTCACCCAGGCTGGAGTGCAGTGGCATGATCTGTGCTCACTGCAAGCTCCACCTCCCGGGTTCATGCCATTCTCCTGCCTCAGCCTCCTGAGTAGCTGGGACTACAGGCGCCTGCCACCATGTACGGCTAATTTTTTGAATTTTTAGTAGAGACGGGGTTTCACCATGTTAGCCAGGATGGTCTCGATCTCCTGACCTTGTGATCCACCCGCCTCAGTCTCCCAAAGTGCTGGGATTACAGGCTTGAACCACTGTGCTGGGCTGGGGATTACTTTTTTTTTTTTTGAAACGGAGTCTCTCTGGGTCACCCAGGCTGGAGCGCAGTGGCATGATCTCGGCTCACTGCAACTTCCGCCTCCCGGGTTCAAGCGATTCTCCTGCCTCAGCCTTCTGAGTAGCGGGGACTACAGGCACGTGCCACTATGCCCGGCTAATTTTTGTATTTTTAGTAGAGACGGGGTTTCACCATGTTGGTCAGGCTGGTCTCGAACTACTGACCTCAGGTGATCCACCCGTCTCGGCCTCCTAAAGTGCTGGCATTACAGACCTGAGCCACCGTGCCCGTCCGGGATTACTTTTTTTTAATTTCTTTTTCAGATTGTTTGCTGTTGTCATATAGAAATGCTACTGATTTTTGTATGTTGATTTTGTGTCCTGCAACTTTACTAAATTTTTAAAACAGTTCTAATAGTGTTCTGGTGAAGTCTTTAGGCTTTTCCAAATATAAGATCATATCATCAGCAAACAAGGATACTTTGAATTCTTGCTTTCCAATTTGGATGCTCTTTAAATTTTTCTCTTGTCTAATTGCTCTCGCTAGGAATTCCAGTAGTATGTTGAATAACAGTGGTCAACATGGCCATCCTTGTCATGTTCCAGATCTTAGAGGAAAGCCTTTCAATTTCCCCCCATTCAATATGATACTATCTATCCATGTGGCATATGTGGCTTTTATTATGTTGAGGCATGTTCCTCCTATACCCTGATTTTTGAGGTTATTTTTTCTAAAGGGATGTTGAATTCTATCAAATGGTTTTTCAGCATCAATTGAAATAATCATATAGTTTTTGTCCTTCATTCTGTTGATATGATGTATCACAGTGTTTGATTTGTATATATTGAAGCATCCTTGCATCCCAGTGATAAATCCTTCTTGATCATGATGAATGATCTTTTTAATGCTTTGTTGAATTTGGTCTGCTAGTATTTTGTTGAGGATTTTTGCATCAATATTAATCAGAGAATATGTATTGGCCTATAGATTTTTATTTTAAATGTGTCTGTTTGGTTTTGGTATCAGGGTAATACTGGCCTCATAGAATAAGTTTGGAGGTATTCCCCTTTATATTTTTTGGAATAGTTTGAGTAGGACTGGCATTAGTTCTTTAAATGTTTGGTAAAATTCATCAGTAAAGCTATTGGGGCCTGGGCTTTTCTTTACTGGGGAAGTTTTTGTTACAGCTTTTTTTTTTTTTTGAGATGGAGTCTTGCCCTGTTGCCCAGGCTGGAGTGCAATGGCACAGTCTCGGCACACTGCATCCTTTGCCTCCCGGATTCAAATGATTCCCCTCCCTCAGTCACCCGAGTAGCTGGGATTACAGGCGCCCACCACCACGCCCAGCTAATTTTTGTATTTTTAGTAGAGACGGGGTTTCACCATGTTGGCCAGGCTGGTCTTAAGCTCCTGACCTCAGGTGATCCACCCGCCTCGGCCTCCCAAAGTGCTGGGGTTACAGGCGTGAGCCACTGCACCCAGCTTTATTTTATTTTATTTTTATTTTTAATTTTTTATTTATTTTTTTGTGACAGAGTCTTGCTCTATCACCCAGGCTGGAGTGCAGTGGTGTTGTCTCAGCTCACTGCAACCTCTGCCCCCTGGGCTCAAGTGATTCTCTCACCTCAGCCTCCCTAGTAGCTGAGATTACAGGCATGCGCCACTATGCCCAGCTACTTTTTGTATTTTTAGTAGAGATGAGGTTTCACCATGTTTGCCAGGCTGGTCTTGACCTCCTGACCTCAAGTGATCTGCCCACCTCAGCCTCCCAAAGTGCTGGGATTACAGGCGTGAGCCACTGGGCCAGCCTTTATTATAGCTTTGATCTCGTTATTTGTTATTGGTCCTTTCAGGTTTTGGATTTCTTCATGGTTCAATCTTGGTAGTCTTTATGTGTCTAGGGCTTTGTCCATTTCTTCTAGATTTTCTAATTTATTGGCATACAGTTGCTCATAGTAGCCACCAAAGATTCTTTGAATTTCTGCAGTATCAGTTGTCATGTCTCCTTTTTCATCTCTGATTTTATTTATTTGGGTCTTCTCTCTTGGGTAGTTAGTCTGGCTAAATGTTTGTCAATTTAGTTTACCTTTTTTTCTCTCCATAATATGCCTTCATATATATATATGTATATATATATTTTACTTTAAGTTGTGAGATACATGTGCAGAACATGCAGGTTTGTTACACAGGTATACATGTGCCATGGTGATTTGGTGCACCTATCAATCTATCACCTAGGTTTTAAGCCCCGCATGCATTAGTTATTTGTCCTGATGCTCTCCCTCTCCTCGCCCCCCACCCAGTTTACCTTTTCAAAAAAACCAACTTTTTGTTTCATTGATCTTTTGTGTTATTTTCTTCATTTCAATGTCTTCTATTTCTGCTCTGATCTTTATTATTACTTTTCCTTCTACTAATATCAGGTTTGGTTTGCTCTTGCCTTTCTAGCTCTTTAAGATGCATCATTCAATTGTTTATTTGAAGTTTTTCCTCTTTTTTGATGTAGGTACTTATTAGGTATAAATTTCTCTCTTAGTACTGCTTTTGCTGTATCCCATCGGTTTTGATATGTGTGTTTCATTATTTGTTTCAAGAAATTTTCAATTTCCTTCTTAATTTCCTCACTGACCCACTGGTCTTTCAGGAGCATATTTAATTTCTATATAATTATATGGTTTCCAAAATTCCTTTTGTTATTAATTTCTAGTTGTATTCCATTGTAGTTAGAGAAGATGCTTGATATTATTTCAATTTTTTTAAATGTTTTAAGACTTGTTTTGTGACTTAACATATGGTCTATTCTTGAGAATGAACCATGTGCTGAGAAGAATGTATATTCTACAGCTTTTGGATGAAATGTTCTGTAAATATCTATAGATTCATTTGGTCTGTAGTGCAGATTACATCCAATGATTCTTTGTTGATATTCTGCCTAACAGATCTGTCCAATGCTGAAAGTGGAATGCTGAAACCTTCAGCTATTATTGTATTGGAGTCCATCTGTCTCTTTAGCTCTAATGATACTTCCTATATATATCTGGGTACTCCATTGTTGGGTGCATATATATTTATAATTCTTATATCTTCTTGCTGAATTGACCCCTTTACCACTATATAGTGACCTTCTTTGTCTCTTTATACTTTTGTCTTGAAATCTGTTTTGTCTCGTATAAGCATAGTGACTCCTGCTCTTTTTTGGTTTTCATTGGCATGGAATATCTTTTTCCAACCCTTTATTTTCAATCTATGAGTGCCTTTATAGGTGAAGTGTGTTTCTTATAGGCAACAGATCGATTGTATTTTTTTAAAATATCCATTCAGCCACTCTATGTATTTTGATTGGAGAGTTTAGTCCATTTATATTCAATGTTACTATTGATAACTAAGGACTTACTCTTACCATTTTGTTATTTGTTTTCTGGTTGTTTAATGGTCTACTCTTCCTTCTTTCTCTCCTTTCTCTTTTCCTTTTAGTGAAGGTGATTTTCTTTGATGGTATGTTTTAATTGTTTGCTTTTAATTTTTTGTGTATCCTTTATATATATTTTGCTTGAGGTTACCATAAGTCTTGCAAATATTCTCTTATAATCCATTATTTTAAGCTGATAACAACTTAATGCTGTTTGCATAAACAAACAGAAAACGAATAAAAACTCTACAGTTTGACTTCATCCTCCCACTTTTTAACTTTTTGTTGTTTCTATTTATATCTTATTGTACTCTCTGTGTCTTGAAAAGTTGTCGTAGTTATAATTTTTGACTGGTTCTTCATTTATTTTTACTTAGGATAAGAGTAATTTATACATCGCAGTTAGAATGTTATAATAGTCTCTGTTTTTCTGTGTACTTACTACTACCAGTGAGTTTTTTTACCTTCAGATGATTATTCATTTTTTCTTAATGTTTTTTCTTTCTGATTTACTCCCTTTAGCATTTCTTGTAGGGCAGGTCTGGTTTGACAAAATCCCTCAACTTCTGCTTGTCTGGGAAAACCTTTATTCTTCATGTTTGAAGGACATTTTCACTGGATATATGATTTTACGGTAAAAGTGTCTTTCCTTCAGGACTTTAAATATGTCACGCCACTTTCTCCTGGCCTGTAAGGTTCTCACTGAAAAGTCTGCTGCCAGATGTTTTTTGGTTTCCCTGTATGTTATTTGTTTCTTCTCTCTTGCTACTCTCAGGATCCTTTCTTTATCCTTGACTTTTGGGAATTTGATTATTCAATGCCTTGAGGTAATGTTCTTTTGGTTAAATCTGCTTCGTTTTCCATAATACTCTTGTGCATGGGTATTGACATCTTTCTCTATATTTGGAAAGTTTTCTGCTTTATCCCTTTGAATAAACTTTCTACTTGTATCTCTTTCTCTACTTTTTCTTTAAGGCCAATAACTCTTAGATTTGCCCTTTTATGGCTATTTTCAGAATCTTGTAGGCATGCTTCGTTTCTTTTTTTTTTTAGTTTTATCTCCTCTGATGTGTATTTTCAAATAGCTTGCCTTCAAGTTCACTCATTCTTTCTTCCGTTTGATCAGTTCTTCTGTTGAGAGACTCTTATGGATTCTTCAGTATGCAAATGGCATTTTTCTTTTTTATTCTTCTTTATTCTTTTATTTTAAGCTCCGGGGTACATGTGCCGGATGTGCAGGTTGGTTACATAGGTAAATGTGTGCCATGGTGGTTTGCTGCACACAAATCAACTCATAACCCAGGTATGAAGTCCAGCATCCATTAGCTATTCTTCCTGATGCTCTCCCTGCCCCTCCTCCCCCGACTGGCTCCAGTGTGTGTTGTTCCCTCTCATGTGCCCATGTGTTCTCATCATTCAGCTCCCAGTTATAAATGAGAACATGCAGTGTTTGGTTTTCTGTTCCTGCATTAGTTTGCTAAGGATAATGGCTTCCAGTTCCATCCATGTCGCTGCAAAGGATATGATCTCATTCCTTTTTATGGCTGCATAGTATTCCATTGTGTATATGTACTGCATTGTCTTTATCCAGCCTACCATTGACTGGATTGGTTCTGTGTCTTTGCTATTGTGAATAGTGCTACAATGCATGTATCTTTATAATATAATGATTTGCATTCCTTTGGGTACATACCCAGTAATGGGAATGCTGGGTCAAATGGTATTATATTTCTGCCTCCAGGTCTGAGGAATTGCCACACTGTCTTCCACAATGGTTGAACTAACTTACACTCCCACCAACAGTGTAAATGCATTCCTTTTTCTCCACAACTTTGCCAGCATTTGTTGCTTCTTGACTTTTTAATAATCGTCATTCTGACTGGAATGAGATGGTATCTCATTGTGGTTTCAATTTGCATTTCTCTAATGTTCAGTGATGCTGAGCTTTTTTACATATGTTTGTTTGCCACATGAATGTCTTCTTTTGAGAAGTGTCTGTTCATGTCCTTTGCCCACTTTTTTTTTTTTTTTTGAGATGGAGTTTTGCTTTTGTCACCCAGGCTGGAGTGCAATGGCATGATCTTGGCTCACTGCAACCTCCACCTCTCAGGTTCAAACAATTCTCCTGCCTCAGCCTCCTGAGTAGCTGGGATTACAGGTGCCCACCACCACTCCCAGCTAATTTTTTGTATTTTTAGTAAAGAGGGGTTTCACCATGTTGGCCAGGCTGGTCTTGAACCCCTGACCTCAGGTGATCCGCCTGCCTCGGCCTCCCAAAGTGCTGGGATTACAGGCATGAGTCACCGTGCCCGTCCCCCCGCTTTGCCCACTTTTTAATGGGGTTGTTTGTTTGTTTTCTTCTAAATTTATTTAAGTTCCTTGTAGGCTCTGGATATTAGACCTTTTTGCAGATAGATAGATTGCAAAAGTTTTCTCCCATTCTGTAGGTTGTTTGTTCACTCTGATGATAGTTTCTTTTGCAGTTGAGAAGTTCTTAAGTTTAATTACATCCCACTGGTCAATTTTTGCTTTTGTTGTGATTGCTTCTTGGTGTCTTTGTCATGAAATCTTTGCCTATTCCTCTGTCCTGAATGGTATTGCATAAATTTTCTTCTAGGGATTTCATAGTTTTGGGTTTTACATTTAAGTCTTTAATCCATCTTGAGTTAATTTTTGTATAAGGTGTAAGGAAGGGGTCCAGTTTCAATTTTCTGCACATGGCTAGCCAGTTCTCCCAGCACCATTTATTAAATAGGAAATCCTTTCCTCATTGCTTGTTTTTGTCAGGTTTGTTGAAGATCATATGGTTGTAGGTGTGTGGTCTTATTTCTAAGTTATCTATTCTGTTCCATTGGTCTATGTGTCTGTTTTTGTATCAGTAACATGCTGTTTTAGTTGCTGTGGCCTTATAGTGTAGTTTGAAGTCAGGTAGCGTGATGCCTCCAGCTTTGTTTTTTTGCTTAGGATTGTCTTGGCTATATGGGTTCCTTCTTGATCCCATATGAATTTCAAAATAGTTTCTTCCAGTTCTGTGAAGAATGTCAATGGTAGTTTAATGGGAATAGCATTGAAATCTACAAATTACTCTGGGCAGTATAGCCATTTTTATGACATTGATTCTTTTTTATTTTTTTTGTGATGGAGTTTCACTCTTGCTGCCCAGGTTGGAGTGCAGATCAGAGTGCAATAACACAATCTCAGCTCACTGCAACCTCTACCTCCTGGGTTCAAGCGATTCTCCTGCCTCAGCCTCCCAAGTAGCTGGGATTACAGGCACCTGCCAGCATGCTTGGCTAATTTTTTTTATTTTTAGTAGAGATGGGGTTTCACCATGTTGGCCAGGCTGATCTAGAACTCCTGACCTCAGGTGATCCACCCACCTCGGCCTCCCAAAGTGCTGGGATTACAGGCATGAACCACTGCACTCAGCCTATGATATTGATTTTTCCTATCCATGAGCATAGAATATTTTTTCCATTTGTTTGTGTCCTTTCTGATTTCTCTGAGCAGTGGTTTGTAGTTCTCCTTGAAGAGGTCCTTTACTTCCCTTGTTAACTGTATTCCTAGGTATTTTATTCTTTTGTAGCAATTGCGAACGGGAGTTCATTCATAATTTGGCTCTCTATTTGCCTGTTGTTGGTGTATAGGAATGCTAGCAATTTTTGTACTTTTTTTTTTTTTTTTTTTTTTTTTTGAGATGGAGGCTCACTCCATCGCCCAGGCTGGAGTGCAGTGGTGTGATCTCAGCTCACTCCAACCTCTGCCTCCCGGGCTCAAGCAATTCTCCTGCCTGAGCCTCCTGAGTAGCTGGGATTACAGGCGCAGGCCACCATGCCTGGCTAATTTTTGCATTTTTAGTAGAGACAAGGTTTCACCATGTTGGTCAGGCTGATCTCAAACTCCTGACCTCAGGTGATCTGCCTGCTTTGGCCTCCCAAAGTGTTGGAATTACAGGCATGAGCTACTGCGCCCGGCCTGCACATTGATTTTGTATCCTGAGACTTTGCTGAAGTTGCTTATCAGCTTAAGAAGCTTTTGGGCTGTGATGATAGGGTTTTCTAGATATAGGATCATGTCATCTGCAAACAGAGATAATTTGACTTCCTCTCTAACTATTGGAATACCCTTTATTTCTTTCTCTTGCCTGATTGCCCTGACCAGAACTTCCAACTCAATGTTGAACAGGAGTGGCAAAAGAGGGCATCCTTGTCTTGCGCTTGTTTTTAAGTGGAATGCTTCCAGCTTTTCCCGATTCAGTACGATATTGGCTGTGGGTTTGCCATATATGGCTCTTATTACTTTGAGGCATGTTCCTTCAATACCTAGTTTATTGAGAGTTTTTAACATAAAGGGATGTTACATTTTATCAAAGGCCTTTTCTGTATCTCTTGAGATAATCATGTGTTTTTTTGTCTTTAGTTCTGTTTCTGTAATCAATTATGTTTATTGATTTGCATATGTTGAACCACTTCCTGGTATGAAGGCAACTTGACCATGGTGGGTAAGTTTTTTGATGTGCTGCTGGATTTAGTTTGCCAGTATTTTATTGGGGATTTTTGCATCAATGTTCATCAGGGATATTGGCCTGAAGTTTTCTTTTTTTTTTTTGTCGTATCTCTGCCAGGTGTTGGTATCAAAATTATGCTGTTCTTTTTGTGTGGATTCTTTCTCATCTTTGTGGGCTTATCTACCTTTGATCTTTGAGGTTGCTGACCTTTGAATGTGGTTTTTGTGGGGTCTTTTTGTTATTGTTGTTGTTGTTGCTTTCTTTTCATCCGCTTGTCTGTTTGTTTCAATAGTCAAGCCAGTCTTCTGTAGGGCTGCCGTGGTTTGCTGGGGGTCCACTCCAGACCCTAGTTGTCTCTGTCCCTCTCACACTTGGAGGTATCACCAGTAAACGCTGCAAAACAGCAAAGATGGCAGCCTACTCCTTCCTCTGCGAGCTCTGTCCCAGGCAGGTACCGACCTGATACCAGCCAGAATGTTCCTATAGGAAGTGTCTGGAGACCCCTGTTGGGATGTCTCACCCAGTCAGGAGGAATAGGATCAGGGACCCATTTAAAGAAGCAGTCTGGCTGCCCTTTGGCAGAGCAGGAGTGGTGCACTGACTGCCTGGCTCTCTAGAACCAGCAGCCTGGAATGACTAAGTCGACTGAACCACAAAGACGGTGGCTGACCCTCCCCCTGAGGACTCCGTTCCAGGGTGATATTGGAATTCCTTCTGTATAAACCTTGGCTGCAGTTGCTGAAATTCCCGTGGAGAGGCCCCACCCAGTGAGAAGGGCTGATGGGGTCCCACTTAAAGAGCAGACTGGCCACGATCAGGCACAACAGCTGTGCTGTGTTGTGGGGAGTTCCTCCTGGTCCCCAGTGACAGCAGGGCTAGAGAGGCAGACTGCAACAGCATATATGGTGGCTGCCCCTCCTCCTGGGAACACAGTCCATCTCAGGCCATCTCCAGCCTGCTGCCACTGGGCAGCTGGAATTCCAAGCCAGTGAGTCTTAACTTGTGAGGTGCTGTGGGAGTGGGGCCCACAGAATGACACCACTTGGCTCCCTTGATTCCGCCCCCTTCCCAGGGGAATGCATAGGATATCCTGCCTTGCTGGAATTCCTGGGGCTGCAGTATGCAAAACTCCTAGGTTTCCAGTGTGCCCAAGCCAGCAAGCGAGTGGCCTCTCCAGACACTCCACACAGCTTTGTGTTTTGGACCCAAGACCTGGTGACATGGGCCCATGAGGGGATTTCTTGATCTGCAGGTTGCAGATCAATTTTCTGTAGGAAAAGTGTGGTTTCCTGGGCAGGGTCTTGCAATCACTCATCACCTCCCTTGGTTGGGGGTGGGGACTCCCTTGGTTCCATGCCGCTCCTGAGTGGGCTGTCACCCCACTTGGCTTTTCCTCAATCTCCTTGGGTGGTGCCTAATGCCTAGTCAGTCCTAATGTGAGAACCTGGATACCTCAGCACTTGCCGTTTTCATTGCTCTCTGTGAGTTGTGGATTGCAGCTGCTTCTAATCAGCCATCTTGGACCCTACCCCCACCAATATTGCCTTTTTCAAGTATAGAATTTATCTTTGATTCTTTTTAGTTATTTCGATCTCTTTGTGAAATTTATCTAATAGACTTCTGAATTTCTTTTCTGTGTTATGTTCATTTTTTAGTTTCCTCAACACAGTTATTAGTTTTTGGAGATGGAGTCTCACTCTGTTGCCTAGGCTGGAGTGCAGTGGCACAACCTCGGCTCACTGCACCCTCCACCTCCCAGGTTCAAGCAATTCCCCTGCCTCAGCCTCCCGAGTAGCTGGGACTACAGGGGCATGCTGCCATGCCCGGCTAATTTTTTTTGTATTTTAGTAGAGACAGGGTTTCACCATGTTGCCCAGGCTGGTTGTGAACTCCTGAGCTCAGCTAACCCGCCCACCTCAGCCTCCCAAAGTGCTGGGATTACAGGTGTGAGCCACTGCGCCCAGCCAACACAGTTACTTACTTTGAATTCTGTCTGAAAGGTCATATATGTTTCTCCAGGATTGGTCACTGGAACCTTGCTCAGTTTATTCAGTTGTGTCATGTTTTTCTTGATGGTCTTAATACTTGTAGATGTTCATCTCTGTCCAGGTATTGAAGATTTAGGTATTTATTGTAGTTTTTACAGTCTGCGTTTGTTTGTACCCATCCTTCTTGGAAAGGCTTTCCAGATATTTGAAATGACTTGGATGTTGTGATCTAAGCTCTATCTGCTTTAGGGGGCACCCCAAACCAAATAACTCTGTGGTTCCTGCAGCCTCGTGAAGGTACCACCTTTGATGGTCTTGAACAAGAGCTGGAAGAATCCTCTGGATTACCAGGCAGACCCTCTTGTTCTCTTCTTTTACTTTCTCCCCAATAAATAGAGTCTGTTTGTGTGCTGAGCCACCTGAAGCTAGGGGTATTATGACACTAGCACTCCCGTGGTCACCACCACTATGACTGTGCTGGGTCAGACTTGAAGCCAGCACAGCACTGGGTTTCACCCAAGGCCCACCTTAACCACTCCCTGGCTACTTCCTATGTTTGTTTAAGGTCCCGGGGCTCTACAATCAGCAGGTGGCAAAGCCAGCTAGTGTTGTGTCCTTTATTTCAGGATGGTAATTTTTCCCAGGCTCTGGGTTGGTCCAGAAGTGCCATCCAAGAGCCAAGGACTAGATTTAAAAACTGTACCTGAGCTTGCACTTAGATTATGAGACAGGGTCTTTCCCAGTCTTCTCTCCCCTTTCCAAAGGCAGAGGAGTCTCATCCGATATCCTCTGCCATCATAGGCTCATGAGGAGGACTGCCAGTCTACAACCGATGTTCCCTTAAGGCCCAAGGCTCTCTAGTCAGCTTGTGGTGAAAGCTGCCTGGCCTGGGACTCAACCTCCAGGGCAGTGTGCTTCCCTCTGGCGCAGGGCAGATTTAAAAATGCCGTCCAAGAGTCAGGTGCTGGAACTGGGGACCCTAAGAACCCGCCTGGTGCTCTTTCTCCCGGTGGCTGTGCTGGTACCTAAGGTGCAAGACAAAGTCCCTTTTACTTCTCATTCTGCTTTTCTTAAGTAGAAGAAACCTTGCCCCATAGCCACCACAGCTGGGAATGTGCTGAGTCTCACCTGAAGCCAGAAAGTCTCAGTGTCTTGGCCAAAGCCCTCAACATAGTACCTGAGTATTGCTGATGGTTATTAGTGCCCAAGAGCTCTTTGGTTAGCAGGTGATGAATGCTGCCAGGCAGTGGGCTTCCTTCTGGCCAAGGGTATATCTATAAATCTGAGAGCAAGGTCCTGGAAAGAGGGCCTCATGTTTCTGACTGGTGCCCTATCCTGCTGTGGCTGAACTGATATCCAAGATGTAAGACAATGTTGGGGTCATCAGACCCAACACCAGGTCGTGGTGGTGACAAAGTCCGGCGGAGTCAAAGGATTGAGAAAAAGAGGGTGACAAAGTCCGGCGGAGTCAAAGGATTGAGAAAAAGACAGTTTGAGAGAGAAAGGTGGGACATCAGAGGGCTATCGCTATTGTTGAGGCTGCGAAGGCCCCAAGCTCCGGGAGCCCACAGTATTTATTGGTGATCCAACAAAGAAACAGGTGGTGAGAATGTGGAGGTCAAAAGAGCACGTTGCATTAAGCACATGATTTATAGCTGTGATGTTTAGCATTTATAAGGAACATGTTCTGCTACTTGAAATAATGGGAATAGGAGCCTAGGAGGGCTGGAAGCAAGGAGCCAGCAAGTCTAGACACGTTCCAGAGGCCATTAGGCAAGCCCTGCCTCAGTTTCCCTCCCAACACTCAGCTTTTTCCCAACAAGACAATGTCCTTTACACTCTTTCCTCTCCTCTCTTCAAGTGGAAGGAAGTGGTCTCTTTTCAAGCTGTGAACTGTGCAGCCTGGTTTTAGGGGAGGGGTGATGCCAGTACTTCCTTAGTAATCCCAGCTTGTATCTCAGTAGGTCATGTACCCCCAACCCGCAGCCCCAGTCTACTGGCTCTGGGTCTACTACAGCACTAGGACTCACCTAAAAGTTGCAGTCCTTGTGGCCTAGACTGCCTTTCACGTTTATTTACAGCCCCAGAGCACTTTCGCCTGCAATAGTGATACTTGCGGGAACTCAAGTTCTGACTGCTAGGATCAGCAATTCCCCTATAGCCTGAGCTGGTTTAAATTCTCTCTCCATAGGCTGGCATCAGCTGAGTTTGGTCTGGTTTTCCTTTCTACTATAAGAGGGCAGCACTGAGTTCAATGCCTCACAATTACTGGCTCTCCCTCTCCCCAGCATACAGAAATACTCTGTGCACCATGCCACTGCTGCTGGAGGATGTGGGAGGGGTAGCATCAGCTATTTAAGACTGTTTTTACGGTCTAACATTTAAGTCTTTAATCCATCTTGAATTGATTTTTGTATAAGGTGTAAGGAAGGGATCCAGTTTCAGCTTTCTACATATGGCTAGCCAGTTTTCCCAGCACCATTTATTAAATAGGGAATCTTTTCCCCATTGCTTGTTTTTGTCAGGTTTGTCAAAGATCAGATAGTTGTAGATATGCGGCGTTATTTCTGAGGGCTCTGTTCTATTCCATTGATCTATATCTCTGTTTTGGTACCAGTACCATGCTGTTTTGGTTACCGTAGCCTTGTAGTATAGTTTGAAGTCAGGTAGCGTGATGCCTCCAGCTTTGTTCTTTTGGCTTAGGATTCACTTGGCGATGCGGGCTCTTTTTTGGTTCCATATGAACTTTAAAGTAGTTGTTTCCAATTCTGTGAAGAAAGTCATTGGTAGCTTGATGGGGGTGGCATTGAATCTATAAATTACTTTGGGCAGTATGGCCATTTTCACGATATTGATTCTTCCTACCCATGAGCATGGAATGTTCTTCCATTTGTTTGTATCCTCTTTTTATTTCATTGAGCAGTGGTTTGTAGTTCTCCTTGAAGAGGTCCTTCACGTCCCTTGTAAGGTGGATTCCTAGGTATTTTATTCTCTTTGAAGCAATTGTGAATGGGAGTTCGCTCCTGATTTGGCTCTCTGTTTGTCTGTTATTGGTGTATAAGAATGCTTGTGATTTTTGTACATTGATTTTGTAACCTAAAACCATAAAAACTCTAGAAGAAAACCTAGGCATTACCATTCAGGACATAGGCATGGGCAAGGACTTCATGTCTAAAACACCAAAAGCAATGGCAACAAAAGCCAAAATTGACAAATGGGATCTAATTCAACTAAAGAGCTTCTGCACAGCAAAAGAAACTACCATCAGAGTGAACAGGCAACCCACAAAATGGGAGAAAATTTTCGCAACCTACTCATCTGACAAAGGGCTAATATCCAGAATCTACAATGAACTCAAACAAATTTACAAGAAAAAAACAAACAACCACATCAAAAAGTGGGCGAAGGACATGAACAGACACTTCTCAAAAGAAGACATTTATGCAGCCAAAAAACACATGAAAAAATGCTCACCATCACTGGCCATCAGAGAAGTGCAAATCAAAACCACAGTGAGATATCATCTCACACCAGTTAGAATGGCAATCATTAAAAAGTCAGGAAACAACAGGTGCTGGAGAGGATGTGGAGAAATAGGAACACTTTTACACTGTTGGTGGGACCGTAAACTAGTTCAACCCTTGTGGAAGTCAGTGTGGCGATTCCTCAGGGATCTAGAACTAGAAATACCATTTGACCCAGCCATCCCATTACTGGGTATATACCCAAAGGACTATAAATCATGCTGCTATAAAGACACATGCACACGTATGTTTATTGCGGCACTATTCACAATAGCAAAGACTTGGAACCAACCCAAATGTCCAACAGTGATAGACTGGATTAAGAAAATGTGGCACATATACACCATGGAATACTATGCAGCCATAAAAAATGATGAGTTCATGTCCTTTTTAGGGACATGGATGAAATTGGAAATCATCATTCTCAGTAAACTATCGCAAGAACAAAAAACCAAACACCGCATATTCTCACTCATAGGTGGGAATTGAACAATGAGAACACACGGACACAGGAAGGGGAACATCACACTCTGGGGACTGTTGTGGGGTGGGGGGAGAGGGGAAGGATAGCATTGGGAGATATACCTAATGCTAGATGACGAGTTAGTGGGTGCGGCACACCAGCATGTCACATGTATACATATGTAACTAACCTGCACATTGTGCACATGTACCCTAAAACTTAAAGTATAATAATAAAAAAAAATTAAAAAAAAGAAAGTAGAAAAGAAAAAAAAGACTGTTTTTACTACCTCTTTAGTGGCTGTTTCAGTAATACAAAGTTCAAACTACGTACTGTGAGTAACTGCCTGATTTTTGGTTATTATAAAGGTGCTTTTTAATGTAGATAATTGTTAAATTGGTGTCCTTGGTGGGGTGGGGGACAATCATTGGAGACTTCTATTCCACCTTCTTGCTCTGCTTTCAATCCTAGTTGCTATACTTTTTTTTTTTTTTGACAATGCCCTGTGGCATAAATTGCTCCTCAGTATGATCCAATTAAATTCGGGCCCCTTTGCAGAAGTGGTTTTTGTTGTCAGACTCTGCGTTTTTGTGATGCCTGGATGGCTTTTCTTAGCTGTCTTTTTTTTCCCTGGTTCTATCTGGTAAACTGGTCTATAGGTTGTTCTTGTGGGGCTACTGGCTTCTTCTTAATTACTTACCACCAAAATTTCTATTGTTTTGTGAGCACGCTTTGGTTTGAACTTTCCCACACTGTGTTCCCAATAAAGTCAGTTGCTTTGGTGAGAACTTTAGAGCTTTTTGTTTTTACAGCTCACCTCTCTCACCAGGCAAAACTAGAGCTGAGGTAGGGATCAGTGGCCTGCTTCTCTCAGAGTGACATATTTGCTTCACAAGTAGAGTGTGTCTTGCTTCTTCTAATGTGGAGAGTATCCTATGAGCTAGCTGGGGCGAGCATGATTAGTATTTTTGGTCTGTCATGCCTGGGTTAGTGCTTTCATCTTATGAGTTAAAGCTGGGTGGGGGAAGGGAGCCCCAATCCCCTCACCTTTGATTGGAATTGAGCTCTGTAACATGGAGCTGGGGAGAATAAGAAATGTTGATTGCCTACATTTCCTGGGGAGAAATTTCATCTTCTTGAGTGCACCTGCCCAGAGTGGAGCTTCTATCATTGAGCTTGAGACCCTCGCTGTGTTTTACTAAGATTTAAATTTTCTTGAATAAATGTCTCCTTATGTCTTTATGCCCTTGGGATAATTTCTGGAGACTTTAACATGGTTGTTCTAAAAATAATTTTCACCAGTTATGGTTGTTTCTCTGGGGAAAGGATCCATGGAACATTCCACATCTCTGTCTGGAAGTGATCTCTTTAACATTTTACAAAACTGCCAGATTATTTTCTAGCATGGCTGTACCATCTTACATTTGTATCAACAAGGTAGGAGAGACATATTTCTCTGCAGCCTCACCAGCATTTGGCATTGCCAATATTTTTTGTTTTAGCCATTCCAATAGGTATATGATTGCCTTTATTTTCATTTCCCTGATGATTAATGATGTTGAGCATCTTCATGTGTGCTTTTTAGCATTTATACGTCTTTTTGTGGTTTTAATTTGAATTTTCCTAATCGTGAGTGATATTGAACATCTTTTCATGTGTTTGCCAACTTTAGATCTTCTTTGATTAAATAAATATCTATTCGAGTCTTTTGTCCATTAAAAAGATTGGATTCTTTATTTTTTACTATTGAGTTTAGAAAGTTATTTATATGTTCTGGATATGAGGCTTCTGTCGGATGTGTGGTTTGCAAATATTTTCTCAATTGACTTTTGAGAAACGTGCAAAGGCAAATCAATGGAAAATGGATAGTCTTTTCAATAAATTGTGTGAAAACAAGTGGACAATTGTATGGGAAAAATGAACTATGACCTCTACCTCACACCACACACATAAAGAAATGAAATATGCAGCAATATAATAGAGTGAACTGGAAGGAGCTGGACTTTTAGAATGGTGAAGCAAATCCTCTTTCCTTCCAATTCATTCCTTCTTATTGTTGTATGGTATTCCATTGAGTGTATATACCACGGTTTATTTCATGGTGTGTAAATAATACTCTGTTAAAACTATTTTTTAAAGGCAGGAAGAGGCTGGGCATGGTGGTTCACACCTGTAATCCCAGAACTTTGGGAGGCTGAGGCAGGTGGATCACTTCAGGTCAGGAGTTCGAGAACAGTCTGGCCAACATGGTGAAACCCTGCCTCTACTAAAAATACAAAAATTAGCTGGGTGTGGTGGCAGGTGCCTGTAATCCCAGCTACTCAGGAAGCTGAGGCAGGAGAATTACTTGAACCCGGGAAGCAGAGGTTGCAGTGAACCAAGATCATGCTCCAGTCTGGGCAACAGAGCAAGACTCCATCTCAAAAAAAAAAAAAAAGGTGTGAATACTGATATACACAACAGTGTGAATGAATCTCAAAAACTTTATTCTGAGTAAAGGAAGTCACACATAAAACAGTACATACTGTATAATTTCATTTATTGAAATTCTAGAAAAGCCAAACTATACATATAATATATAAAATGTACATTATATAATTTATCACTTGTTATGATTGACATCATTCCTTATAATAGAATTTCAATATTGGCCATTGTCCTCTGAATGCCATAACTTTGATTTCTAAGACAAGACTAAAATTATGAAGAATGAGAAGACTCAATCTCTGTCTTTCTGTTTATCTACCTCTGTCTCTGTTTGTCTCTTAACTCAATCCCTTAAATTTAGGAGACATTTTCTTCTTCATTTTTACTTTTCTCTAATTGTCAAAGAGATAAATATGCATTATAGAAAATATGGCTAGTGCAGAAAAGTATATATAAAGAAACCATCCATCATTTCTCCACCAAGAGGCCATAAGAAATGGTAGCAACAATGGCAAAAAAGGCATTATTTTCAGTTATTAAGAAATCAACTTTGTCCCTCCATCCCTCATTGATTGATCAGGCTTGTAATAAGAGGCTAAATTCCTTTCCACTGGGATTCCATTTGTGTGGGGGTTTTCAGAGAGAGAGATGCTAAATGGTCATCAAAGGAATGAACTGGAATTGAGAAGGATTGTATGGCAAGTTTTAACTGCAGACTAAAGCATTTTTTTTTCATGATGTTTCCAGGGACCAACCACACTTCATTTCACTTCTAGTCCGTTACTTGTATCCTAATGGATGTGGCCAGTCCTATTAACTCTAATCCCACAAGACCTGCATATTAGGTATGATTTTCTTCTTCTTTTTTTTTTTCTTGAGATGTAGTTTCGCTCTGTTGCCCAGGATGCAGGGTAGTGGTGTGATCTCGGCTCACCACAACCTCTACCTCCTGGGTTCAAGCAATTCTCCTGCCTCAGCCTCCCAAGTAGCTGGGACTACAGGCACAGGCCACCCACCTGGCTAATTTTTGTATTATTAGTAGAGACAGGGTTTCACTATGTTGGCCAGGCTGGTTTCAAACCCCTCGACTCCTCAGCTCCTGCCTTGGCATCTCAAAGTTCTGGGATTACAGGCATGAGACACTGCGCATGGCCTATTAGGTATGATTTTAAATGGTAATAATTTGGTATTATGGATAGGGACTCAAGAATAATCACATTTTTACTTAACCTCATTACCTTTTTCATGTAAAGTTTGTTAAGAAGCCATACATACAAGGGACAAGGACAGATAGGAATTAAAATACCACTTTGTGTTTAGTGGAATTAGTGCCCACTACTCTGGCACAGGGTTCTCTGGTAAAGCTAGGTTTCAGCACATAACTTAGGCTCAGGATCCAAAAAGGGCTTCACCTTTTCCCACCAGTTTCCAATCTTATCATAGCTTACTCCTGAATTGGTAAGAACCAGTAAGTACTTGAGCAATAAAGTGAAAGTATCTGAACAATCAAGTGAAAGAAAGTAAGATGGCTGGATACCAAGGAGGTTTAGCTTAGTGTTTCCATTTCTCTGAATGACCGGAAAGCATGAAAGAGAAATCCATCTACAGTATGTGACCTTTTAACCCATAGTGACTCTCTCTAACACATTAGTAAACATGGCTCAAGGGATTCGAGCCAATCATTTGACTAGGTCTTTCTTGAGGGAAGGGAGTGGGGGTGAGGAAGCTGTGATCCTTTTCTTTCATTCTTACTTTGTGCTTTACAACCACTCAGAGAGAGGGAGTTGTACATATAGGTGGATATCCCCATAGGGGGATGGTAATAATTCTCTTATGCATGGGAGATTTCTCCAAATGAATTTTAATCAGTGCTGTATGTGGAAACTAAATTGTTTTTAAAAATTTTTTAAATGGATTTTAAGATCACAAGTTTTGGACTCAGATATCTGGGACGAACAGGCTGTCTTCCTATCTTGTTGTGGAATTTAGATATTTGTTGTGGTGGCCCCTTCAGTCCTTCAGTCCTTCCTAAGGGCCCCTTTTCCTTCATTATCCATCTATATATTTAAAATATCTGTATTTTCATATCCCTTTGACTCTTGCATTCCTAACAATCTAATCTACCCCCTCTTGTGAGAAGGCACCACCACATTTATAACAGGTAGTTCTCTAAGTGAAATTCATGGCTTAGCAATCTTCACAGTCTCAATCTTCAGTTCATCTCTGTATATCTGTGGCCCTGGTAAGATCCCAAGGGATTTGTTTTATGCCACTGTGACTGCTGTTGTTGCTGTCTGCTGTAGGTTCCTTAGGCCTACAAATCCCTAAACTGAAGCTGTTGCTGATGCTTCCAAAGGCTGTGCCATCCTGTGAGCACCAATATATCCTCATCCATGTCCTCTTTCCCCAAGCCTTGCCTTCTCTTCAGGTTTAAATTCTTTAGGTCTTTTTAAACCTGTAATACAACATTCTTTTGGCTTTTTTTTCCCTAGCAGCAGTGGCACATGCCCATCATTCCATTTTCTTCACTTTTCCCCCCACTGGCAAGTATGTAGAACAACGTTTCATTTCCTTCTGTTTTCTCCTTCCTTCCTTCCTTCCTTCCTTCCTTCCTTCCTTCCTTCCTTCCTTCCTTCCTGCCTTCCTGCCTTCCTGCCTTCCTGCCTTCCTGCCTTCCTGCCTTCCTTTCTCTCTCTCTCTTTCTCTCTCTCTCTCTCTCTGTACGGTGGCATGCTCTTGGCTCATTGCAGCCTTGACTTCCCAGGCTCAAGTGATTCTCCCACCTCAGTCTCCTGAGTAGCTGGGACCATAGGCAAGTGCCACCATACCTGGCTAATTTTTCTTTTCTTTTCTTTTTTTTTTTTTTGTAGAGACAGGGTCTCATCATGTTGCCCAGGCTGGTCTCAAACTTCTGGGCTCAGATGATCCTCCTGCTTTAGGTCTCCCAAAGTGCTGGGGTTACAGGCATGAGCCACCAAGTCCAACCCTCATCCATTTATTTCTTAAGGTCCTGTGTCTTCTCTATCTATGTAGGGCTAATATTATTTGCTGGATCATAGTGTCTTTTGTTCTTCATTTTCCTTTCTCTTGTTTTGTGGTCTTAACATGTGTTTTCTTAACATACTCCCTCAGGATTTACCTTATGGGATTCCTCCCATAGTGAAAACTGTGAAGAAAGAATATTCTAGGACTGCAGAAAGTATCTGCTATTCAAGTAAAACCTCCTTACCCACTTTCATATTCCTAAGTAGGAGAATTTTTTCTAGGAGGTATCTTTGCATCATTCCATTATTTAACACAGACCAGACTCACATATATTGAAATCCTGCCTTAGTGAGTTTCATTTTTCTCTCCCATTCCCTGAGAGCCTTAACTCTCTAAATGTCATAAGAACCTTCCCTTCTGGCCCAGGCTATCCTGCTTTCCAAATTACAGTCACTGTGTCACTTGAAGCTCACTAAATAATACCTGCTCACCGTGGTCTTCCTCTCTTTTGATTCTTTCTAAATGTTTTGTAATCAGTCATTAAAAGAAGAATTGTAATCTGCTCCTATTATTGACCCTTTGTCTACAGTTTTCAGGGGGCACCTCAATAGTTTTTTGAATCTGGTTTTCCTTGTGGGAAGGGGTGTGGTAATGAGAGGTCATTCCAGTTTGCTCATATTTTTCCTTTTATTTTTCATTAAATCTAAGTCTGAGTTACCTTTCTAGACTTAATAACAGAAAATATGTCCCACGCTTTCCTAGTCTGACATCAAAACATCATGTTGTATACCTTAAATATATCTATATATCTATATCTAATCTATCTATCTATCTATCTATCTATCTATCTATCTATCTATCTATCTATCTATCTATCCATCCATCAATCCTGCTTTTAGGCATGGGGACATCTTTGGGGGGTAAATCTCTCTTTTTGCCTTTCATTTAGGGAGAGTTTGATCTCTAAGATCTTAGGCCTTTTCTACCTTCACTTCCTGATAATACCTTGGTTTGTTTCCTGATATTTCTAAAGCTAAAACAGTCTCCTGGATGGTGGTTCTCTGTTCATTTAAAACACACTGCAGTTGTTCTGCCTGCTGCCAAGGTCCTTAATCGGTTGCTGTGCCAACCAGATTCTGAAGGCCAAGGCATTACTGCCACGGTCTTTTTTTAGAGCATTATTTTTTTGTTGTTGTTCTGAGGTTCTGAGTTTTTCCTTTGGATTTGTGGTAATTAATTTTATTGGCTTTTTTCCTGCTACTTCAATCATAGAAACAGCCATATTCCCTATGTTTCAGGGCTCTCACACTTTTTTTCCCATATATTTACTTTTTATTGAATTTGTTAATGTTACAGAGTTCTTGCACTGCCAAACTATGCCTGAGAAGTCAAAGAAATGGTACAATGGACAGCTTCATCCACCCATCATACAGTATATTAAAACTTGATTCACATACATTTTGATATTTTCACAATCTTTTAAACAGTTATAACAAGAGTTGGAATTTAAATCTGCTGCAGGTCTTCAGATTTCGAGTACAGTATGCCATTACATAACACCTCCACTTATTCATCTCGGTTTATTCTTCAATAACATAACCCCCAACAAAATTTTGCTGGAAAAATGCATACTTTTCAGGGAAAATATTTGGCTCAATGAAGAGATTATTTGTTAAGGTTTTTGCTTCCCAAATAAAGTCTTTAGCTTACCAAGAATCCCATTTCTGATTTAATCATTCAACCTCCCCTTGGCTGGCTCAGCTACTCACCGAAATGCATCAGAAGGTAGGCATCCTGCCTGCCACCTCAAATAATGACAATATTATTGCTCAGACATGGTTGGCAGGTCCTGTCAGGAGATATTGTAACCCTCCTAGAGTCTGATTCCTGCGCTGACACTTTCATCAAGACTGACTTCTATAGGAAAACGCTCCTACATCAGAATAGTTTTACTTACCCACTTGCTTCACTCTTGCCAGTAGCAAGTCTGCAACTCATGTATTTGGCAAAGGGATTTATTATAGAGAAACCCAGACTCTGCATCAAGTGGTCACATACCACTTTGAGATATTTCTATTGAACCAAAGATACAAAACTAGGAAACTGCCAGACTATCTCATTAGGTGGAAACTTTCCTGTAATCTGGGATAGCTTCCTCAAGTCCCTTTTAAAGGACCAAAAACTACTAGGTAGTTTAAGCTGTAATTATTAAAAACAGAAGTGCTACATCATCTTTCGCCCTGACTCTCCAAATGAACATAAAGACACACCAAAAGGTTGAAAACAGAGCTAGCTGGGAAAATCACGGCATGTATGAAACATCCAATACCTTGAAAATTTGGGCACAAGTATATAAGGAATTCTTATCAAAGATACATGCACAATCCATGAAACTTAAATGGGTTTTAGCTGAGGTTTTGCTCATGTTGCTCTGCATTTATAAGGACAGATCAGTGAATCCCTTAGCCTGAGCAGAAAGCATATTCTTCTCACTGCAGGTTACTATACAATTTAGACCTGATTAGAGAAGGTATTAGCAACACCTGAAGTAGAGCCTCCAGCATCCACTGCCCTTTACATATTTGGTTCCACCCTCAGGATTGGCATATTCATGAGACATTTCACAGTTCAAATGCATACTTCAGGTTACTTAACCAGGCTATAAGCTCTGTCAAATAACTTATTTCAAGTCAAAGTAAAAAAGGCCTTAATGTAGAACAAAGAAAAGCACTTTCCAAATAAAAAATTACTAAAAGAAACAAGATTATTCTCTCCCTCACCCCTTCTCCCACTCAGTGGACCCCAGTTTGGCTGAATTTATTTTGTGGTTACCTCAGAATACAACTAAAAGTTTAAATTACAAATCACAGCCTTACACAGATGATCCGAACATATCAGTTCTTTTGAGCGGTGTGTTCCAGAAAGTCTAATATAGCCACAGCCTACTACACAGGGTATTCCTTAAGGGCAGGGAACATGACAGGTTAATTAAGGAACTTAAATCTTCATCTTTTATAGCAAATCAGAACCCAGATGGCTGACTTTCTGCAGGATTTCTGATAAGAATCCAGTAGAGCTGGTTTCAAGGTTCACATTGATACTTAATAGCTATAACTTTCTTATCCAGAAGTTGTGATCCACATGAAGTCTACAATGAGTGCAACAAATCTGAGGTAGTCAACCTTTATGAAGGCTCAGTATCTGAACATAAAAAGATTTTGAAATGACCACTGTCTACAGGCTTTGGTTTTTGTATTTGCAGAGTAAATATGAAAGAACACTGTTGAAACTAGTTCAACATTTATATAACAATGAAAATTCCCCTAAATCCAATAAGCATAAAGAGCAGTCGTGAAACTTTAACTTCCATAGTGAAATAGGGCTGGTCACTTAAACCAAGTGGTATGCATCAGTTGTTGTAGATCCAGCAAAAATCAGACGATGAATGGCTTTTCATGCTCTCACACTTCTTAATCTGGTTTACAATAATGCCTATCACTCTTTGAGTCTTTGAAATTCACAGCCAGTATTAGGATCTACCTAAGGAACATTCAGAACCAATTAAAGAACTTGTAGTAGAGGAAAGGGGGCCTCAGAAGCAAGGCATGGAAGTCACCCACGTCTCTAGGTGAGTTGTACTATGTTACCGTCTCTGACAATGAATGTAGTTTAGAATAAGATAAAGAACAACATAATATGGACAGCTGGTACCATTTATTAAAACTTGAGGCCTCAATAAATCCTCACCCATCAATGCTCGATCTGCAGCCAAAACAGGAACAGAATGAAGAAAGAAGGGGAAACAAGCTATAGTATCTGAATTATGCCACTGTACTAAAGAGTAAGATATGTCCAGAAAAGACATAGAACCTTTATTCATAGCAGTCAAACACTAGAAACAACCCAAATGCCCATTAACAGGAAAAACAGATAAACAAATTGTGGTATTCTATTACACGATAAACTACTCAGGAAAAAAAAATTAGATCGAACATTTTGAGCAAGAATGTTTCATAGATACTGTTGTGCACTTCATGTTGCATCACATCAGGAGGCACGTAATAATGCCCAAGTGTCCTAATAATAGTGGAACTGAGTTTGATAACTTGGTTAAAATTTCTCCACTGACAAAACATTTTTTCCTTTGTAATCAGTAAATTATCAATGGGATGATACTTTGAGACTTTATGCATATCCTTTTCTCTAACAATTTTCACCCAATAATTTTAGCATCCACTGATGATCCTTATCTAAATTCATTATTACATTGGGACTGCAAAATGATAATTTTCTTTCTCTTTTTAAAAAAATTATTGAGGTGGAGAAATGATGATTTTCTAAATCTATCATCTTTCTATATTTGTTAGCTGCTATTCTTCTGCAAAGAAAAACTTTATTTTAAAAATTTTTTTCCTGAACGGAGTATTTTAATGGTATCACTCTCAGGGACTTAGGAATATACAAATGTTAGCTCCATACTATTCACACTGTTTTGCACCCTTTTAAAATAAGTACTTGGGATATAATGTACAGCATGGTGACTATAGTTAATAGTACTTTATTGTTTACTTGAAATTTGCTAAGAGAGTATATCCTGTGTCCTCACCACCCCCAACACACAAACACAATGGTAACTTTGGTGATTAACATGTTAATTGATTTGATTCTGGTAATATTTCACAATGTATACACACATCAAAGCATTATGCCATACACCTTGAATATATACAAATTTTATTTGTATTATACTTCATTAAAGCTGAAAAATAAAATTAAAAAGGAAAAAATAACATGTATCTTGTTTTTACGGAAGTCTTTTTGTATAAGTACACACAGTACTTTATGGTTATAAATGGCTGTGTAGTATTCTATAGAATGAGCCTACAGAAATTTATTTAACCAGGTTCTTATGAATGGACATTTAGATTGTTTCCAGTCTTTTGCCATTAACAATGATGCTACAAACATCCTTGTACATATATTTTGTGAACACATTGCAGTTTGTCTTTAGATATTGCTAGGTTCCAGGGTATGTCATTTACAAGTATTTTAGGTACTATTAAACTAAAACACCAAATTTTAGGTACTACTAAACTAAAACACCATAAAGATTTTGTTCTCTGTAGCAATGTGCAAAGTACCAGTTTCCCTACACTCTTAAAATACAATGTGTTATTATATTTAAAAATCTTTGCAAATCTGAAAGGCAATAAAAAATATATCTCTTGAGAGTAGTTTGTCATTGCATTTATTTTATTAGGAGATTGTGTACCTTTCATCCATATGAAAGCCATTTGTATGTACTTTATTATGAGTGTCAACTAATAATGTTTTGCCCATTTTTCTTTTTTTAAAATTTTATTATTATTATACTTTAAGTTTTAGGGTACATGTGCACAATGTGCAGGTTTGTTACATATGTGTACATGTGCCATGTTGGTGTGCTGCACCCATTAACTCGTCATTTAGCATTAGGTATATCTCCTGATGCTATCTTTCCACCCTCCCCCCACCCCACAACAGTCCCCAGAGTGTGATGTTCCTCTTCCTGTGTCCATGTGTTCTCATTGTTCAATTCCCACCTATGAGTGAGAACATGTGGTGTTTGGTTTTGTGTCCTTGCGATAGTTTGCTGAGAATGATCGTTTCCAGTTTCATCCATGTTCCTACAAAGGACATGAACTCATCATTTTTTATGGCTGCATAGTATTCCATGGTGTATATGTGCCACATTTTCTTAATCCACTCTATCGTTGTTGGACATTTAGGTTGGTTCCAAGTCTTTGCTATTGTGAATAGTGCCGCAATAAACATACGTGTGCATGTGTCTTTATAGCAGCAAGTTTTATAATCCTTTGGGTATATACCCAGCAATGAGATGGCTGGGTCAAATGGTATTTCTAGTTCTAGATCCCTGATGAATCGCCACACTGACTTCCACAATAGTTGAACTAGTTTACAGTCCCACCAATAGTGTAAAAGTGTTCCTATTTCTCCACATCCTCTCCAGCACCTGTTGTTTCCTGACTTTTTAATGATTGCCATTCTAACTGGTGTGAGATGGTATCTCATTGTGGTTTTGATTTGCATTTCTCTGCTGGCCAGTGATGATGAGCATTTTTTCATGTGTTTTTTGGCTGCATAAATGTCTTCTTTTGAGAAGTGTCTGTTCATGTCCTTCGCCCACTTTTTGATGTGGTTGTTTGTTTTTTTCTTGCAAATTTGTTTGAGTTCATTGTAGATTCTGGATATTAGCCCTTTGTCAGATGAGTAGGTTGCAAAAATTTTCTCCCATTCTGTAGGTTGCCTGTTCATTCTGATGGTAGTTTCTTTTGCTGTGCAGAAGCTCTTTAGTTGAATTAGATCCCATTTGTCAATTTTGGTTTTTGTTGCCATTGCTTTTGGTGTTTTAGACATGAAGTCCTTGCCCATGCCTATGTCCTGAATGGTATTGCCTAGGTTTTCTTCTAGGGTTCTTATGGTTTTAGGTCTAACATTTAAGTCTTTAATCCATCTTGAATTAATTTTTGTATAAGGTGTAAGGAAGGCATCCAATTTCAGCTTTCTACATATGGCTAGCCAGTTTTCCCAGCACCATTTATTAAATAGGGAATCCTTTCCCCATTGCTTGTTTTTGTCAGGTTTGTCAAAGATCAGATAGTTGTAGATATGCGGCGTTATTTCTGAGGGCTCTGTTCTGTTCCATTGGTCTATATCTCTGTTTTGGTACCAGTACCATGCTGTTTTGGTTACTGTAGCCTTGTAGTATAGTTTGAAGTTAGGTAGCGTGATGCCTCCAGCTTTGTTCTTTTGGCTTAGGATTGACTTGGTGATGCGGGCTCCCTTTTGGTTCTATATGAACTTTAAAGTAGTTGTTTCCAATTCTGTGAAGAAAGTCATTGGTAGCTTGATGGGGATGGCATTGGATCTATAAATTACCTTGGGCAGTATGGCCATTTTCACGATATTGATTCTTCCTACCCATGAGCATGGAATGTTCTTCCATTTGTTTGTATCGTCTTTTATTTCATTGAGCAGTGGTTTGTAGTTCTCCTTGAAGAGGTCCTTCACATCCCTTGTAAGTTGGATTCCTAGGTATTTTATTCTCTTTGAAGCAATTGTGAATGGGAGTTCACTCCTGATTTGGCTCTCTGTTTGTCTGTTATTGGTGTATAAGAATGCTTGTGGTTTTTGTACATTGATTTTGTATACTGAGACTTTGCTGAAGTTGCTTATCAGCTTGAGGAGATTTTGGGCTGAGATAATGGGGTTTTCTAGATATACAATCATGTCATCTGCAAACAGGGACAATTTGACTTCCTCTTTTCCTATTTTGCCCATTTTTCTATTGTTATTTTGTTCATTTCCCTTACTAACTATATGTAAAGGAAATTAGCTCTTTGTTATACGTATTATAAATATTTTCCCAGTTTTTCATTTGCCTTTTGTTTATAGTATTTTCCCATGCAGATAAGAATGATTATTTATTTATCTATATTATTTTAATAAATCATAATTGTATACATTTTTGGGGTACAATGTGATATTTTGATATATGTATATAATGTGGAATGATTAAATCAAGCTAATTAACTTATCTATCATCTCACTTAATTTTTGCGCTGAGACTTTTGAAATGTATTCTCTTAGCTATTTTTAAATATACAATACATTATGATTAACTACAGTCACCCTGTTGTGCAACAGATCTCAAAAACTTATTCCTCCTGTCTAACTAAAACTTTGTTACTCCCATATGATTCAGCAGTCCCACTGACTGAAATCAGTATGTCAAAGAGATATCTGCACTCCCACGAGCATTGCAGCACTATTCACGATAGCCATGATATAGAATCAACCTAAGTGTTCCTCAATGGATGGACGGATAAAGAAAATGTGGTATGTGCATGCAATGGAATCAAATTCAGCCTTTAAAAAAAGAAAATCCTGTCATTTGTGTCAACACAGATGAACATGGAGGACATTATGTGAAGTGAAATAAGCCAGACACAGAAAGACAAACACCATGTGATCTCACTCATATGTGTGGAATATTAAAAGCCATGGATTTTGTTCTGGGTGCAGTGGTTTATGCCTGTAATTCCAGTGCTTTGGGAGGCCAAGGCAGGAGGATCACTTGAGATCAGGATTTCGAGACCAGCCTTGGCAACATAGTGAGACCCTGTCTCTTAAACTTTTTTTTCAAATTATCTAGGAGTGGTGGTACACACCTGTACTCCTAGCTATTTGGGAGGCTGAGGCAAAACGATTGCTTGAGCCCAAGAATTTGAGATTAAAGTGAGCTATGATCATGCCACTGCATTCCAGCCTGAGTGACAGAGCAAGAGCCTATCTGCAAAAAGTGGAAAAACAGGCTTTTATGAAATAAAATTCATCAATCTTTTTCTACTGTAGCTTCATTATTTTACATATTTCATAAATTTTGGTTGAAACATACTGTACAGAAAATTGCACATTATCATCCATATCATAAGTATGATTTAATGAATTTTCACTAGCTATATACTTCCATTAACCAGCACCCAGATCAATAAACAAAACAGGACCAATACCCTGGGTGTCCATTTTGTGCTCCCATGCAGTCACTGTCTGCTCCATTCCACACTTAAGATTTGGTTCATTTTGTATGGTTCCATTTGTTAATATAACATTTTAAAAATTCATTTTACCACATTTTCTTTGTTCAGTCTATTATTGATGGGCATTTATGTTGATTCCATATCTTTGTTATTGTGAATAGTGTTGCAATAAACATACATGTGCGTGTGTCTTTATAATAGAATGATCTACATTCCTTTGGGTATATACTCAGTAATGGGATTGTTGGGTCAATGGTATTTCTGTCTTTAGGTCTTTGAGGAATCACCACACTGTCTTTCACAATGTCTGAAATAATTTATATCCCCATCAACAGTGTATAAGGAATACTATGCAACCATAAAAAAGAACAAGATCATGTTCTTTGCAGGGACATGGATGGAGCTGGAGGCCATTATTCTTAGAAAACTAGCACAGGAACAGAAAATCATATGCCAGCATGTTCTCACTTACAGATGGGAGCTAAATGATGGGAACACATGGACACACAGAGGGGAACAACACTCACTGGGGTCTTTAGGAGGGTGGAAGGTGGGAGGAGGGAGAGGATCAGGAAAAATAACTAATGGGTACTAGGCTTAATACCTGGGTGATGAAATAATCTGTACAACAAACCCCCATGACACAAGTTTACCTATGTAACAAACCTGCACTTCCACCCCTGAACGTAAAATAAAAGTTTTTAAAAATTCATCTTAAGGTAAAGAGTTAAGTGCAGGATCCAATATTTTTTTCAGGTGACTATGTAGTTGTCCCAACACTTTTTATCTTTTCTCTACTGATATGGCATTCCAACTTTATCATATACCAGTTTCTTTTAGATATTCGAACCTATTTCTGAACTCACTTTTGTTTCATTGATGTGTCTATTTATTTATTCATGGTTTTAAGAAGGGGAATGACAGTCTATATTTCTAAAAGATCACTCTAGTTACTGTGTGGAGAATGGACTGTGAAGAGGAAGAGTGGGCAGAGAGCAAGTATGGAGACCATTTACAAGGATGCTGTAGTAATTTAGGTGAGATAAAATAGTGACTTTGACTAGAGAGGTACAGCATGATAGACAGAAATGGTCAGATGTCAGGTATGGTTTGGGCATTTAATTCACGTATTAGTACCACACGACTCTTTTAATTTCTGTGTCTTTATAGTATATTTTAATATCTCATAAGGCCAATCCCTCCTCATTACTCTTTTTTTAATGGAATTTTCAGGATTTTCTTGAATGTCCGTTTTTGCTATATGGACTTTAGAATCGGTTTGTCTCATTTCAAAAATCCTACTGGTGTTTTGATTAGTATCAAATTAAAGTTATAGACTAATATAAAGAGAAGAATTAACGTATATATAATGTGAGTCATCCTATCCAATAATAGGGCATGTATCAAAGACTTTGTATCCCTCAAAAGTATATACAAGATTTTTTCATACAGATCTTTTATGATTCACATGTTTTAATTCTGAGTTTTTTTGTAGTTGATATTTGAAATATTTTCTATTATATTATATTTTGATTTTTGTTTTTAATATCTCAAGCACACAAATGAATTACAAAAATCAAGCATTCATGCTTCTACCGCCTAGACTTAATGAATATTAAAATGTTTTGTATTTTTTAATTTTTTAAAGAATATAACATTTATGGGTAAAATTAAAGTCCCTGACCCATCTCATCTATCTCTTTCCCTCCCTACAGATAATCTGATATTGGCAAGTAGCCCCTCCTACCTTTCTATGCATCCATAAGCATTATATGGTATTGTCTTGTATACTGTTAAATTTTACAGTATCATAGTGTACCTGTCATTTTGCAACTTTTTTCTACTTAATGTTTTGGTTTTGGGCCAGGCATGGTGGCTCACACCTGTAATCCCAGCACTTTAAGAGGCCAAGGTGGGTGGATCACTTGAGGTTAGGAGTTTGAGACCAGCCTGGTCAACACAGTGAACTCCTGTCTCTATTAAAAATACAAAAATTAGCTGGTTATGGTGACACATGCCTGTTATTCCAGCTAGTTGGGAGGCTGAGGCACAAGAATCGCTTGAACCTGGGAGGTGGAGGTTGCAGTGGGCCAACAACTGCACTCCAGCCTGGGCGACAAAGCGAGACTCTATCTCAAAAAAAAAATTGGTTCTTGAAATTTATCTATGTTTCTACATGTAGTTTTATCTAACTCACTTTAACTGAACAAGAGAATTACGTTGTATGAATATAACACAATTTTTAAAAACCCATTCCACTATCAAGGGACATTTGGCTTGTTTTCAACTTTTTGGTATTGTAAACTATGTTGTAATGAATATCCTTAAATGCACATCTTCAGTATTACCAGATGTTGCCAAATTGCTTTCTGAATAGCTTCAACAAACTTACTCATGTATTCCACAGATATTTATTTACTCCAAAATATGTGCCAGCCACTATTCTAGGGGTTATGTATGCAACAGTGTCTCAGTCTGTTTGTACTGCTATAAAAGAATACCTGAGACTGGATAATTTATAAATAACAGAAATTTATCTTCTCACAGTTCTGGAGTCTGGTAACTCTAAGATCAGGGCACTGGATATGTTCAGTTTTCTGAGGAGCGCTGCTTTCAAGATGGAGCTTTGTTGCTGCATCCTCCTTGTTAAGGGAACATGATGTTCTCACATGGTGGAAGGCAGAAGGGCAAGTGAGCCAAATGATGCATGAAGAATCTTTTCTAAGGGCCTTAATCTCATTCTTGAGGGGAGGAGCCCTCATTACCTGATTACTTCTCAAGGGCCCTACCTCTTAATACCATCACATTGGCCATTAAGTTTCAGCACCTGGATTTTGGAGGGGACACATTCAAACCAGAGCAAACTGAACAAAGTAGACAAAAGTCCCTTCCTTCTGGATATTACATTGAAGTTGGGAGGAAACAGATAAAACCCCAAATGCCTAAATAAGATATAGAACATGTTATATGCAGATAAGTTAGAAGAAAAATAAGGCAAGGAAACGGAATACAGAGTGTTGTGATTGTTAATTTTTTTTTTTTTTTTTGAGATGGAGTTTCACTCTTGTTGCCCAGGCTGGAGTGCAATGGTGTGATCTCGGCTCACTGCAACCTCCGCCTCCCGGGTTCAAGCAATTCTCCTGCCTCAGCCTCCAGAGTAGCTGGGGTCACAGGCATGTGCCACCATGCCAGGCTAATTTTGTATTTTTTAGTAGAGATGGGGCTTCTCCATGTTGGTCAGGCTGGTCTCAAACTCCCGACCTCAGGTGATCTGCCCGCCTTGGCAGATCAAAGTGTTGTGATTACATGTGTGAGCCACCGCATCTGGCTGTGATTGTTATTTTTTAAGTGTCAACTTGGCTATGCTATACTACCCAGTTATTAAATCAAATACTAATCTAGATGTTGCTGTGAAGGTATTTTATAGATGTGATTAACATGTACGAATCAGTTGACTTGAAGTAAAGGAGATTACCCTCAATAATGTGGCTGGGCCTCATCCAATCACTTGAAGGCCTTAAGAACAAACATGATGTTTCCTGGAGGAGAAGGAATTCTGCCTCAAGACCGTAGCATCATCTCCTGCAGAGTTTCTAGTCCGACAGCCTGCTCTGTGGATTTCAGACTTGCCAGCCCCCACAATTGCATGAGCCAATTTTTAAAGACAACTCACTTATAAGTTTTATAAAGACAAAATAAAAAAGATAAATAAAATAATAAAAAAGATAAAATATAAATCTTATTTATAAGAGAGTTATCTTTAAAAATAAGATTCTATTTGTCCTATTTG
Organism: Homo sapiens; assembly: GCF_000001405.40. Taxonomy (NCBI): domain Eukaryota; kingdom Metazoa; phylum Chordata; class Mammalia; order Primates; family Hominidae; genus Homo; species Homo sapiens. The sequence goes on from NC_000023.11 coordinate 74,679,382, forward strand.
TTCTATTTTTCTGAAGAACACTGACTGACATAGCTTTTGTTACCAAGAATGGTTCTAGAGGAACAGAATCTTAAGGATGGGTTTTCTGAATTGGTTCTGAAGTTTCCAAAATTGCTTCTCTGATCTGATTAGGTTTAAATGCACTAATGACTACTTACAATAGTAAAGAGGACACTGGGGGAAATGAAATAATCAGACTTTTCAGAAATCACTAAACACAAGGTCTGAACTGACGTGAATTCCAGGAGACTCAAAATGGCACTGTGGTCCACCAGTCAGATTAGGGGCTTATGGGGATCAGTTATTTAATGGAGTTTTAGTTCACATCTACCTCACAGTGGCCTCAGTAGGTTCCTGAAACCATCCTCTGGTTATTTCCCCAGTTCTGGGACATATAATTGGAATAGACACAGTCGGCAGCAACTGGTAGAATCCGCACATTGATTCCCTGGCTTGTGGATTGAGGGTTATTATGGTAGAAAAGGTCAAGTGGAACTCACTAGAACTGCCTCTGCTTAGAAAAATATTAAACAAAAAGCAATACTACATTCCTGGAGGGACTGTAGAGATCAGTGCCACCACCAACGGCTTGAAAAATGCAAGGGTGATGATTCCCACCATATCCCCATTCAACTTACCTATTTGGCCTATATAGAAAACACATGGATTTTTTGCTTGCTTCAACAACACATATACTATAATTAGAACAATACAGAGAAGATTATCATGACCCCTGTGCAAAGATGACATGCAAATTTGTGAAGTATTTCATATTTTTGAGAAATGATAAATGCTTAAGGTGATGGATATGGTAATTACCATGATTCGATCACTATACAATTTATACATTTATGGAAACATCCATCATGTTGTACCCTATAAATATGTATAATTATTATGTGTCAATTTTTTAAAAGTTGAATCTTGGAGAATGACAGTGGATTTTCAAAAGCTTAACCAGGTAGTGACTCCAATTGCAGCTGCTGCACCAGATGTAGTTTCATTGCTTTAACAAATTAATATATCTTCTGGTATCTGCTATGCAGCTATCAATTTGGCAAATGCCTTTTTTCTAAATGTCTGTTAGTAAAGACCACCAGAAGAAGTTTGCTTAATCTGGCAAAGCTGGCAATACTTTTCTTATCTCTATCAGTTCTCTACCTTATTTCATAATTTACTTCACAGGAAACATGCTTGACTTCCCCTTCCACAAGACATCACACTGATTCATTGCATGGATGACATTATGTTGATTGGACCTAGTGAGCAAGCAATAGCAACTACTCTAGACTTATTGGTAATACATTTACACATCAGAGGGTGAGAAAGAAATTTTTTAAAATAAGATAACTTTTACATCAGTGAAATTTTTTCTATGAACTTTTACCTCATAGAAATTTCTATGGCTCCAGTGATGCGGGGCATATAAAGATATCCTTTCTATGGTAAAGATTATGTTCTTGCATCTGGCCTTTTCTACAACCAGAAAAAATGCACAACACCTGATGGGCCTCTTTAAACTTTTGAGGCAACATATTTCTCATTTGGCTCATTTACTGAGTGACCTAAAAAGTTGCTAGTTTTGAGTGGGGCCCAGAACAAGTGAAGTCTCTGCAACTGGTCCAGGCTGCCATGCAAGCTGCTCTGCCACTTGGGCCATATGTTCCAGAAGATTCAATGGTGCTTGAAGTGTCAGTTGCAGATAGAAATGCTTCTTGGAGCCTTTGGCAGGCCGCTATAGGTGAATTGCAACACATATTCATAGGAATTTGGAGCAAAGCTCTGCTGTCCTCTGCAGATAACTACTATCCTTTTGAGAAACAGCTTTTGGCTTGCTACTGGGCCTTAGTAGAGACTGAAAAATTAACCTTTGGTCACCATGCTGATGCTACAATGTGACCTGAGCTGTCCTTCATGAACTGAGTATTATCTGACCCACCAAGCCATAAAGTTGGGCATGCACACCAGCACTCAATCACCAAATGGAAATTGTATACAAAGTTGGGCTTGAGCAGGCCCAGAAGGCACAAGTAAGCTACATGAAGAAGTGGCCCAAATGCCTATGGCCCCACTCTTAGTATATTACCCCCTCTCTCCCACCCTGCGCCTATTGCCTCATAGGAGTTCTCTGTGATAAGTTGAATGAAGAAGAGGAAATGAGCCTGGTTTACAGATGGTTGTCCATGATATGAAGCCACCACCTGAAAGTAGGCAGCTCTGCCACTAATAACCCCTTTCTGGGATATCCCAGAAAGACAGCGATGAAGGGAAATCCTCCCGGTGGGCAGAACATAGAGCACTGCATATTGTACCTTGTTGTTCATTTTTACTTAGAAGGAGAAATGGCCAGAAGTTTGAGTGTATGTTGGTTCATGGACGGTGTCCAGTGGTTTAGATGGATGGTTAGGGACTTGGAAGGAACATGATTGGAAAATTGGTGATGAGGAGGTAAGAGAAAAAGATATGTGGGTGGACCTCTATGAATGGGTTAAAAAAAAAACCCTGAAGATATTTGTGTCCCATGTGAATGCTAACCAAAGAGCGACCTCAGCAGAGCAAGATTTTTATAATCAAGTGGATAGGATGACCTGTTCTGTGGATAACAGTCAGTCACCTTCCTCAGCTACTTCTGTCATTGCCCAACGGGCTCATTTACAAAGTGGTCATGGTGGTAGGGATATAAATTACTCATGGGATTAGCAACATGGACTTCAATTCACTAAGGTTGACCTGGCTATACCCACTGCTCAGAGTACTCAATCTGTCAGCAGCAGAGACCATCACTGAGTCATTCCCCAGGGTGATCAGCAAGTTATTGATGTCTGGTTGATTATATTCAACCACTTCTATCATAGAAGGGACAGCATTTTTTCTTACTGGAATAGAAACTTACTCTAAGTATGGATTTACCTTCCTTGCTCACAATGATTTTGCCAAAACTACCATCTGTGGACTTACAGAATGCCTTATCCACTGCCATGTTATTCTACATAACATTGCTTCTGATTAAGGAACTCACTTTACATATGAAGTTGGAGCAGTGGGCCCAAGTTCATCGAATTCACTGGCCTCACCATGTTCCCAGCCATCCTGAAGCAACTGGTTTGGTAGAATAATGTAATGGCCTTTTAAAGGCTTGGTTATAGTATTAACTACATGGCACCACCTTGCAGGACTGGGGCATGCTCTTTAGGAGGCTATATATGCTCTAAATAAGTGTCAAATATATGGTGCTCTTTCTCCTGTAGACAGGATTCACAGGTCCAGGAATCAAGGGGTGAAAATTGGAGTGGTATTACTTACTATACCCTAGTTATCCACTAGCAAAGTTTTTGCTTCCTGTCCCCATGACCTTATGCCATGCTGGTCTTGAGGTCTTAGTTCCAAAGGGTGGGATGCTACCACCAGGAGATACAATAATTCAATTGAACTGTAATTTAAGATTGTTACCCTGCTACTTTGGGCTTCTTGTGCCTCTAAGTTAATGGGCAACAAAGGGAGTTACTGTACTGCTGGCGTGATTGATCTTGATTACCAAGGAAACAGTTTGCAACTTGTTGGGCTCTTACTTCACAATAGAGGTAAGTAAGTATGAGTATGTCTGGAATACAGTAGACCCATTAGAAGATCTCTTAGTACTACCAGGTCCTGTGATTAAGGTCAACGGAAAGCTACAGCTGGGCATGGTGGCACACATCTGTAGTCCCAGTTACTCAAGAGGCTGAAGCAGGAGTATTGTTTGAGCCAAGGAATTCAAGGCCAGTCTCAGCTACATAGTGAGACTCCCATCTCTAAAAAGCACTACTATAATTCAACTCAATGGGACTACTAATTGCTCAGAACTCTCCGGAATGAAGGTTTGGGTCACCCTACCCCAGCCCACCAGGGAAGGAACCATAAGAAGCTGAGATATTTGCTGAGGGCAAAGGGAATATGGAATGGGTAATGGAAGAAGGTTGTTTTAAATACCAGCTAGGAGTTGCAGATGATCAGTTGCAGAAACGAGAATCGTAATTATTATTATTATTATTAGTAGTAGTACTAGTGTTTGAGATGGAGTTTTTGCTCTTGTTGCCCAGGCTGGAGTGCAATAGCGCAACCTCCGCCCCCCGGGTTCAAACGATTCTCCTGCCTCAGCCTCCCAAGTAGCTGGGATTACAGGCATGCGCCTCTACGCCCTGCTAATTTTGTATTTTTAGCAGAGATGGAGTTTCTGCATGTTGGTCAGTCTGGCCTCGAACTCCCAACCTCAGGTGATCTGCCCGCCTCGGCCTCCCAAAGTACTAGGATTACAGGTGTGAGCCACCATGCCCGGCCAAGAATTGTAATTATTATGAGTAGTTCTTCCTTATAATAAGGGGGAAATACTCATAGAATTTTTCTTTGTCATAAATATGCTTGTTTGTGTGTATATTCATGTCAATTTTCATTTCTTCTCTCTCATCTTCTTATCATATAAAATAAAATGTATTAGTAATAATTAACCTTACATCACAGTATTTAAGTCACAGGATATCAAGGAGAAGAATGAATATAACCCAGGGACTTTGCATCCTCTCACGAGGAAAGGGTTAGTGCATTTTCAGTTGTACAGAGTTGTAACAAGAGTTGTGTCTTGTTAGATGGAAGCATGAATTTGTTATTATCTTTATTTGGAGATATATGTATGGGTGCCTATTTGGTGAGGGGTAGATTGTTATGGTTCATTTTATATGTCATCTTGGGCCAGGCGTGGTGGCTCATGCTTGTAATCCCAGCACTTTGGGAGGCCGAGGCGAGTGGATCATTTGAGGTCAGGAGTTTGAGATCAGCCTGACCAACATGGTGAACCCCCGTCTCTACTAAAATACAAAAATAAGCCGGGCATGATGGCAGGCACCTGTAATCTCAGCTACTTGGGAGGCTGAGACAGGAGAATCCCTTGAACCCAGGAGGTGGAGGTTGCAGTGTGCTGAGACTGCACCACTGCACTCCAGCCTGGGTGACAGAGCGAGACTCCCTTTTTAAAAAAACAATAAAAACAATAAAAAATACGTCAACTTAGCTAGTTTATAGCACTGTTATTTAATCAAACATTGATTTAGGTGTTTCTATGAAGGCATTTTGTGGTTTACATGTACAATAATTTGATTTGAAGTAGAGCATATTACCCTTCATAATGTGGATGGGCTTCATCCAATGAGTCTCAGGCTGTAAGAGCAAATCCTGAAGTTTTTCTGGCAAAGAAATATGTCAAGACTAAAGTGTCACGTTCTGCCAAGTTTCTAGCCTGCTGGTTTGCCCTACAGATTTCCAAGTCAAGATTGCTGCATCAACTCCTGCTGGAGTTTCCAGCCTGCCAGCCTGTCCTACAGAATTCAGACTTGCCAGCCCCCACAACTATGTGAGCCAATTCCTTGAAATATATCCTATATATGTCTTTATATATATACTTATAAATATATGTATATTTACATATTTATCTCCTATTGGTCTGTTTCGAGAACACTGACTGATACAAATGTGGAGGGATAATTTTAAATAGGATGGAGAGGAAAGGTAACTTATGAGTACCATTTATATTCCCATCAATAGTTAATGCTTTTTATTTTTACTGTTTTCAAAAAAGTACTTTATTTTTCAAATTATTTTTAAATAAACTTTTCATTTTGAGATAATGTAGATTCACATGCAGTTTATTGATCTTTTCAAAGAGCTAGATTTTGGTTTTTAATTTTTATTGATTTCTCATATTATCTTTATTATTTCCTTCCTTCTGCTTGCTTTGGGTTTGTTTTGCTCTTTTTCTGTTTTATAAATTTCTTTTTTAAAGCTTTTTAAAAACTCAGTGGTAAGAATTTTCAAGTTTCTTCAGGGTGAATCTTAGATGATTGTTTTGAGATGTTTCCTGTTTTCTTTTTTAAAAAAATTTTTATGGGTACAAACTAGGTGTGTATATTTATGGGTTACATGAAATATTTTGATGCAAGCATGCAACATGTAATGATTACATCAGGGTAAATGGGGTAACCATCCTCTCAAACATTTATCCTTTGTGTTACAAACAATCTAATTATAACATCGTAGTTATTTACAAATGTACAGTTAAATTATTTTCTCTATAGTCACCCTGTTATGCTAGCAAAAACTGGGTTTTATTCATTCTTTGTAACTATTTTTTTGTACACATTAACCACCTCCACTTCCTACCCCACACCCACTACCCTTCTTAGCCTCTGGTAACCATCCTTCTATTCTCTAGCTTCATAAGTTCAATTATTTTAATTTTTAGCTCCCACAAATAAGTGAGAACATGTGATCTTTGTCTTTCTGTGCCTGGCTTATTTTGCTTAACATAATAATCTCCATTTCCATCTGTGTTGTTGCAGATGACAGGATTTCATTTTTTATGGGTGAATAGTACTCCATTGTGTATATGTACCACATTTGCTTTATCCATTCATCTGTTGATGAACACTTAGGTTGCTTGCAAATCTTGGCTATTGTAAATAGTGCTGCAATAAATATGGGAGTGCAGATACCTCCTTGATATACTGATTTTCTTTCTTTTGGGTATATACCTAGGAGTGGGATTGCCAGATCATATGGTAGCTCTATAGTTAGTTTTTTTGAGTTCTCCATTAGTAGTTGTACTAATTTACATCCCCACCAATAGTGTATGACGGTTCCCTTTTCTCCACATCCTCACCAGCATATATTATTGCCTGTCTTTTAAATAAAAGGCATTTTACCTGGGGTAAGACAGTATCTCACTGTAGTTTTGATTTTCATTTCTCTGATAATCAATAATGTTCAGCACATTTTCATATATCTGCTTGTCATTTGTGATGTATTATTTTCAGAAACGTCTATTCAAATCTTTTGCTCATTTAAAAATTGAATTATTAGACATTTTTCCCATTGAGTTGTTTGAGCTCCTTATATATTCTGGTTATTAATTCCTTGTCAGATGAGTAGTTTGCAAATATTTTCTCCCCTTCTGTGGGTTGTCTCTTCATTTTGTTGATTGTTTCCTTTGCTGTGCAGAAGCTTTTCGACTTGATGTAATCCCATTTGTCCATTTTTGCTTCGGTTGCCTGTGTTTGTAGGGTATTACTCAACAAATTTTTCCCCAGGCCAATGTCCTGGAGATTTTCCCCAATGTTTTCTTGTAGTAGTTTCATAGTTTGAGGTCTTAGATTTAAGTCTTTAATCCATTTTGATTTGATTTTTGTATACGGCAAAAGACAGGGTTCTAGATTCATTCTTCTGTACGTGGATATCCAGATTTCTCAGCGCCATTTATAGTCTTTTCCCTAGTGTATGTTCTTGGCACCTTTGTTGAAAATGAGTTCACTGCAGGTGTGTGAATTTGTTTCTGGTTTCTGTATTCTGTTGCATTGGTCTACGTGTCTGTTTTTATGCTGGTACCATGCTGTTTTGGCTTCTGTAGCTCTGTAGTATAATTTGTAGTCAGGTAATGTAATTCCTTCAGGTTCGTTCTTTTTGTTTAGGATAGCTTTGGCTATTCTGGGTCTTTTGTGGTTTTAAATACATTTTAGTATTGTTTTTGTTATTTCTGTATAGAAATAAAATTTCTGTAAAGAAATAGAAAATAGATAGGAATTGCATTAAATCTGTAGATTGCTTTGGGTAGTATGGACATTTTAACAACATCGATTCTTCCAATACATGAACATGGAATGTCTTTCCATTTTCTTCTGTCTTCTTCAATTTTTTGCATCAGTGCTTTATAGTTTTCATTGCAGAGATCTTTCACTTCTTTGATTAGGTTAATTCCTAAGTATTTAATTTTATTTGTAGCTATTGTAAGTGGGATTACTTTCTTGATTTCCTTTTCAGATTGTTGGCTGTTGAGAAATGCTACTGATTGCTGTATGTTGATCTTGTGTCCCGCAACTTTACTGAATTTTTTTATTTTATATTATTTTATTTTATTATTTATTTATTTAAAAATTATTATTATACTTTAAGTTCTAGGGTCCATGTGCACAATTTGCAGGTTTGTTACATATGTATACATGTGCCATGTTGGTGTGCTGCACCCATCAACTCGTCATTTAGCATTAGGTGTATCTCCTAATGCTATCCCTCCCCCATCCCCCGACCCCACAACAGTCCCCAGTGTGTGATGTTCCCCTTCCTGTGTCCATGTGTTCTCATTGTTCAATTCCCACTAATGAGTGAGAACATGCAGTGTTTGGTTTTTTGTCCTTGTGATAGTTTGCTGAGAATGATGATTTGCAGCTTCATCCATGTCCCTACAAAGGACATGAACTCATCATTTTTTATGGCTGCATAGTATTCCATGGTGTATATGTGCCACATTTTCTTAATCCACTCTATCGTTGTTGGACATTTAGGTTGGTTCCAAGTCTTTGCTATTGTGAATAGTGCCGCTATAAACATACGTGTGCATGTGTCTTTATAGCAGCAAGTTTTATAATCCTTTGGGTATATACCCAGCAATGAGATGGCTGGGTCAAATGGTATTTCTAGTTCTAGATCCCTGACGAATCGCCACACTGACTTCCACAATAGTTGAACTAGTTTACAGTCCCACCAATAGTGTAAAAGTGTTCCTATTTCTCCACATCCTCTCCAGCACCTGTTGTTTCCTGACTTTTTAATGATCGCCATTCTAAATGGTGTGAGATGGTATCTCATTGTGGTTTTGAGTTGCATTTCTCTGATGGCCAGTGATGGTGAGCATTTTTTCATGTGTTTTTTGGCTGCATAAATGTCTTCTTTTGAGAAGTGTCTGTTCATGTCCTTTGCCCACTTTTTGATGTGGTTGTTTGTTTTTTTCTTGTAAATTTGTTTGAGTTCATTGTAGATTCTGGATATTAGCCCTTTGTCAGATGAGTAGGTTGCAAAAATTTTCTCCCATTCTGTAGGTTGCCTGTTCACTCTGATGGTGGTTTCTTTCACTGTGCAGAAGCTCTTTAGTTGAATTAGATCCCATTTGTCAATTTTGGCTTTTGTTGCCATTGCTTTTGGTGTTTTAGTCATGAAGTCCTTCCCTGTGCCTATGTCCTGAATGGTATTGCCTAGGTTTTCTTCTAGGGTTTTTATGGTTTTAGGTCTGACATTTAAGTCTTTAATCCATCTTGAATTAATTTTTGTATAAGTTGTAAGGAAGGGATCCAGTTTCAGCTTTCTACATATGGCTAGCCAGTTTTCCCAGCACCATTTATTAAATAGGGAATCCTTTCCCCATTGCTTGTTTTTGTCAGGTTTGTCAAAGATCAGATAGTTGTAGATATGCGGCGTTATTTCTGAGGGCTCTGTTCTGTTCCATTGGTCTATATCTCTGTTTTGGTACCAGTACCGTGCTGTTTTGGTTACTGTAGCCTTGTAGTATAGTTTGAGGTCAGGTACCATGATGACTCCAGCTTTGTTCTTTTGGCTTAGGATTGACTTGGTGATGCGGGCTCTTTTTTGGTTCCATATGAACTTTAAAGTAGTTGTTTCCAATTCTGTGAAGAAAGTCATTGGTAGCTTGATGGGTATGTCATTGAATCTATAAATTACCTTGGGCAGTATGGCCATTTTCACGATATTGATTCTTCCTACTCATGAGCATGGAATGTTCTTCCATTTGTTTGTATCGTCTTTTATTTCATTGAGCAGTGGTTTGTAGTTCTCCTTGAAGAGGTCCTTCACATCCCTTGTAAGTTGGATTCCTAGGTATTCTATTCTCTTTGAAGCAATTGTGAATGGGAGTTCACTCCTGATTTGGCTCTCTGTTTGTCTGTTATTGGTGTATAAGAATGCTTGTGATTTTTGTACATTGATTTTGTATCCTGAGACTTTGCTGAAGTAGCTTATCAGCTTGAGGAGATTTTTGGGCTGAGACGATGGGGTTTTCTAGATATACAATCATGTCATCTGCAAACAGGGACAATCTGACTTCCTCTTTTCCTAATTGAATGCCCTTTATTTCCTTCTCCTGCCTGATTGCCGTGGCCAGAACTTCCAACACTATGTTGAATAGGAGTGGTGAGAGAGGGCATCCCTGTCTTGTGCCAGTTTTCAAAGGGAATGCTTCCAGTCTTTGCCTATTCTGTATGATATTGGCTGTGGGTTTGTCATAGATAGCTCTTATTATTTTCAGATACGTCACATCAATACCTAATTTATTGAGAGTTTTTAGCATGAAGGGCTGTTGAATTTTGTCAAAGACCTTTTCTGGATCTATTGAGATAATCATGTGGTTTTTGTCTTTGGTTCTGTTTATATGCTGGATTTTATTTATTGATTTTCATATGTTGAACCAGCCTTGCATCCCAGGGATGAAGCCCACTTGATCATGGTGGATAAGCTTTTTGATGTGCTGCTGGATTCCGTTTGCCAGTATTTTATTGAGGATTTTTGCATTGATGTTCATCAAGAATATTGGTCTAAAATTCTCTTTTTTTGTTGTGTCTCTGCCAGGCTTTGGTATCAAGACGATGCTGGCCTCATAAAATGAGTTAGGGAGGATTCCCTCTTTTTCTATTGATTGGAATAGTTTCAGAAGGAATGGTACCAGTTCCTCCTTGTACCTCTGGTAGAATTCGGCTGTGAATCCATCTGGTCCTGGACTTTTTTTGGTTGGTAAGCTATTGATTATTGCCTCAATTTCAGAGCCTGTTATTGGTCTATTCAGAGATTCAAGTTCTTCCTAGTTTAGTCTTGGAAGGATATATGTGTCAAGTAATTTATCCATTTCTTCTAGATTTTCTAGTTTATTTGCATAGAGGTGTTTAGAGTATTCTCTGATGGTAGTGTGTATTTCTGTGGGATCAGTGGTGATATCCCCTTTATCACTTTTTACTGCGTCTATTTGATTCTTCTCTCTTTTCTTCTTTATTAGTCTTGCTAGCGGTCTATCAATTTTGTTGATCTTTTCAGAAAACCAGCTCCTGGATTCATTAATATTTTGAAGTGATTTTTGTGTCTCTATTTCCTTCAGTTCTGCTCTGATCTTAGTTATTTCTTGCCTTCTGCTAGCTTTTGAATGTGTTTGCTCTTGCTTTTCTAGTTCTTTTAATTGTGATGTTAGGGTGTCAATTTGAGATCTTTCCTGCTTTCTCTTGTGGGCAGTTGGTGCTATAAATTTCCCTCTACAAACTGCTTTGAATGTGTCCCAGAGATTCTGGTATGTTGTATCTTTGTTCTCGTTGGTTTCAAAGAACATCTTTATTTATGACTTCATTTCGTTATTTACCCAGTAGTCATTCAGGAGCAGGTTGTTCAGTTTCCATATAGTTGAGCGGTTTTGAGTGAGTTTCTTAATCCTGCGTTCTAGTTTGATTGCACTGTGGTCTGAGAGACAGTTTGTTATAATTTCTGTTCTTTTACATTTGCTGAGGAGTGCTTTACTTCCAACTATGTGGTCAATTTTGGAATAGGTGTGATGTGGTGCTGAAAAGAATGTATATTCTGTTGATTTGGGGTGGAGAGTTCTGTAGATGTCTATTAGGTTCGCTTGGTGCAGAGCTGAGTTCAATTCCTGGGTATCCTTGTTGACTTTCTGTCTTGTTGACCTGTCTAATGTTGACAGTGGGGTGTTAATATCCCCCATTATTATTGTGTGGGAGTCTAGGTCTCTTTGTAGGTCCCTCAGGACTTGCTTTATGAATCTGGGTGCTCCTGTATTGGGTGCATATATATTTAGGATAGTTAGCTCTTCTTGTTGAATTGATCCCTTTACCATTATGTAATGGCCTTCTTTGTCTCTTTTGATCTTTGTTGGTTTAAAGTCTGTCTTATCAGAGACTAGGATTGCAACCCCTGCTTTTTTTTGTTCTCCATTTGCTTGGTAGATCTTCCTCCATCCCTTTATTTTGAGCCTATTTGTGTCTCTGCACATGAGATGGGTTTCCTGAATACAGCACACTGATGGGTCTTGACTCTTTATCCAATTTGCCAGTCTGTGTCTTTTAATTGGAGCATTTAGTCCACTTACATTTAAAGTTAATATTGTTATGTGTGAATTTGATCCTGTCTTTATGATGTTAGCTGGTTTTTTTTTTTCATTAGTTGATGCAGTTTCTTTTTAGCCTTGATAGTCTTTACAATTTGGCATGTTTTTGCAGTGGCTGGTACCAGTTGTTCCTTTCCATGTTGAGTGCTTCCTTCAGGAGCTCTTTTAGGGCAGGCCTGGTGGTGACAAAATCTCTCAGCATTTGCTTGTCTGTAAAGGATTTTATTTCTCCTTCACTTGTGAAGCTTAGTTTGGCTGGATATGATATTCTGGGTTGAAAATTCTTTTCTTTAAGAATGTTGAATATTGGTCCCCACGCTCTTTTGGCTTATAGAGTTTCTGCCGAGAGATCCGCTGTTAGTCTGATGGGCTTCCCTTTGTGGGTAACCCGACCTTTCTCTCTGGCTGCCCTTAACATTTTTTCCTTAATTTCAACTTTGGTGAATCTGACAATTATGTGTCTTGGAGTTGTTCTTCTTGAGGATTATCTTTGTGGCGTTCTCTGTATTTCCTGAATTTGAATATTGGCCTGCCTTGCTAGGTTGGGGAAGTTCTCCTGGAGAATATCCTGCAGAGTGTTTTCCAACTTGGTTCCATTCTCCCCGTCACTTTCAGGTACACCAATCAGATGTAGATTTGGTCTTTTCACATAGTCCCATATTTCTTGGAGGCTTTGTTCATTTCTTTTTATTCTTTTTTCTCTAAACTTCTCTTCTTACTTCATTTCATTCATTTCACCTTCCATCACTGATACCCTTTCTTCCAGTTGATCACATCAGCTCCTGAGGCTTCTGCATTCATCACGTAGCTCTCGTGCTTTGATTTTCAGCTCCATCAGGACCTTTAAGGACTTCTCTGCATTGGTTATTCTAGTTATCCATTTGTCTAATTGTTTTTCAAAACTTTTAACTTCATTGCCATTGGTTCGAATTTCCTCCTGTAGCTCGGAGTAGTTTGATCGTCTGAAGCCTTCTTCTCTCAGCTCATCAAAGTCATTCTCCGTCCAGCTTTGTTGCATTGCTGGTGAGGAGCTGCGTTCCTTTGCAGGAGGAGAGGCGCTCTGCTTTTTAGAGTTTCCAGTTTTTCTGCTCTGTTTTTTCCCCATCTTTGTGGTTTTATGTACCTTTGGTCTTTGATGATGGTGACATACAGATGGATTTTTGGTGTGGATGTCCTTTCTGTTTGTTAGTTTTCCTTCTAACAGAGAGTACCCTCAGCTGCAGGTCTGTTGGAGTTTTCTGGAGGTCCACTCCAGACCCCGTTTGCCTGGGTATCAGCAGTGGTGCCTGCAGAATAGTGGATATTGGTGAAACGCAAATGCTGCTGCCTGATCATTCCTCTGGAAATTCTGTCTTAGAGGAGTACCTGGCCGTGTGAGGTGTCAGTCCACCCTTACTTGGGGGTGCCTCCCAGTTAGGCTACTCGGGGGTCAGGGACCCACTTGAGGATGCAGTCTGCCCGTTCTCAGATCTCAAGCTGCATGCTGGGAGAACCACTACTCTCTTCAAAGCTGTCAGACAGGGACATTTAAGTCTGCAGAGGTTACTGCTGTCTTTTTGTTTGTCTGTGCCCTGCCCCCAGAGGTGGAGCCTACAGAGGCAGGCAGGCCTCCTTGAGCTGTGGTGGGCTCCACCCAGTTCGAGCTTCCAGGCAGCTTTGTTTTCCTAATCAAACAACTAACTTGGCAATGGCAGACGCCCCTCCCCCAGCCTCGCTGCCACCTTGCAGTTTGATCTGGGACTGCTGTACTAGTAATGAGCCAGACTCCGTGGGTGTAGGACCCTCTGAGCCAGGTGCAGGATATAATCTCCTGGTGTGCCATTTTTTAATCCCATTGGGAAAGCACAGTATTAGGGTGGGAGTGACCCAATTTTCCAGGTGCCGTCTGTCACCCTTTTCTTTGACTAGGAAAGGGAATTCCCTGACCCCTTTCACTTCCCCGGTTAGGTGATGCCTCGCCCTGCTTCTGCTCATGCTTCGTGTGCTGCACCCACTGTCCTGCACCTACTGTCTGGCACTCCCCAGTGAGATGAACCAGTACCTCAGTTGGAAATGCACAAATCGCCCGTCTTCTGCATCGCTCACTCTGGGAGCTGTAGACCGGAGCTGTTCCTATTTGCCCATCTTGGCTCCTCCCCCTACTGAATTTTTAAATTAGTTCCAATAGTTTTCTTGTGAAGGCTTTTGGTTTTTCCAAATGTAAGATTATATCATCAGCAAACAAGGGTACTTTGACTTTTCCTTTCCAACTTGGATGCCCTTTATATCTTATTCTTGTCTGATAACTCTAGCTACAAGTTCCAGCACTACATTGAATAACAGTGGTGAAAGCGGACATCCTTGTCATGTTCCAGATCTTAGAGGAAAGACTTTCAATTTTTTGTGATTCATTCCGATACTAGCTGTTGGTCTGTAATATATAGCTTTTATTATGTTGAGGTATGTTCCTTCTATACACAGTTTTTGAAGGATTTTATCATGAAGGGATATTGAATTTTATCAAATGCTTTTTCAGCATCAATTGAAATGATCATATGGATTTGTTCTTCATTCTGTTGACATGATGTATCACAGTGATTGATTTGCATATGTTGAACCATTCTTGCTTCCCTGGGATAAACCCCGTTGATCATGATGAGTTATCTTTTTAATTTGTTGTTGTATTTTGTTTGCTAGTATTGTGTTGAGAACTTTTGCATCACTAGCAGAGATATTGGCCTATATTTTTTTTCGTTTTTTTGTTTTTTGTTTTTTGAGACAGGATCTTGTTCCATTTCTCAGGCTGGAGTGCAGTGGTGTGGTTTTGGCTCACTGCAACCCCCACCTCCTAGGTTTAAGTGATTCTCCTTCCTCAGCCTCCTGAGTAGCTGGGATTACACACACCTGCCACCACACCCAGCTAATTTTTGTATTATTAATAGAGATAGGATTTCACTGTGTTAGCCATGTTGTTCTGAAACTCCTAACCTCAAGTAATCTACCTGCCTCAGCTGCCCAAAGTGCTGAAATTACGGCATGAGCCACCACGTCTGGCCAGATATTGGCCCACGGTTTTCTGCTTTTGATGTGTCTTTGTCAGTTTTGGTATCAGGGTAATACTTTCCTCATAGAATGATTTTGAAAGTTTTCCTTCCTCCTCTATTTTTTAGAGTAATTTGAGTAGAATTGGTATTAGTTCTTCTTTAAACATTTGGTAGAATTCAGCAGTGAAGCCATTAGGTCCTGAACTTTTTTTTTGCAGGGGAATTTTTATTATGGTTTCAATCTTGTTACTTATTATTGGTCACCTCAGGTTTTGAATTTTTTCCTGGTTCAGTCTTGGTAGGTTGTATGTGTCTAGGAATGTATCAATTTCTTTTAGATTTTATAATTTATTGGCATAAAGTTGCTCTTAGTAGCCTCTAATGATCCTTTGAATTTCTGTGGTATTGGATGTAATGTCTCCTTTTTCATCTCTGATTTTATTTGCATCTTCTTTCTTTATTTCTTAGTCTGGCTAAAGGTTTGTCTATTTTGTTGAATTTAAAAAAAAAACTTTTTCTATTTTGGATCTTTTATTTTTTTGTTTCAATTTTGTTTATTTCTGCTCTAGTCTTCATTATTTTTTTTTTCTGCTAATTTTGGGTTTGGTTTTCTCTTGTTCTTCTAGTTTTTTAAGATGCATCATTAGATTGCTTATTTGAAGTTTTTGTCTTTTTTGATTTAGGTACTTATGGGTATAAATTTCCTTCTCAGCACTGCTTTTGCTGTATCCCATCGGTTTTGTGTGTAGTGTTTCCATTGCCATTTGTTTCACAAAATTTTTCAACTTTCTTCTTAATTTCTTCATTGGTCATTCAGGAGCATATTGTTTAATTTCTAAATGTTTGTATAGTTTTCAAAATGTCTATATTGATTTCTAGTTGTATTACACTGTGGTCAGAAAAGATGCTGAATGTTATTTTATTTTCTGAATTTTTTGAATGTATCAGGAGTTGTTTTGTGCCCTAACATATATTCTATTCTTGAGAATGATCCATGAGCTGAGGAGAAAAATGTGTATTCTGTAGCTATTGGATAAAGTGTTCTGTAAATATCTACTAGAACCATTTGGTCTATAGAGTAGATTAAGTCCAGTGTTTCTTTGTTGATTTTCTGTCTGGCAGATCTGTCCAATGCTGAGGGTAGAGTGTTGAAGCCTCCAGCTATTATCGTATTGGTGTCTATCTTACTCTGTAGCTCTAATAATGTTTGCTTCATATTTCTAGGTGCTCCATTGTTGGGTGCATATATATTTACAATAGGTATATCCTCTTTAACAAAAAGATTGAAATAATTAAGAAGAATCAAGCAGAAATTCTGGGCTGGAAAAATGCAATTGATGAAGGTTCCAAGATGGCCGAATAGGAACAACTCCAGTCTGCAGCTCTGAGTGTGATTGACCCAGAAGATGGGTGATTTCTACATTTCCAACTGAGGTACTTGGTTCATCTCATTGGGACTGGTTGGACAGTGGGTGTAGACCATTGAGGGTGAGCTGAAGCAGGGCGGGGCATTGCCTCACCCAGGAACCACAAGGGGTCAGGGGATTTCCTTTTCCTAGCCAAGGAAAATGATTATACCTGGAAAAATGGGACACTCCCACCCAAATACTGCACTTTTCCCAAGGTCTTAGCAACCAGCAGACAAGGAGATTCTCTCCCATGCCCAGCTCAGCAGGTCCTATGCCCATGGAGCCTTGCTCACTGCTAGTGCAGCAGTCTGAGATTGAACTGCAAGATGGCAGCCTGGCTGGGGGAGGGGCATCTGCCATTGCTGAGGCTTGAGTAGGTAAACAAAGCAGCCAGGAAGCTCAAACTGGGCAGAGGTCACCACAGCTCAGCAAGGCCTAATGCCTCTAGACTCCACCTCTGTGGGCAGGGCTTAGCTGAACAAAAGGTAGCAGACAACTTCTGCAGACTTAAACCTCCCTGTCTGACAGCTTTGAAGAGAGCAGTGGTTCTCCCAATATGGTGTTTGAGCTCTGAGAATAGACAGACTGCCTCCTCAAGAGGGTCCCTGACCCCCGTGTAGCCTAACTGGGAGACATCTCCCAGTAGGGGACTACAGACACCTCATATAGGCAGGTGCCCCTCTGGGACAAAGGTTCCAGAGGAAGGATCAGGCAGCAATATTAGCTGTTCTGAAATATTTACTGTTCTGCAGCCTCCACTGGTGCTACCCAGGCAAACAGGATCTGGAGTGGAACTCCAGCAAACTCCAACAGACCTGCAGCTGAGGGACCTGACTGTTAGAAAGAAAACTAACAAACAGAAAGGAATAGCATCAACGTCAACAAAAGGGACATCCACACCAAAACCCCATCTGTAGGTCACCAACATCAAAGACCAAAGGTAGATAAAACCACAAAAATAGGGAGAAACCAGAGCAGAAAAGCTGGAAATTCTAAAAACCAGAGCTCCTCTTCTCCTCCAAAGGATTGCAGCTCCTTGCCAGCAACAGAACAAAGCTGGACGGAGAATGACTTTGACGAGTTGACAGAAGTAGGCTTCAGAAGGTTGGTAATAACAAACTTCTCCGAATTAAAGGAGCATGTTCAAACACGTCGCAAAGAAGCTAAGAAACTGAAAAAAGGTTAGATGAATGGCTAACTAGAATAAACAGTGTAGAGAAGACCTTAAATGATCTAATGGAGCTGAAAACCATGGCACGAGAAATTCGTGACACATGCACAAGCTTCAATAACCAATTCGATCAATTGGAAGAAAGGATATCAGTGATTGAAGATCAAATTAATGAAATAAAGTGAGAAGACAAGGTTAGAGAAAAAAGAGTAAAAAGAAATAAACAAAGCCTCCAGGAAATATGGGACTATGTGAAAAGACAAAATCTACATTTGATTGGTGTACCTGAAAGTGATGGGGAGAATGGAACCAAGTTGGAAAACACTCTTCAGGATATTATTCAGGAGAACTTCCCCAACATAGAAAGACAGGCCAACATTCAAATTCAGGAAATACGGAGAGCACCACAAAGATACTCCTCGAGAAGAAGAACCCCAAGATACATAATGGTCAGATTCACCAAGGTTGGAATGAAGGAAAAAATGTTAAGGGCAGCCAGAGAGAAAGGTCGGGTTACCCACAAAGGGAAGCCCATCAGAATAACAGCAGATCTCTCTGCAGAAACCTTACAAGCCAAAAGAGAGTGGGGGCCAATATTCAACATTCTTAAGGAAAAGAATTTTCAATCCAGAATTTCATATCCAGCCAAACTAAGCTTCATAAGTGAAGGAGAAATAAAATCCTTTACAGACAAGCAAATGCTGAGAGATTTTATCACTACCACGCCAGCCTTACAAGAGCTCCTGAAGGAAGCAATAAGCATGAAAAGAAACAACCAGTACCAGCCACTGCAAAAACATGCCAAATTGTAAAGACCATCAAGGCTAAAAAGAAACTGCATCAATTAATGGGCAAAATAACCAGCTAACATCATAATGACGGGATCAAATTCACACATAACAATATTAACCTTAAATGTAAATGGGATAAATGCCCAAATTAAAAGACACAGATTGGCAAATTGGATAAAGAGTCAAGACCCATCAGTGTGCTGTATTAAGGACACCCATCTCAAATGCAAAGACCCACATAGGCGCAAAATAAAGGGATGGAGGAAGATCTACCAAGCAAATGGAAAGTAAAAAAAAGCAGGGGTTGCAATCCTAGTCTCTGATAAGACAGACTTTAAACCAACAAAGATCAAAAGAGACAAAGAAGGCCATTACATAATGGTAAAGGGATCAATTCAACAAGAAGAGCTAACTATCCTAAATATATATGCACCCAATACAGGAGCACCCAGATTCATAAAGCAAGTCCTTAGAGACCAACAAAGAGACTTAGACTCCCACACAATAATAATGGGAGACTTTAACACCCCACTGTCAACATTAGGCAGATCAACGAGACAGAAGGTTAACAAGGATATCCAGGACTTGAACTCAGCTGTGCACCAAGCAGACCTAATAGACATCTACAGAACTCTCCACCCCAAATCAACAGAATATACATTCTTTTCAGCACCACATCACACCTATTCCAAAATTGACCACATAGTTGGAAGTAAAGCACTCCTCAGCAAATGTAAAAGAACAGAAATTATAACAAACTGTCTCTCAGACCACAGTGCAATCAAACTAGAACGCAGGATTAAGAAACTCACTCAAAACCGCTCAACTATATGGAAACTGAACAACCTGCTCCTGAATGACTACTGGGTAAATAACGAAATGAAGTCATAAATAAAGATGTTCTTTGAAACCAACGAGAACAAAGACACAACATACCAGAATCTCTGGGACACATTCAAAGCAGTGTGTAGAGGGAAATTTATAGCACTAACTGCCCACAAGAGAAAGCAGGAAAGATCTCAAATTGACACCCTAACATCACAATTAAAAGAACTAGAAAAGCAAGAGCAAACACATTCAAAAGCTAGCAGAAGGCAAGAAATAACTAAGATCAGAGCAGAACTGAAGGAAATAGAGACACAAAAATCACTTCAAAATATTAATGAATCCAGGAGCTGGTTTTCTGAAAAGATCAACAAAATTGATAGACCGCTAGCAAGACTAATAAAGAAGAAGAGAGAAGAATCAAATAGACGCAATAAAAAATGATAAAGGGGATATCACCACCGATCCCACAGAAATACACACTACCATCAGAGACTACTATAAACAGCTCTATGCAAATAAACTAGAAAATCTAGAAGAAATGGATAAATTCCTCGACACATACATCCTCCCAAGACTAAACCAGGAAGAACTTGAATCTCTGAATAGACCAATAACAGGCTCTGAAATTGAGGCAATAATCAATAGCTTACCAACCAAAAAAAGTCCAGGACCAGATGGATTCACAGCCGAATTCTACCAGAGGTACAAGGAGGAACTGGTACCATTCCTTCTGAAACTATTCCAATCAATAGAAAAAGAGGGAATCCTCCCTAACTCATTTTATGAGGCCAGCATCATCCTGATACCAAAGCCTGGCAGAGACACAACCAATAAAGAGAATTTTAGACCAATATCCTTGATGAACATTTATGCAAAAATCCTCAATAAAATATTGGCAAACGGAATCCAGCAGCACATCAAAAAGCTTATCCACCATGATCAAGTGGGCTTCATCTCTGGGATGCAAGGCTGGTTCAACATATACAAATCAATAAATGTAATCAAGCATATAAACAGAACCAAAGACAAAAACCACATGATTATCTCAATAGATGCAGAAAAGGTCTTTGACAAAATTCAACAACCATTCATGCTAAAAACTCTCAATAAATTAGGTATTGATGGGACGTATCTGAAAATAATAAGAGCTATCTATGACAAACCCACAGCCAATATCATACTGAATGGGCAAAGACTGGAAGCATTCCCTTTGAAAACTGGCACAAGACAGGGATGCCCTCTCTCACCACTCCTATTCAACATAGTGTTGGAAGTTCTGGCCACGGCAATCAGGCAGGAGAAGGAAATAAAGGGCATTCAATTAGGAAAAGAGGAAGTCAGATTGTCCCTGTTTGCAGATGACATGATTGTATATCTAGAAAGCCCCATCGTCTCAGCCCAAAATCTCCTCAAGCTGATAAGCTACTTCAGCAAAGTCTCAGGATACAAAATCAATGTACAAAAATCACAAGCATTCTTATACACCAATAACAGACAAACAGAGAGCCAAATCAGGAGTGAACTCCCATTCACAATTGCTTCAAAGAGAATAGAATACCTAGGAATCCAACTTACAAGGGATGTGAAGGACCTCTTCAAGGAGAACTACAAACCACTGCTCAATGAAATAAAAGACGATACAAACAAATGGAAGAACATTCCATGCTCATGAGTAGGAAGAATCAATATCGTGAAAATGGCCATACTGCCCAAGGTAATTTATAGATTCAATGCCATCACCATCAAGCTGCCAATGACTTTCTTCACAGAATTGGAAACAACTACTTTAAAGTTCATATGGAACCAAAAAAGAGCCTGCATCACCAAGTCAATCCTAAGCCAAAAGAACAAAGCTGGAGTCATCATGGTACCTGACTTCAAACTATACTACAAGGCTACAGTAACCAAAACAGCACGGTACTGGTACCAAAACAGAGATATAGACCAATGGAACAGAACAGAGGCTTCAGAAATAACACCACACATCTACAACTATCTGATCTTTGACAAACCTGAGAAAAACAAGCAATGGGGAAAGGATTCCCTATTTAATAAATGGTGCTGGGAAAACTGGCTAGCCAGATGTAGAAAGCTGAAACTGGATCCCTTCCTTATGCCTTATATAAAAATTGATTCAAGATGGTTTAAAAACTTAAAAGTTAGACCTAAAACCATAAAAACCCTAGAAGAAAACCTAGGCAATACCATTCAGGACATAGGCACGGGGAAGGACTTCATGACTAAAACACCAGAAGCAATGGCAACAAAAGCCAAAATAGATAAATGGGATCTAATTAAACTAAAGAGCTTCTGAATGGCAAAAGAAACTACCATCAGAGTGAACAGGTAACCTATAGAATGGGAGAAAAGTTTTGCAATCTACCCATCTGACAAAGGGCTAATGTCTAGAATCTGCAAAGAACTCAAACAAATTTACAAGAAAAAAACAAACCCATCAAAAAGTGGGCAAAGGATATGAACAGACACTTCTCTAAAGAAGACATGTATGCAGCCAACAGACACATGAAAAAATGCTCATCGTCACTGGCCATCAGAGAAATGCAACTCAAAACCACAATGAGATACCATCTCACGCCAGTTAGAATGACAATCATTAAAAAGTCAGGAAACAACAGATGCTGGAGAGGATGTGGAGAAATAGAAACGCTTTTACACTGTTGGTGTGAGTGTAAATTAGTTCAACCATTCTGGAAGACAGTGTGGTGCTCCCTCAAGGATCTAGAACTAGAAATTCCATTTGACCCAGCAATCCCATAACTGAGTATATACCCAAAGGATTATAAATCATGCTACTATAAAGACACATGCATACATATGTTTATTGTGGCACTATTCACAATAGCAAAGACTTGGAACCAACCCAAATGTCCATCAATGATAGACTGGTTTAAGAAAATGTGGCACATGTACACCATGGAATACTATGCAGTCATGAAAAAGGATGAGTTCATGTCCTTTGCAGGAGATGGATGAAGCTGGAAACCATCATTCTAAGCAAACTATCAGAAGGACAGAAAACCAAACACCGCATGTTCTCACTCATAGGTGGGAATTGAACAGTAAGATCACTTGGACACAGGGTGGGGAACATCACACACTGGGGCCTGTCATAGGATCGGGGGCTGGGGAAGGGATAGCATTAGGAGAAATACCTAATTTAAATGATGAGTTGATGGGTGCAGCAAACCAACATGGCACATGTATACCTATGTATGAAACCTGCACGTTGTGCACATGTACCCTAGACCTTAAAGTGTAATAAAACGAAAGAAAAATGCAATTGACACACAGAAGAATGCATCAGAGTCTTTTTAAATGTTTCTTTATTTTTTTCTGTTTTTCTTCTAAAAAAGGGACAGTGTCTTTTAATAGCAGAATGGATCAAGCAGAATAAAGAATTAGTGAGCCTAAAGACAGGCTCTTTGAAAATACATTGTTAAATTGTTAAAATTAAAAATGTTAATTGTTAAATTGACTTCTTTATCATTGTATGGTGACCTTTGTCTCTTCTTACAGTTTTTGTCTTAACATCTGTTTTTTTCTGATATAAGTATAGTTACTCCTGCTCTTTTTGGTTTCCATTAGCATAAAACGTATTTTTCCACTCCTTTATTTTCAGTCTATGTGTATCTCTATAGGTGAAGTGTGTTTCTTCTTGGTTACAGATAATTGGGTCTTGTTGTCTTATCTATTCAGCCAGTCTAGGTGTTTTGACTGGAGCATTTAGTTCATTTATTCAATGTTATTATTGATAAGTAAGAACTTACTTCTGCCATTTTGTTAATTTTTTTTTTTCTGGTTGTTTTGTGGTCTCTTCCTTCTTTCCTTTCTGCCTGTCTTCCTTTTAGTGAATGTAATTTTTCTCTACTGGTATGTTTTAATTTTTTGTTTTTTATTTTTTATGTATCTGTTGTACGTTTTTTGGTTTGAGGTTACCATGAGGCTTCAAATACTATCTTATAACCCATTATTTTAAGCTGATAACTTAATACTGTTTGCATAAATAAAGGAAAAGAAAAACTAATAAAAACTCTACACTTTTTAACTTTATCCCTTTACCTTTTAACTTTTTGTTGTTTCTATTTATATTTTATTGTACTTTTATGTCTTCAAAAGTTGTAGTTATTATTTTTGATTGGTTCATTGTTTAGTCTTTCTATTTAAGATACAAGCACCACAGTTAGAGTGTTATTCCATTTTTCTGTAGTTATTATTACAAATGAGTTTTGTATGTTAGATGACTGTTCATTGGTCATTAAAATTCTTTTCTTCCTGATTGAAGTATTCCCTTTTGCATTTCTTGTAGAACAGGTCTGGTGTTGATAAAATCCCTCAGCTTTTGTGTGTGTGTGTGTGTGTGTGTCTGGGAAAGCCTTTATTTCTCCTTCATGTTTAAAGGATATTGTTGCCAGATATACTATTCTAGAATAAATGTTTTATCCTTTGACACTTTTAATATTTCATGCCACTCTCTCCTGGCCTGTAAGGTTTCCACAGAGAAGTCTGCTAACAGACATATTGGAGCTTCATTTTATGTTATTCGTTTCTTTTCTCTTACTGCTTTTAGGATCCTTTCTTTATCCTTGACCTGTGGGAGTTTGATTATTAAATGTCTTGAAATAGCCTTCTTTGGGTTGAATCTGCTTGGTGTTCTATAATGTTCTTGTACATGGATATTGATATCTTTCTCTAGGTTTGCAACATTGTTATTTTGCATTTGCATAAATTTTCTACCCCTATCTCTTCTTTACCTTCTCTTTAAGGCCAATATATCTTAGATTTTTCCTTTTTAGGGTATCTACTAGATGCTGTAGGCATGCTTTATTGTTTTTTATTCTTTTTTTCTTTTGTCTCCTCTATGTATTTTCAAATAGCCTGTCTTCAGGCTCACTAATTCTTCGTTCTGCTTGATCCATTCTGTTATTAAAAGACTCTGATGCATTCTTCTGTATGTCAACTGCATTTTTCAAACCCAGAATTACTGCTTGATTCTTTTTAATTATTTCAATATTTTTGTTAAATTTATGTGATAGAATTCTGAATTTCTTCTCAGTGTTATCTTGTACTTCTTTGAATTTTCTCAAAACAGGTATTTTGAATTGTCTAGCTGAAAGGTCACATATCTCTATTGCTCCAAAATTGGCCCCTGGTGCCTTCCTTATTTCATTTGGGGCGGTCATGTTTTCCTGGATGTCACTATGCTTGTGGATGTTTGTCTGTGTCTAGGCATGAAAGAGTTAGATATTTATTGTATTCATTGCAGTCTGGGTTTTTAAAAGTCTTTCCGTGGATTTGAAAGGACTTGGGTATAGTGATGTAAGCCATATCTGCATAGGGGCACCTAAGTCCAGTAATGCTGTGGTTCTTGCAGACTTTTAGAGGAACCTCCTTAATGGTCTTGAACAAGATCCAGAGGATCTCTTTGGATTATCAGGCAAAGACTCTTGCTCTCTTCCCTTACTTTCTACCAAACAGTCTCTTTCTCTCTCTTTTCTGAATCACCTGGAGGTGGGAGTGGCATGACACTAGCATCTCTGTGGCCACAACCACTATGACTGTTCTGGGTCAGACCTGAAGTCAGCACAGCACTCGGTCTTGCCCAACACCTGCTGTAACAACTACCTAGCTACTGCTTATGTTCACCTATGGCCCTAGGGCTCTACAATCACCAGGTGGCAAAGCCAGCTAGGGTTGTGTCCTCCCCTTCAAGGTGGTGAGTTCCCCCAGGCCCTGGATATGTCCAGAGGTACCTTCAGGGAGCCAGGGGCTAGAGTCAAAAGCCTTAGAAGTCTGCCGGTTGTTCTACTGTACTGAAGCTGAGCTGACACTTAAACCAGGAGTTACAATTTTTCCCACTCTTTTCTTCTTTTTCCACAGGCAAAGATGCCTCTCCCCATGGCCATTTCCCCCACAAACACACAGGGAGTATTGCAAGGCTACCGCTAATGTTCCCTTAAGGCTCAAGGGCTCTTCAGTCAGCTGTGGTGAATGCTGCCTGGCCTAGGACTCACCCTTCAGGGAAGTGGGCTCCCCTCTGTCCCAGATCAGGTCCAGAAGTGCTGTTCAAGAGCCAAGTCCTGGTTCTAGGGATGCCAAGAGCCAGCTTGGTGGTCTATCCCCCTGTGGCCAAGCTGGTGCCTAAGGTGTAAGACAAAGTTCCCTTTACTTTTCTCTCCACTTTTCTCATGCAGAAGGAGTCTCTACCTGTAGCTACTACAGCTGGGAATGTGTTGAGTGTCACTTGAAGCCATCAAGTCTCAGAGTCTTACCCAAGTCCCATAGCATACTACTTGGGTATTGCTGCTAGTTATTCAGGACCCAAGGGCTCTTTAGTCAATAGGTGATAGGTCTTATCAGGACTGGGTTCTTCCCTTCAAAGAAGTGGGTTCCTTTCTGGCTGAGGGTGTGTCTAGAAATATTGTCCAGGAGTTAGGATCTGTGAAGGAGGCCTCAGGACTCTGACGGGTGCCCTATCCTACTGTGGTTGAGCTGATATCCAAGATGCATGAAAAAGTTCTCTTTACTATTCTGTCTCCTCTCCTTAAGCAGAAGGAAGGGTGTCTCCTTTGGAGCCCCGAACTATGAAGCCTGGGGTTGAAGGAAGGGTGGCTCAAGTGCTCCCTTAGCTGCCTCGGCTGGCATCTCATTAGGTCATGTGCCCCCTCAGTTCGCTGACTCTGAGCCCAGTTCTTCACTAGGATTCACCTAGCAGTTGTAGTCCTTGTGGCCTAGACTGACTTTCAAGTTTATTTAGAGCCTCAAAGCATTTTAGCCTGTGGTGGCAAGGCTTGCCAGAACTCAAGTTCCCATCACTGGGTTGGGTGATTCCCTTCTGGCTAAGGCTGCTTTAAATAATCCCTCTGTGGGCGAGTGTCCGCTGGGTTCTGCCCAGTTTTGCCTTCTGCTATGACAGAGCACCATTGAGGTAAATGCAATATCTGGCAATTGCTGCACTCTCCCAAGCACACAGATTCTTTCTCCACTGCATGGCTGCTGCCAGGGCATAGGAGATGGGTGATAGCAGTGATTAAAGACTGTCTCCTACCCTCCTCAGTGCCTTTTTGAGCCATTTGAAGTTAAAGCCAAGTACTTTGATTGTCATCTGATTTTTGGTTGTTATGAAAGTACTTTTCTTGTGTATAGATAGTTGTTAAATTTGTGTCCTCGAAGGGGGACAATTGGTGAATGCTTCTATTCGACCATCTTGTTCTCTTCCTGCCCATTTTCTAATGTAAGAATTTACTGCTATAAATTTCTCCTCTTACCACTGCTTTAGCTGCATTCCACATATTTTGATACTTCGTATTTTCATTTGCACTGAGTTTTATGTATTTTATTTTCTTTCAAGACTTTCTCTTTGACTTGTGGATTATTTAGATGTGTGTTTAATTTCCTCACATTAAAATATTTTCCTGTTGTCCTTCTATTATTGATTTCTCATTTGATTCCATTAAGGTTAGAGAACACACTCTCTATGATTTCAATCCTTTAAAATTTGTTGAAATTTGTTTTATGGCCCGTAACATAGTCTATCTTGGTGAATGATTCATGAGCACTTAAAAAATATGTATTGTTCTGTTGTCGGGTAAAACTTCCTATATATGCTAATTAGATCTTGTTGCTAGTTCTACATCCCTGCTGATTTTCTGTGTAGTAGTTCTATCAATTTCTACAAGTTGAATTGTTGAAATCCCTAATTATAATTGTGGATTTGTCTATCTCCCCTTTTAGCTCTATAAATTTTTTCCTAATAAATTTTGAGGCTGGTTTTGATGTGTATACTTTTGGGATCATTAAGTCTTGTTGGTGAATTGATTTTATTATCATATATAAAGATTTTCTTTGTCTCTGAAGTCTACTTCATCATTTTTGTATCTACTTCTCCTATTTTAAGAATTAATGCTTGCATGGTATATTTCTTTCCATCATTTTCTTTTAACATATCTATGCAATTGAATTTGAAATGAGTTGTTAGTAACCAGCACATGGTTGGGTTGTGTATGGTTTGTTTGTTTTTGTTTTTTCAGATTTATTTGGACAATCTTTGCTTTTTGAGTAGTGTGTGTTTAGACTATTTACATTTAAGGTGTTGATTTGTTAATGCTTAAGAAGTCTTCCATTTTATTATTTGTTTTCTGTTTATTTACACTGTTTCTTGTTCCTCTTAGTCTCTCTCTTCTTGCTCTACTGGAGGTTACTTGACCAATTTCCAAAATTTTATCTTAATTTATTTACCACATTTTTGAGCATATTAATTTGCATAGCCCTCTTAGTGGTTGCTCTGGGCATTGCAATATACTTATGAGATTTATTACAGCTGTCTGGTAGCAAAGTTTTACCACCTTGAGTGAAATGTGGAAACTTTACTTCCATTTAGGTCTCTGTATTGTACTTGCTTTAAAATATTGTCTGGAGTATCAGATGGAGTATTTTTTTATAATCATCATATAAGTTATGGGTTGAATTGTTTCCCCTCTCCAAATGTTGAAATACTAACTCCCAGTACCTCAGAATGTGACCATATTTGGAAATAGGGTCATTGTAGATGAGGTTATATTGGAGTACGCTGGACCCTTAATCTAATATAATTAGTGTCCTTAGAAGAACAGAAGAGAGACACAGAGACAGAGACACACACAGGGAGAATGCCATGTGATATGAAGACGGGGATTTAAGTGCTGTAGTTACAAGCCAAGGAACACCAGAGTCCAGAAAATCATCGGTAGCCAGGAAGAGACAAGGAAGGATTCTCCCCTATCCAAATCAAAGGGAATATGACCTTGCCAACACCTTGATTTTGAACTTCCAGCCTCCAAAACTGTGACATAATAAGTTTCTGTTGTTTCAAGGCACACAGTCTGTGGTACTTTGTTATGTCAGTCCTAGGAAGCTAATACAGGTTTTGGCTGCTGGGAAGTAAAACACCCTACTCTCTATTTCTCTCCTCTGAGACTGTAATGATATGCATATTGTATATTTTATTACTGTCCTTCAGTTCTCTGAAAGTCAGTTTATGAGTTGGGAGTGATAAGGGGAGGGGGAGAGGAAGTTTGAGAAGAGAAGATAAAGTGAGATAATTATTTTGGAGTATGGGAGAAAAAAATTTATTAGGGGAATATAGTGGATTGCTAGGAATGGAGTAGGGCAATATTAAGTATGCATTTGGTATTGTGGTCATGAAATTAATGACAGATCATATGCTATACCATGCATCTTGTACATTATGTCATGTATTATGTATGGGGTATTTGTGTGTATGTATGTGTGTGTGTGTAACACTTCAGACCCATGTATAACTAAGTACTTCAGGACTTAGAGTAATCTATGTTGTTTTTCTTTTAAATAATTCATTTCAATCCAAGTCAACCATAATTTATTAAGGCCTGTACTGTTTATTACAAGGCTATTTTATTTCATTTTCCAGGTGAAAGGTAGTAAGAAAATAATTTTTGTAATACCACACTATAATAAAAGTTACCAGAGCCTCCTAAAATGTGTGTTTCTTGATTCCCCAGATCTAGCTTTTGATTCATCCTCCCAGACCATCTTGGTTAAAGTCGGATCACCTAGTCAAAATGAGTCTTTGCAGAGCTCTTAATTGCTCATTGGTGACACACATGGGCTATCATCATAGAAGGTGGGCAGGATGATTAGATAGTTAGGTGCTATGCTATGTAATTGGACAGTCTTAGCTCAAATCCTGGCTCTGTCATTTATTATCTTTGTGACCCTAGACAGGTTACTTAACCTCTCTATACCTCGGTTTCAACATCTGTAAAATAGAGATAATAACAGTCCTGAACTCATAAGGTGTGAGAAATTAACTGATAATATGTAGAGGACTTAGTATGAAGCTTGTAAAACAGCTTACTGGTCATATTTGTCTCTCAAGGGCCACTTTTGTGTTTTATTTTATTTTATTTTATTATATATATATATTTTTGAGACAGAGTCTCACTCTGTTGTCCAGGCTGGAGTGCAGTGGCACAATCTCGGCTCACTGCAACCTCTGCTCCTAGATTCAAGCAATTCTCCTGCCTCAGCCTCCTGAGTATCTGGGATTACAGGCGTGTGCCACCATGACCAGCTAATTTTTGTATTTTTAAAAGAGACGGGGTTTCATCATGTTGGCCAGGCTGGTCTCGACCTCCTGACCTCGTGATTCACCTGCCTCGGCCTCCCAAAGTGCTGGGATTACAGGCTTGAGTCTCTGCACCCGGCCTTGTGTATTTCTTAGAGAGCCTCCCAGTAAGAATCTCTGACTAGCACCCCTGATGGCAGTGACTATTCTCAGGCTGCCCACTTCTTACTCCCTCCCTCAGCCTCAGTCCATTCCACATAAATGCTCTTTTGGGCTTATTTCACCTCTCTTGGGCATTATTACTTTTAAAAGTGATTGCCGTCTAGCTCCCTAACTCCTGGACAATGTCTGTTTCCTGGAAAATCACGCTTTTCAGCTCTGCTGTCGAACAGGCAGTGCAACCATGGCCCTGCACCTCTAGTCCTCCCATGTGTGAATTTTAAATACGAGTCCTTATGTTTTCTGCACCCCAGGGGATAATTGTTTTTGAAATGCTCCACACTTTGAGTCCCCTCTCGCTTGGCTGAGGTGAGAAAAAATATCCCATCTGATCCCTCATGAGAGACAGAGAGGGGAAACACTCAGTACACCAACAATTCTCCAAAGAAATCCTCCACCTATGACTCTCCAACCTCAACTCCTTAAATACATGGGAGTTGAGTGATGGTCTAATTCTGTTTCATCATTCTCTTAGCATGTCTTTTTGGGTGGCTTGGCATTTCACTTAAGGATATTTGCGGTGGTGGTAATAGTCATTCATATTCTTCACCAGATCTTTCCTCCTTCTTGGCACAGAATGGGATTACATATCTTTGCCTACAATGAAGTCAGATAAAGCCAAGTGACTTGTTTTGTCCAACGAAATGTGAGTGAAAAGCTTTTGGCCAGAAACTTTATTATGTATTTATTTTAGAGACAAGGTCTTGCTCTGTCACCCAGGCTGGAGTGCAGTGGCCTGATCATAGCTCACTGTAACCTAGAACTCCTTAGCCAGAAGCTTTACAAGTCACTGTTGTATGTTGAAATGTATCCTCCATAAGCCTGGGACTCTAAATGACAAGGATGAGCAGGGTGTCCTTGCTGATATGCATTGGTAATGTTGTGTGAATAAGAAATATAGTTTTGTGTGTCAACCACTCATATTTTGGGGTTGTTTTTATAGCAGAACCTAGTCCACCCTAACAGGAATATATTTGACATTTATTTGTACTGGTCTTTAGGTTCTCTGTGAAGTTCAAGAAAACGTAAGTGATAACATTTTATATTCTTGTTAAATTATTATTAGTAGTATTTGTTATGATTATCATATTTACATTGGAACTTGTGTGATTGTCACGTTTATGGGAAAGTGACTAATCAGAGAGACGAGGAGATAAAAAACATGATTTCACACCCTAGTTCTAACACTAATTTTATATAGCTAGGCCTTCTAAATTTTCCTCAAATATAAAACAGAGATATATACTTCCCCTGCCTGTTTCACTGAGTTGTCTTAAGCATCAGTGAGATCATGGATAAGAAAGTGCATTGAAAACTCTAAAGCAGACCACAAACATAACATACAAAATTGTGGTTCATATCCCAGGCTGTGCATCAGAACATTTAGTCAGACATTATTTCTGCATTTCTTTGCAATTATTTGTGCAGTGAAATGTATCAATTCCTCATTGGATGGAATAATCTATGGTAGCTTTCTAGTGATCAAAAAGCCTTCCAGTCACGTCTGTTCTATGTTCAGCACTATACCACGCCATTGGAGAAATGCTAGATAAGTCTAAGGTATGGCTCATAGCATCAATAGTGTATTCTTGAAAAATGTTTAGAGTGTGAATGTTAAGTGTTTTTACCACAAAATGATAATCAAATGAGGTAATGCATATGTTAATTAGTTAGATTTAGCCATTCCATAACACATATATACTTCAAAACATCATGTTGTACACAATAAATGCATATAATTTTATCTGTCAATTAAAAATAAATTTTTTGAGGAAGAGGAATAACAAGATTTTAAAAACTGCAAATGAAACAAAACCTATAATTCAGGCAGAGTGAAGACCTTGGCAAATTAACCACCTGCAAAAACAATGATAGGCTGGGCATGGTGGCTCATGCCTGTAATCCCAGTGCTTTGGAAGGCTGAGGAAAAAGGATTTCTTGAGGTCAGGAGGTCAAGGTTATAGTGAGCTATGACTGTGCCACTGCACCCTAGCCTGGATGGCAGAGTGAGAACCCATCTCAAAAAAAGCAGTAATAAACTGGTAAAATTATTGAAACAACAATTTCAGAACTCTGAACATTAAGCAGAGGGACACAGTAAATTGAAAAGCATTTATTCAAGAAAAACTACTGAATCTCAGTAAAAACAGTGGGATTTTTTTTAAGTTGAGGTTGCTCCCATCCCTCCTCCCCCTACCCCACCTACCTAATTCTGTGCTGCAGTATTTATGAAGACAATTAGCTTGGCTACTGGCTGGAGGTGGCTGATCTGACTTGGAGCTCTGCTGAAGTCCAAATGCCCAGGGATATTATTGAAAACAATAGTGACCAGTGCCAAAAAATTAAAGGCTAATGCCATAGCTGTCTGAGGCTATGATACTGGTTGAGCAAACTAGAGACCAACCAAAAATGATAAGTGGAGATCTGGGGAATGAGACAACTTTAGAAGGTTTTGAAAAGGCTGTCATATTCTTGAAGAATCCGGAAGTCTGTGTGCATGTGCAGGGCTAAGAACATACTGAGCAAAGACCAGAGAGGGCCCTAGTAATCTACTCACACCCAAATGATGGAGAGGCTCTGCATAAGCAGAAAGTAAAAGCCAAGGCAGCTCAATTAACTGGATTAACTTTGAATGCATGCCCCAACCCCAAAATCATCTCAGCAAAAAGTGGAAGCTTTATTCGCTCAAGGTCTTCAAGTACAACCTGTTTAACATTGACCAATATTTGTTGGCTAGTAAGCAATGCTGATCCAGGGATGATTCCTAGGAAGCTGTCTTAGTCTATTTGGGCAATTGTGACAAAAACGCCATGAAACAAAATGCATAACAAAAATGCCACAGACTGGGTAATTTATCAACAACAGAAATTTATTATTCACAGTTTCAGAGGCTGGGAAATCCAAGATCAAGTGACCAGTGGATTTGAAGACTGGTGAGGGGTCACTCTCTGCTTCAAAAATGGCACCTTCTCACTGTGTCCTTTCACAGTGTCCTCACATGGCAGGAAGGCAAAAGGGCTCCTGTAAGCCTCTTTTATAAGGGCACCAATCACAATCATGAGAGTGGAGCTCTCATGACCTAATCACCTCAATGTCCTCATCTCTTAATACTATCATCTTGGGGGTTAGGTTTCAGCATATAAATTTTGGGTGTACACAAACATGCAGACCATAGCAGAAGCCAAGCTTAAAAATAAAAACAATTAAGAAAAACAACAGATTAGACAATTCAGTGGTTGCACATTGGAGGGAAGACAAGTACTGTATATTTAGTCCAGGCAAATCATTAAATATACAAACAAAAAATAACAACATTAACAACAAGATCCTCCAGTAGCAACAGCAATCACTGGGAGGCGTGGGGAGAACATAATCGATAGTTGCTACAATATTTTATCTAAAATATATTCAGTTGTCAACAAAAATTTATGAGACATGCAAAGAAATAAGAAAGTGTGGCCCATACACAGAAATAAAAATCTACGAACAGAAACTGTCTCTAAAGGAGACCATATGTTGAACTTAGTTAAAAAAGACTTCAAGTATGTTTTTATAAATATGTTCAAAGAAGTAAAGGAAGCCGTGCTTTAAAAGTTAGGGGAATTGCACCACTGCATTCCAGTCTGGCGACAGAGTGAGACTCCATTAAAAAAAAAAAAAACAAAGAAAAAAATAAAAAAGTTAAGGGAAATTATTACTACAATGATTCATAAAATAGAGACTATCAATAAAGAGTTGGAAATTAGAAAAAAGGAGCCAAATGGAAATTCTGGAATTGAAAAGTCAAATAACTGAATAAAGAAATTCACTAGAACTGACACCTCACATGGCTGGGTACTCCTCTGAGACAAAACTTCCAGAGGAATGATCAGACAGCAGCATTCGCGGGTCACGAAAAACCACTGTTTGGCAGACACCGCTGCTGATACCCCGGCAAACAGGGTCTGGAGTGGACCTCTAGCAAACTCCAACAGACCTGCAGCTGAGGGTCCTGTCTGTTAGAAGGAAAACTAACAAACAGAGAGGACTTCCACACCAAAAACCCATCTGTACATCACCATCATCAAAGACCAAAAGTAGATAAAACCACAAAGATGGGGAAAAAACAGAGCAGAAAAACTGGAAACTCTAAAAAGCAGAGCACCTCTCCTCCTCCAAAGGATCGCAGTTCCTCACCAGCAATGGAACAAAGCTGGACGGAGAATGACTTTGATGAGTTGAGAGAAGAAGGCTTCAGATGATCAAACTATGAGCTACAGGAGGAAATTCAAACCAAAGGCAAAGAAGTTAAAAACTTCGAAAAAAATTTAGACGAATGTATAACTAGAATAACCAATACAGAGAAGTGCTTAAAGGAGCTGATGGAGCTGAAAGCCAAGGCTCGAGAACTACGTGAAGAATGCAGAAGCCTCAGGAGCCGATGCGATCAACTGGAAGAAAGGGTATCAGCGATGGAAGATGAAATGAATGAAATGTAGCGAGAAGGGAAGTTTAGAGAAAAAAGAATAAAAAGAAATGAACAAAGCCTCCAAGAAATATGGGACTATGTAAAAAGACCAAATCTACATCTGATTAGAGTACCTGAAAGTGACGGGGAGAATGGAACCAAGTTGGAAAACACTCTGCAGGACCTTATCCAGGAGAACTTCCCCAATCTAGCAAGGCAGGCCAACATTCAGATTCAGGAAATACAGAGAATGCCACAAAGATACTCCTTGAGAAGAGCAACTCCAAGACACATAATTGTCAGATTCACCAAAGTTGAAATTAAGGAAAAAATGTTAAGGGCAGCCAGAGAGAAAGGTCGGGTTACCCACAATGGGAAGCCCATCAGCCTAAGAGCGGATCTCTCAGCAGAAACTCTACAAGCCAGAAGAGAGTGGGGACCAATATTCAACATTCTTAAAGAAAAGAATTTTCAACCCAGAATTTCATATCCAGCCAAACTAAGCTTCATAAGTGAAGGAGAAATAAAATCCTTTACAGACAAGCAAATGCTGAGAGATTTTGTCACCACCAGGCCTGCCCTAAAAGAGCTCCTGAAGGAAGCACTAAACATGGAAAGGAACAACCGGTACCAGCTGCTGCAAAATCATGCCAAAATGTAAAGACCACCAAGACTAGGAAGAAACTGCATCAACTAACGAGCAAAATAACCAGCTAACATCATAAAGACAGGATCAAATTCACACATAACAATATTAACTTTAAATGCAAATGGACTAAATGCTCCAATAAAAGACACAGACTGGCAAATTGGATAAAGAGTCAAGACCCATCTGTGTGTTGTATTCAGGAAACCCATCTCACATGCAGAGACACACATAGGCTCAAAATAAAAGGATGGAGGAAGATCTACCAAGCAAATGGAAAACAAAAAAAGGCAGGGGTTGCAATCCTATTCTCTGATAAAACAGACTTTAAACCAACAAAGATCAAAAGAGACAAAGAAGGCCATTACATAATGGTAAAGGGATCAATACAACAAGAAGAGCTAACTATCCTAAATATATATGCACCCAATACAGGAGCACCCAGATTCATAAAGCAAGTCCTGAGTGACCTACAAAGAGATTTAGACTCCCACACAATAACAATGGGAGACTTTAACACCCCACTGTCAATATTAGACAGATCAACAAGACAGAAAGTCAACAAGGATACTCAGGAATTGAACTCAGCTGTGCACCAAGCAGACCTAATAGACATCTACAGAACTCTCCACCCCAAATCCACAGAATATACATTTTTTTCAGCACCACACCACACCTATTCCAAAATTGACCACATACTTGGAAGTAAAGCTCTCCTCAGCAAATGTAAAAGAACAGAAATTATAACAAACTATCTCTCAGACCACAGTGCAATCAAACTAGAACTCAGGATTAAGAAACTCACTCAAAACCACTCAACTACATGGAAACTGAACAACCTGCTCCTGAATGACTACTGGGTACATAATGAAATGAAGGCAGAAATAAAGATGTTCTTTGAAACCAACGAGAACAAAGACACAACATACCAGAATCTCTGGGACACATTCAAAGCAGTGTGTAGAGGGAAATTTATAGCACTAAATGCCTACAAGAGAAAGCAGGAAAGATCCAAAATTGACACCCTAACATCACAATTAAAAGAACTAGAAAAGCAAGAGCAAACACATTCAAAAGCTAGCAGAAGAGAAGAAAAAACTAAGATCAGAGCAGAACTGAAGGAAATAGAGACACAAAAAACCCTTCAAAAAATTAATGAATCCAGGAGCTGGTTTTTTGAAAGGATCAACAAAATTGATAGACCAGTAGCAAGACTAATAAAGAAAAAAAGAGAGAAGAATCAAATAGACGCAATAAAAAATGATAAAGGGGATATCACCACTGATCCCACAGAAATACAAACTACCATCAGAGAATACTACAAACACCTCTACGCAAATAAACTAGAAAATCTAGACAAAATGGATAAATTCCTCGACACATACACTCTTCCAAGACTAAACCAGGAAGAAGTTGAATCTCTGAATAGACCAATAACAGGAGCTGAAATTGTGGCAATAATCAATAGCTTACCAACCAAAAAGAGTCCAAGACCAGATGGATTCACAGCGGAATTCTACCAGAGGTACAAGGAGGAACTGGTACCATTCCTTCTGAAACTATTCCAATCAATAGAAAAAGAGGGAATCCTCCCTAACTCATTTTATGAGGCCAGCATCATTCTGATACCAAAGCCTGGCAGAGACACAACCAAAAAAGAGAATTTTAGACCAATATCCTTGATGAACATTTATGCAAAAATCCTCAAAAAAAATACTGGCAAACTAAATCCAGCAGCACATCAAAAAGCTTATCCACCATGATCAAGTGGGCTTCATCCCTGGGATGCAAGGCTGGTTCAACATATGAAAATCAATAAATGTAATCCAGCATATGAACAGAACCAAAGACAAAAACCACATGATTATCTCAATAGATGCAGAAAAGGCCTTTGACAAAATTCAACAGCCTTTCATGCTAAAAACTATCAATAAATTTGGTATTGATGGGACATATCTGAAAATAATAAGAGCTATCTATGACAAACCCACAGCCAATATCATACTGAATGGGCAAAAACTGGAAGCATTCCCTTTGAAAACTGGCACAAGACAGGGATGCCGTCTCTCACCACTCCTATTCAACATAGTGTTGGAAGGTCTGGCCAGGGCAATGAGGCCGGAGAAGGAAATAAAGGGTATTCAATTAGGAAAAGAGGAAGTCAAATTGTCCCTGTTTGCAGATGACATGATTGTATATCTAGAAAGCCCCATCATCTCAGCCCAAAATCTCCTCAAGCTGATAAGCTACTTCAGCAAAGTCTCAGGATACAAAATCAATGTACAAAAATCACAAGCATTCTTATACACCAATAACAGACAAACAGAGAGCCAAATCAGGAGTGAAATCCCATTCACAATTGCTTCAAAGAGAATAAAATACCTAGGAATCCAACTTACAAGGGACGTGAAGGACCTCTTCAAGGAGAACTACAAACCACTGCTCAATGAAATAAAAGACGATACAAACAAATGGAAGAACATTCCATGCTCATGGGTAGGAAGAATCAATATCGTGAAAATGGCCATACTGCCCAAGGTAATTTATAGGTTCAATGCCATCCCCATCAAGCTACCAATGACTTTCTTCACAGAATTGGAAAAAACTACTTTAAAGTTCATATAGAACCAAAAAAGAGCCCACATCGCCAAGTCAATCCTAAGCCAAAGAACAAAGCTGGAGGCATCATGCTACCTGACTTCAAACTATACTACAAGGCTACAGTAACCAAAACAGAGATATAGATCAATGGAACAGAACAGAGCCCTCAGAAATAACGCCACATATCTACAACTATCTGATCTTTGACAAACCTGAGAAAAACAAGCAATTGGGAAAGGATTCCCTATTTAATAAATGGTGCTGGGAAAACTGGCTAGCCAGATGTAGAAAGCTGAAACTGGATCCCTTCCTTACACCTTATACAAAAATCAATTCAAGATGGATTAAAGAGTTAAACGTTAGACCTAAAACCATAAAAACCCTAGAAGAAAACCTAGGCATTACCATTCAGGACATAGGCATGGGCAAGGACTTCATGTCTAAAACACCAAAAGCAATGGCAACAAAAGCCAAAATTGACAAATGGGATCTAATTCAACTAAAGAGCTTCTGCACAGCAAAAGAAACTACCATCAGAATGAACAGGCAACCCACAAAATGGGAGAAAATTTTCGCAACCTACTCATCTGACAAAGGACTAATATCCAGAATCTACAATGAACTCAAACAAATTTACAAGGAAAAAACAAACAACCACATCAAAAAGTGGGCGAAGGACATGAACAGACACTTCTCTAAAGAAGACATTTATGCAGCCAAAAAACACATGAAAAAATGCTCACCATCACTGGCCAGCAGAGAAATGCAAATCAAAAGCACAATGAGATATCATCTCACACCAGTTAGAATGGCGATCATTAAAAAGTCAGGAAACAACAGGTGCTGGAGAGGATGTGGAGAAATAGGAACACTTTTACACTGTTGGTGGGACTGTAAACTAGTTCAACCATTGTGGAAGTCGGTGTGGTGATTCCTCAGGGATCTAGAACTAGAAATACCATTTGACCCAGCCATCTCATTACTGGGTATATACCCAAAGGACTATAAATCATTCTGCTATAAAGACACATGCACACGTATGTTTATTGCGGTACTATTCACAATAGCAAAGACTTGGAGCCAACCCACATGTCCAATAATGATAGAGTGGATTAAGAAAATGTGGCACATATACACCATGGAATACTATGCAGCCATAAAAAATGATGAGTTCATGTCCTTTGTAGGGACATGGATGACATTGGAAATCATCATTCTCAGTAAACTATCGGAAGAACAAAAAACCAAACACTGCATATTCTCACTCATAGGTGGGAATTGAACAATGAGAACACATGGACACAGGAAGGGGAACATCACACTATGGGGACTGTTGTGGGTTGGGGGAGGGGTAAGGGATAGCATTGGGAGATATACCTAATGCTAGATTACGAGTTAGTGGGTGCAGCGCACCAGCATGTCACATGTATACATATGTAACTAACCTGCACATTGTGCACATGTACCCTAAAACTTAAAGTATAATAATAATAATAATAAAAGAAATTCACTAGAGTGGCAGAGCAGCAGGTTTGAGCTGAAATAGGAAATAATCAGTGAACTTGGAGACAGATCAATAGGGATATGCAGCCTGAAGAACACAGAGAAAAAAGAACAAAGAACAATGAACAGAGACTTAGAGTAATTTAGTACACTTTTGTGATGGTTAATGTTAGGTGTCAACTTGATTGGACTGAAGGATGCCTAAACAGCTGGTAAAATATTGTTTCTGGATGTGTCTGTGAGGGTGTTGCCAGAGGAGATTGACATTTGAGTCAGTGGACTGGGAGAGGAAGACCCACTCTCACTGTGGTTGGGCACCATCCACTCAGCTGCCAGCATGGCTAGAACAAATCAGGCCGAAGGAGGTGGGAAAAGCTAGTTTGCTGAGTCTTCTGGCTTTCATCTTTCTTCCATGCTGGATGCTTCCTTCTGTTCCTCCTGTCCTTAGACATGAGACTCTAGGTTTTTCAGCCTTTGAACTATTGGTTTGCTGGGGGCTCTTGGGCCTTTGGCCACAGACTGAAGGCTGCATTGTTGGCTTCCCTACTTTTGAGGCTTTTGGACTTGGACTGAGCCATTACTGGCTTCTTTTTTCCTCAGCTTGCAGACAACCTATCATGGGAATTTGCATTGTGATCATGTGAGCTAATTCTCTCCATTAAATGTCTTTTCATATATACATGTATCCTATTAGTTCTGTCCCTCTGGAGAACCCTAATACACCTGTTAAGCACACTAACATATGCATGATGGGAGCAGTGGAAAGAGAAGAGAGAAAAAAAGGAACGGAAAAGAATATTCAAAGGAATAATGGATGAGAACTCCCAAAATATGGCAAAAACATTAATTTGCACTTTCAAGAAGCTCAACAAACTACAAGTAGTGTAAACTAAAGGAAGTCCACACCTAGACACACCACAAAAAACTGTTGAAAAACAGACAATCTTGAAAGCAACAATACAAAATGACTCACAAAAATACCCTAATGAAGAATAGCAGCTGACCTCCCATTAGAAATCATGGAGCCAGAAGGCAATGGGATGATATTCAAAGTGTTGAAAGAAAAAAACTGTCCACCAAGAATTCTATCTTTCAGAAAGGAAAATGAAATAAAAACATTCTTAGTTAAACAAAGACTGAAAGTTCATTGCAGTCAGACCTGCCTTACAAGAAATTCCAAGTTTTCAGGCTGAAAAGATATAAAACCAGATGGTAACTTGAATCTGTTATGAAGAAATAAAGAACACAGGTAAAGTAATTCCATAAGTAAATATAATAGAATAAAGATATATTTAAATCTTCTCTTAGTTTTTAAAACATTGAATAAAATAATTAAATTGTGTAAAACAATTTAAAACTGTATTGTTGGGCATATAACATATAAAGATGTCCAGGTGTGGTGGCTCATGCCTGTAAAGCCAGCATGTTGGGAGGCCGGGGCAGGTGGACTGCTTGAGGTCAGGAGTTCAAGACCAGACTGGCCAACATGGTGAAACCTCCTCTCTACTAAAAATATAAAAAATTATATTTTTTGTATATATAAAAAATATATAAAATGTGGTGACAGGCACCTGTAATCCCAGCTACTTGGTTGGCTGAGGCGGGGAAATTGCTTGAACCCTGAAGGTGGAGGTTGCAGTAAGCCAAGATTGTGCCATTGCACTCCAGTCTGGGTAGCAAGAACGAAACTCCGTGTAAAAAAACAAACAACATATAAAGATATAATTTGTCCAAAAGCAATAGTATTGAGAAGAGATGGAAGGGAGCTATTGTGGAGCAGTTTGTATATACTACCAGAGTGAAATTAGGATTAATTCAAAGTAGATTATTTTAAGATGCAAATTATAATCCCAACAACAACCCTAAGAAAACAACTCAAAATATATTAAAAACAACAACAAAGGAATTAAAATGGTATATTAGAAAATATCTATTCAACAAAAATAGGTAGTAAAGAAAAAGGATAAGATTAATGAAGGCATGAGACATGTATGGAAAAAATACCCAGATAGCAGACATAAATCCAACTACATAAAGTTACATTAAAGAAATAAATTAAGGAACCCGGTGTAAACATAGATTGTCAGATTGGATAAGTGAAACACAGGATCCAACTATTTCCTGCCTGCAAGAGATTCGCTTTAGATTTAAAGCCACAAACAGGTTGAAAGTAAGTGGATGGAAAAGGATACACCATGCAAACAGTAACCATAAGGTAGCTGAAATTGCTATTTTAATATCACACAGAATAAGCTTTAAGACAAAAATTGTTACGAGACAAAGAGAAATATTTTGTCTTGATAAAATTGACAATTTGTTTTGAGACAGAATCTTACTCTTTGCTCAGGCTGGAGTATAGTGGTGTAATCTCAGCTCACTGCAACCTCCACCTCCTGGGTTCAAGCGATCCTCCTGCCTCAGCCTCCTAAGTGTTGGGACTAGAGGCATGTGCCACCACACCCGGCTAACTTTTGTATTTTTAGTAGAGACAGGGTTTTGCCATATTGTCCAGGCTGGTCTCAAATGCCTGACCTCAGGTGATCTGCCCGCCTTGGCCTCCCAAAGGGCTGGGGTTACAGACGTGAGCCACCACATCAGGCAGAAATTGACAATTTATCAGAAAGATGTAAATATTATAAACATGTTTGTATCTAACAACAAAGCCCTAAAAATACTTAAAACAAAGCTGACAGAATTGAGTAAAACAGACAATGTGACAATAATAGTTAGAAACTACAATATTAATAGAACTGCTAGATGGTTAATCTGTAAGTATTAAAGCAACTTGAAGAACTGTATTAATCAATTTGACTAACTGATATAGAAGACTGCATCTAACCACAGTAAAATTCACATCCTTTCAAAAGTGCACATGAACTATTCCGCAGGGTAGACTATATGCTATGCCTATATAAGTCTCAGCAACTTAAAAGGATTGAAACCATGCCAATTATATTCTCTGACCACAAGGAAATTAAATTATAAATCAATAGAAAGGCATTTGCAAAATCCGGAAATACTTGGAAATTAAACAATATATAGCCAAATAGTCCATGGATCAAAGAAGAAATCACAAAGAAGATTAGAAAGTATTTTGAACTGAATGAAAATGAAAACACAACATATAAAAGTTTATGGGATGTAGCTAACTTAGTGCTTAGGATAAAATACATAGCTTTAAATATCTGTATTACAAAAGAAGTTCTTCAATCAGTAATCTAATATTCCAACTTCAGAATCTAGAAAAAGAAGAGCAAAATAAACCCATGACAAAGATAGGGAGCAGGCGTAAATAAAATTAGAGCAGACATAAATAAAATACAAAACAGAAAAACAACTGGGGAAATCAATGAAACAAAAAAATTTATTCTTTGAAAAGATCAACAAAACTTGAGAAATCTTTAGCTAAACTGACCAAAACAAAAGAGAGAAGATACACATCACCAAAATCAGGAATATAAGAGGGGACATCAGCACTGAACGTACAGCCATTAAAAGGATTATAAAGAAATATTGTAAACAAATTTAATCCAATAAATTGGAAGACTTAGATGAAATGGACAAATTCCCAGAAAGGCACAAATTACCAACACAGACTTTAAAAGAAACAGAAAATCTGAATAGATCTATAACAACTAAAGAAATTGAATATATAATTTAAAATTTCTCATAAAGAAAACCCAGATGTGGGTGGCTTCCCTGGTAATTCAATCAAACATTTAAAGAAGAAATGGTGCCAATATTCCAAAATTGTTCATTATTAAAAGTCCCCTGCTATTATTGTATTGCAATCTATCTCCCCCTTTAGATCTATTAATGTTTGCTTTATATATTTGGGTGCTCCAGTGTTGAATGTGTGTAAATTTACAATTGTTATGTCTTCTTGCTGAATTGACCCCTTTATCATTATAAATTGACCTACTTTGTCTCTTTTTATAGTATATGACTTGAAGTCTATTTTATCTGATATAAATATAGATAATCCTGCTCTTTTTGGTTTGGATTTGCATGGAATATCTTTTTCCATCCCTTTACTTTCCGTCCATGTATGTCTTCGTAGGTGAAGTGAGTTTCTTATACGCAGTATATAGTTGGGTCTTTTGTTTTTTGTCCAAGTGCTTCAGAACATTGTTCGGGGCAAAGACTTTTTAAGTAAGACCTCAAAAGCATAGGCAAAAATGCAAAAATAAACAAACGAGATTATGTCAAGATAAAATCGTAGGTTGGTGCCAAAGTAATTGTGGTTTTTGCCATTAATGGCAAACAATTCAATAGCAAAATAACAAATAATCAAATTTAAATATGGCTAAAAGATATGAGTAGAGATTTCTCAAAATACAACATACAAATGGCTATTGGGTATATTAAAAATACTCAACATCACTAATCATCAGGGAAATGCAACTCAAAACTACAATAATGTAACATCTCACCCCTGTTAAAATGACTTTTATTAAAAAAACGAAAAATAACATATACTGGTGAGGATGTGGAGAAGAGGAACCCTCGTACCCTGTTGGTGGGAATGTAAATTAGTACAGCCACTATGGAATGTATATCCAAAAAAAAAAAAAAAAAAAAGGAAATCAGTATATTGAAAAGATATCTGTACGCCCATGTTTATTGCAGCACTACTTACAAAAGCCAAGATATGGAATCAACCTAAGTGTCCATCAACAGAAGAATGAAAAAAGAAAATGTGGTATGTATACACAATGGGATATTATTTAGCCATAAAAAAGTGAAATCCTGTCATTTGCAGCAACATTGATGGAACTGTAGTTCATTATGTTAAGCAAAATAAGCCAAGCACAGAAAGAAAAGTATCACATGTTCTCACTTATCAATGGAAGCTAAAACTGGTTCTCATGGAGGTAGAGAG
Source organism: Homo sapiens (assembly GCF_000001405.40). Taxonomy (NCBI): domain Eukaryota; kingdom Metazoa; phylum Chordata; class Mammalia; order Primates; family Hominidae; genus Homo; species Homo sapiens. The sequence goes on from NC_000023.11 coordinate 74,722,975, forward strand.
TTGATTGGCAATTACCAGAGGCTGGGAATAGTAGAGGGGAGGGGAAATGAAGTGAGGTATGTTAATGGGTACAAAAATACTGTTTGATAGAAGGAATAAGATCTAGTGTTCTATAGTACAATAGGGTGTCTATAGTTAACAATAATATATTGTATATTTCAAAAAAGCTAGATGAGAAGAATTGGAATGTTGTCAACATAAAGAAAAGATAAAAGTTCAAGGTGATAGATATCCCAATTACTCTGATTTGATCGTGATCATTACAAACTGTATGCATGTATCAAAATATCACGTATACCCCCAAAATATGTACAAGTTATGTATCGATAAAAAAAGAAAAGAAGACAATCACTGTGCAGGGAAAAATTTTGCATATCATATTCCTGAAAAATAAGTTGCATTTAGAATATAAAATAACTCTAAAAATTAAATAATAAGACAAATAATCCAATTAAAAATGGGCAAAAAAATATTGGAATAGACATGTTTCCAAGGAAGATAAAGGAATGGCTAATAAGCACATGAAAAGATACTCAATGCCAGTAGGAGATACCACTCCACAATTACTGGAATGACTGTAATCAATGCAACAGACAAATGTTGATTGCAACGTGGAGAAACTGGAACCCTTAATCATTGTTTGTGGGAATGTAAAATATCACAGCCGCTTTGGAAAACAATGTGGCCGTTTCTCCAAATATTAAACATAGAGGTCCCAGTGACCAAGCAATTCCACTCCTGGCAATCTACCCAAAAGAACTGAAAACATATGTCCACACAAAAACTTGTAAGCAAATGTTCACAGCAGCACTATTTACAATACTCAGAAAGTGGAAATGACCCAATTGTCTCAATTGATGACTGGATAGACAAAATATGCTATAGCCATACAATGGAATACTATTTAGCCATAAAAAGGAATGGAATACTGATACGTGCTATCACATAGATGAAACTCAAAAACATTATGCTAATTGAAGCCAGACACAAAAGACTACACGTTATATGATTCCATTTAAATGAAATGTGATGTAAAGGCAAATCTATAGAGATGGAAAGATTAGTGGTTGCTCTGATATGGAGCTGGAAACAGGGATTCAATGTAAATAGGAATAAGGTATCTTTTTTTTAAAAAAATTTTATGTTATGTTCAGGGATACATGTGCAGGTTTGTTGAATAGGTAAACTTGTGTCATGGGAGTTTGTTGTACAGATTATTTCATCACCCAGGTGTTAGTTTTTTTTCATGATTCTCTCCCTCCTCCCACCCCCACCCTTCGATAGGCCCCAGGGTGTATTGTTCCCCTCTACATGTCCATGTGTTCTCATCATTTAGTGCCCCCTTATAAGTGAGAACATGCAGTATTTGGTTTTCTGTTCCTGCATTAGTTTGCTAAGGATAATGGCCTCCAGCTCCATCCATGTCCCTGCAAAGAACATGATCTTGTTCTTTTTTATGTCTGCATAGTATCCCATGGTGTATATGTAGCACATTTTCTCTATCCAGTCTACCATTGATAGCTATTTAGGTTGATTCTATGTCTTTGCTACTGGAAACAGTGTGACAATGAATATATGTCTGCATGTGTCTTTATAATAGAATGATTTATATTCCTTTGGGTATATACCTGGTAATAGGATTGTTGGGTCGAAAGTATTTCTGTCTTTAGGTCTTCGAGGAATTGCCACACTGTCTTCCACAATGGTTGAATTAATTTACACTCCCACCAACAGTGTATAAGTGTTTCTTTTTCTCCACAACCTCGCCAGGATCTGTTATTTTTTGGCTTTTTAATAACAGCCATTCTGACTGGTGTGAAATGGTATCTCACTGTGGTTTTAATTTGCATTTCTCTAATGATTAGTGATGTTGAGCTTTTTTTCATATGCATGTAGGCCACATATATATCTTCTTTTGAAAAGTGTTCATGCTCTTTGCTCACTTTTAAATGTTTTTTCTTTTTTTTGTGATTTTAAGTTCCTTATAGATGTCAGAAAGTAGACCTTTGTCGGATGCATAGTTTGTAAATATTTTCTCTGTAGGTTGTCTGTTTATGCTGTTGATAGTTTCTTTTGCTGTGAAGAAGCTCTTTAGTTTAATTAGATCCCATTTATCAATTTTTGCTTTTATTGCAATTTCTTTTGGAGTCTTCGTCATGAAATTTTTACCAGGGCACATGTCCTGAATGGTATTGCTTATGTTGTCTTCTAGGGTTTTTATAGCTTTGGATTTTATGTTTAAGTCTTTAATCCATCTTGAATTAATTCTTGTACATGGTGTAAGGAAGGGGTACAGTTTCAATCTTCTGCGTATGGCTAGCCAGTTATTCCAGCAGCATTTATTGAATAGGGATTCCTTTACCCATTGCTCTTTTTTTTTGTCAGATTTGTCGAAGATCAGACAGTTGTAGGTGTGTAGTCTTATTTCTAGATTCTTTATTCTGTTCTATTAGTCTATGTGTCTGTTTTTGTACCAGCACCATACTGTTTTGGTTACTGTAGCTCGGTAGTGTAGTTTGAAATCAGGTAGCATGATGCTTCCAGCTTTGCTCTTTTTGCTTAGGATTGCCTTGGCTATTTGGGCTCTGTTTTGGTTCCATGAATTTAAAAATGGTTTTTTTTTTTTTTCTGGTTCTGTGAAGAATCTCAATGGTAGTTTAATAAGAATAGCATTGAATTTATAAATTGTTTTGGGCACTATTGCCATTTTATTTTTTTCAGTTTCTAAAAGCAGAGAAAGTATGGCCATTTAAAAGATATTGATTTTTCCTCTCCATGAGCACGGAATGTTTTCCATTTGTTTGTGTCATCTCTGATTTCTTTGAGCAGTGGTTTGTAGTGCTCCTTGTGGAGCTCTTTCACCTCCCTAGTTAGCTGTTTTCCTATGTATTTTATTCTTTTTGTGGCAATTGTGAATGGGATTTTGTTCCTGATTTGGCTCTCGGCTTGACTGTTGTTGTATAGGAATGCTAGCAATTTTTTCACATTGATTTTGTATCCTGAGACTTTGCTGAAGTTATGAGCTTAAGAAGCTTTTGGGTTGAGACTATGGGGTTTTCTAGATGTAGGATCATGTCATCTGCAAACAGGGATAGTTTGACTTGCTCTCTTCCTATTTGGATGCCCTTTATTTCTTTCTCTTGCCTGATTGCTCTGGCCAGGACTTCCAATACCATGTTGAATAGGAGTGATAAGAGAGGGCATTCTTGTCTTGTGCCTGTTTACAAGGGGAATGCTTCCAGCTTTTGCCCATTAAGTATAATCTTGACTGTGGGTTTGTCGTATATGGCTCTGGAATAAAAAGGTATCTTATGGGGGTAATGGAAATGTTGTAAAACTGGATTATGGCAATTGTTAAATAATTTGGTAAATTTATTGAAAATTATTGAATTTTACACTTAGGTGGCTGAATTTTATGGTATGTAAATTATATCTCAATGCATGTTGTAAGAATCTATCATTCAGACCTCCATTTTTCAACCATCTAGTCAACAGGACAGAGTATACCATGACTATGAGGTTATGAACAACTAATTCTCCCAATTTTTTATTTTGTCCATTATAGAATCATGGGGAAATAACTCACTTCTCAAATAACTATTTCCAAATAATCAATGCAAAAGAATTTATTTTAAGAAAGGCAAACTCAGGAGGTTGAGGCTGCAGTGAGCCATGATCATGCCACTGCGCTCCAGCTTGGGCACCAGAGTGAGATCCTGTCTCTAAAAACAACAACCAAAAAGGCTGGGAGTGGTGGCTCATGCCTGTAATCCCAACACTTTGGGCAGATCACCTGAGGTCAAGAGTTCGAGACCAGCCTGACCAACATGGTGAAACCCTGTCTGTACTAAAAATACAAAAATTAGCCAGGTGTGGTGGTGGGCACCTGTAATCCCAGCTACTTGGGAGGTTGAGGTAGGAGAATCGCATGAACCTGGGAGGCAGAGGTTGCAGTGAGCTGAAACCATGCCACCGCACTCCAGCCTGGGCGACAAAGTGAGACTCTGTCTCAAAAAAAAAAAAAAAAGAAAAGAAAAAACTAAAAGAGGGTGAAAATTTAAAAGTTATTTTATTATACCATCAATAGGAAAGGCTAAATAGTCATGTGTTCTCCTCATCAACAGGACATATCGGGGAAGAGTTGGTAAGTCAATGCAAAGTTACTGATTTGCAGAAGAGTGGATGCTGCCTGATTTAGCAGATCTATTGTAAATCAACTTTCTCACTTTGGTAGTTTTAATACTTTAAAAATATTTGTAAGCAGTTTTAATTTAAACATGTGATAAAAGCTTTTGAGATTTGTAAAAGTGTACCTGCTTAACATGATCTCGTGTGGTGAGAATATAAATTTTCTTTGTTTAATTTTAAGCTTAAAACAGTACAAAGGAAAGTGTATTTGTTTTTTAAGAACCTGAGGCAAATTTAATTCCCAATGCTGATTTTCCTGTGGGGATCCAGTGATTGAGTTGTTAATTGAGTAACTCCTTTGTAAAATGCAACATGATGGGTATATTTCCTTTCTAGAACTTACTAAAGAAATGTACAGAAACAGATGCATATTTTTAAAATTTTAAGCTTCAAAATAGTTTGGCATATTCAGTTAGACTGATATAAGTTACTGTGCATTAATGGTTATGTATTTTATGGTTTGAAACAATGCCTGAGCTGGGGAGAATCTTGAAGGTCCAACTATCAGGGGATTAAAATTAGGGCCATCGAGATTAACTCAAAGCCAAAGACAAGTCAGGCTTGTCTGCATTTTATTTAAGGAGTGTGTGCATAAATAGTTCACATAATCCAAAGTTAGTATAATTCTGACAAAAGACAGAAGGTATTTCTATTTAATGACTAAAGTGACACCAAAATGTGGCAATAGCATAACACAGCTTATCTTTCACATACTTGCCCACTTTGAAATTAATTATGTTCTTCCTGATGATTTTTTTTACTTGAACTATTTCAAAAGTTGCATGCATAGTCAAACTCTCAATATTTTGTATTGTACTATCTTAAATTTGCATAGTTAAAATTCCATAAATTGTGACCAAATTGGAACGTGTAAAGCAGTACTCTCTGATCTCATCTCTCTACTCCTTTCCAGCCACACTGGCTGTCTTCTAGTTCCTTGAGTACTGAATACTGCATGCTTTTCCTACCAAAGGACCTTCACATGTGCTCTTTCTGGGATGTTACCCACTCTCATCCCCAACTTCTTCTTCACCTAGGTAAATCCTACTCATGCTTAGGGTGCCACCCTCAGTATCAGGTCAAGTTTCTTCATCAGTGGTTCTCATGAAAGTATATTCCTTCAGAGTTCTTATTTCAGTTTTAAATTATATACTTATAATTGAAGTGCGTTTTTGATTAAGTTTTTTTTTTTTTTTTTGAGACGGAGTCTCGCTCTGTTGCCCAGGCTGGAGTGCAGTGGCGGGATTTCCGCTCATTGCAAGCTCCGCCTCCCGGGTTCACGCCATTCTCCTGCCTCCGCCTCCGGAGGAGCTGGGACTGCAGGCGCCTGCAACCACGCCCGACTAATTTTTTGTATTTTTAGTAGAGACGGGGTTTCATCATGTTAGCCAGGATGGTCTTGATCTCCTGACCTCGTGATCCGCCCACCTCGGCCTCCCAAAGTTCTGGGATTACAGGCATGAGCCACCGCGCCTGGCCTTGATTAAGTTTTATAAGGAAAGAGTCAAAGTCCCATTTTGCTCTCAGTAGCTACCATGGTTGCTGACACACAAATGGTGCTTAACAATAATTTGTTGAATGAATTAATTGAATAATGAACAAATATATACATAGTTACTTCATTAAATTCTAATTCAGCTATGGCAACCCAGATAATAAAATGAATCATGGGTTTTATTTGTTTTTATTTTTATTTTTAGTTTTAGTTTTTGAGATGGAGTTTCACTTTTGTCTCCCATGCTGGAGTACAATGGGGTGATCTCAGCTTACTGCAACCTCCACCTCCCAGGTTCAAGCGATTCATGTGCCTTAGCCTCCTGAGTAGCTGGGATTACAGCCGCACACCCCTACGCCTGGCTAATTTTTGTATTTTTAGTAGCGACAGGGTTTCACCATGTTGGCCGGGTTGGTCTCAAACTCCTGACCTCAAGTGATCTGCCTGCCTGGGCCTCACAAAGTGCTAGGACTACAAGCATGAGACACTGCACCCGGCCCATGGGTTTTAAAAGGGAAGGACCCTTCAATATTATAATAGGTAATATTTATTGAGCCTTTTATACATGCACCAGTCACTATTTTAAATGCTTTTTGTGCATTATCTCATTTAATTCTCCCTCAAATCCTGTGAGATAGGCATCATAATTATTTTCACTTTACTGGTGAGGAAGTTGAGGTAGGTCTTATTATTATCAAGAGGAAAGCTTGGATTCAATCTGGGTAGGCTGACTTCACACTTTATGCTCTTAAATGTTATCTAGCCCAACCTCACCATTTCCCAGATGAGGAAATTGAGGCCCAGAAGGGAAGTGACTTGTTCAAATTCTTAAACAAATTTAGTGGCAAAGCCAGGCATAGAACCCAGGTAATCTGGATTAATAATGTGTAGCTTTAACTAGCTTATTTGGCTACTGATAATAAATTAACTCTAATAATAAATGTTCAATATAATGACTCTTCTAATTTTATCTTTAAAATGTTATCTTTCTCCAAATGAAGATCAAAGGCTCTTTGAGCCAGGAGTTTGCTAATTTTCTTAGATGAACACCTAATAAAAGGAGAAATATTTGGGGAAGGGAGATGGAGTTATTTCTAAGGAATCAAAATAAGAACTATTAGTAAAACACTTTACATCTACTAAAAAATAGCAAATGTTAATTATGACCTGACCGCTCAACTGGTGCCAAGGCTTTACAAGAAGGTCTTTGATCTTCCCAACAATCCTGTGGGAACAATAGTATTGTTATACTAGGTTTGTGTGTGTGTGTTTGGGGTGGGGGGGAGGGGGGTGGTGATTAGAGGCTCTGGGATATAGAGAGATTAAAGTAATTGGTCCTGGCCGGGAGCGGTGGCTCATGCCTGTAATCCCAGCACTTTGGGAGGCTGAGGCGGGTGGATCACGAGGTCAGGAGATCGAGACCATCCTGGCTAACACGGTGAAACCCCGTCTCCACTAAAAATACAAAAAATTATTCGGGCGTGGTAACAGGCGCCTGTAGTCCCAGTTACTCAGGAGGCTGAGGCAGGAGAATGGTGTGAACCTGGGAGGCGGAGTTTGCAGTGAGCCGAGATTGCGCCACTGCACTCCAGCCTGGGTGACAGAGCGAGACTCTGTCTCAACAACAACAACAACAACAACAACAACAACAACAACAACAACAACAACAAAGTAATTGATCCCAAATCACATAGCTAGTAAGTGATGGATCTAAGCTCACTCTCAACTCTGATTCCAAAATAGGGAGAAGGATGGAAGGTGAAATATTGGCTACTGACATTTTGTGACATTGTTCCCTCCATAACAATGGATGGAGGTTCTTTTCCTCTAAGGTATTTAAGGACAGCAAATCATTAGTTATTTTATATGTGATCATTTATCTTAAATTGGCCACTGGGTGTTTCTTAATTTAAACTATTAAATTATACCTGTCTGTTGTCTGTGAGCTCCTAGAGGGAAACACATGTGCTTTATATTTCAATTCTTTGTTTTCCTAGCATCTAGCACAATATCTGACACAGAGTGAACTATTTATTAATGGCTATTAATATTAATATTTATATTTTTGACATGGTATAGTTAATATGGTTATGCTGGAAAATGAATTTTGAGTTACAGACATGGGATTGTGGTAAGACAAACATAAAGGGCTTTGCCAGCTCTGGTGAAAGTCTTTGAAGATTAACAGTTGTGCAATCTTGAGGAAATTTACTGCACCAATCTTTGTCCCAATTTTCTTATATGTAAAATAGGGAAGATGCTTCCTTTGCAGGGTTGTTGTAAGAAATTGTAATTCATGTAAAATAACTGACACATAGTAGACAATAAATAAATGAGTTATCATCTTGGGTCAGTGAAGAGGAGATAGACTGAGATTCCATTATGATGTGGGGAAGATGTTTTAGGGAATTCATGACCCTAATATAGCAGTTTTTAATTTGTGACTTCCACAAAATTCTATGTAAAATTCTGAATATGTTTGTTTTTCTGGGGAGAAGGCCCACTGATTTAATTCGTTTCTTAAAGTGGTATGTGGCCTATAAAGTTTAATAACTATAGCTCCAATTACTTTTAAGTAGAAATCTGTATTAAAATAGTGCCATAATCTCCCCAAAATTAGGTCCATCAAAAGCTCAGTTCCAAGACAGATCAAATGCCTTTAGACAAAGGACCTACCATCTTCCCCCTAAGCTCTAGTATGATCTCAACTTTTGCCAGGGAAGAACAAAAAGGATGTGAAACCACAGGGAAAAGAATGGGACCACTCACTTACCCCAACTCTGCCACTAGTTTAGTGCAAGAATCTTTATCTAAGGCCATGTTCACCAGAATACACCTCTGAATCCTGCATGGAGTGAAGAATACGCATTTGGAATCTCTATCACATGTGAAACTTCTAGAACTTGGGAGAAATGAAGACTCAGAGCATTAAATAGGTCTGATCATAGGGTCTTTAACTGCTCTGCCCCTCGTTCTCCATCCTCTCCCACCGCCTTAGACGTGAAATTCAAAATCTCCTTCACTCTTTAAATTAATGAGTTGGGGGTTTGGTTTCAATGTCTTATGGTCCATGGTGAAGAGAAAAAGACAATACAGTACATATTAAACAAAGGACTATCTGATTGTCTTTTGGTGTTAAATGATCTTCTGTGATTTGATAACAAATGATTTTTTAAAATACTCCCTACTGAGCACAATAAAAAGCTGGCTACTATAAAGACTCTCCTTTCCATTTCTTTTTTCTTGTTAAAAAATTTCCAGGTCCAGCATGGGCAACATAGTGAAACACGGTCTCTAAAGAAATACAAAAATTAGCCAGATGTGGTGGTAGTACAGGTAGCACACCTGTAGTCTCAGCTCCTTGGGAGGCTGAGGTGGGAGGATCACTTGACCTGGGAAGTGTAGGTTGCAGTGAGCCAAGACTGTGCCACTGCAGTCTAGTCTAGGTGGCAGAATGAGACACTGTCTCAAAAAAAAACCCAAAATTTCCAGATGTGAAATCCAAGTCCAAAGGTCACTGAATTAGGGCAATGTTGCAATAGTCCAGGTGAAATACCATGAAAGCTTGAATTAAGGCAGTGGTAATGGTGATAGAAAGGCAGGAGAATTGAGAGTGGCCAGTTGGATGTGAGGTTGGAAGAGGCATGAGTTGCTGGCTTGGATGGATGGCAGCATCATTCACTGAGCTAGGGCACACTCAGAGGGTAAAGAGCTAGAGCACACTCAGACTTGAATAAATGTCTGAGGATGTTGCAGAATGTCCAAGTAGAGACAGCCAGCCTACAACTAAAAATATAAGCCAGGAACATGGGGGAGATTTGTGGACATCTAGATGGTAGCTGAAGTGGTAGAAGTGGATGAGGTTATCCAGTGAGAAGAGAGACATTTCCTCATGCACACTTTTCAATTTCTTTGAGCGGTGGTGTTCAAAACCAAAGAAGTGACTGTTGGCTCACGTGTGCCTCAATGATCTTGCTATGGTTAGCCAACACTCCAGGCTGATGGGTGACTCAAACAGTTTGGGCAATTGAAAACAAAGTTCAATTTTTCTAGACATAGCAAATACTTTGAAATACTGGGTACTGTAGGGACTGAGTTCGGGAAAGTCCTGAATAAAGGAAACAAGGTTCATGAGTGAGTGGTAAGTAACATGATGTAGGAACTGTAGGGAATTATGGAAAATCTGACATCTTTTGGGTACCAGGCAAATCAGCATTTATTACTTTCAATAAACAGCTTTAACACTTTGAGAGGACTGCATCTCTGCAGATTCCATCTGGATCACAAAACAAAGACACAATTTGTTTTAAGGTCTTTGAAGACTGGACACACTAGAAGATGATTCCTCAATTTGAGGGGCAAAAGAATCCCCTACACAAAACTCTAGCCCAGTGCTTCTCAAACTTTAACATGCACACAAAACACCTAGGGATCTTGTTAAAATTCAGATTCTCATTCAGCAGAATTGGTGTAGGGCTTGGAATTTCGCATTCCTAACAAGTTCCCAGATGATGGCAATGCTGCTGGTCTAGTCAAAGTATTATTCAAAGTATGATTAGAACCTTCTATGGCAATTTGACATTGATGAGTGGACTTGTCTCAAACAGGGTACCAACTTTTTGCAATTCGTTTCTTTCCCCTTATGTTATGTTTATCTCGAAATGTAATTTTACATGTTAAATCTAATACATTTGGGCTTTTATTTTGCATATCTTTTTTCCATTTAACTTTCTTAGAAATTCATTTTTGTTGTGTTTTATAATAGTATTGGTCTGTGATGGATTGCAAAAACTATTGGTCCCTCACCACAGATAGTTTGAGAAACACTGCTCTAGATGATAAAGAACGTTTTATTTGGGACATAGATTTAATTAGAAATGGTTTGATTTCTAATACATATGATTCTAAAGCAGTATTTTAAACTTTTCTTTTTATTTATTTCATAAACAATAACAAAACTCAGCTAGGTAACATTATGACAGTTTCACCGTACATTCAGTCACAAATATTTGAAACCTTCGCAACAAGAACAACAAAACCAGAAGTGTTACAAGAATAATTTACAAGAAAATCTATAAAACAGCAAGAAGCTCACAAATGTTCATTTTTTTTGCACAAGATCACTACACTCTTTCACAACATGTTTTGTGTTACAAAATTTCCAACAAAAGTGTATTTTTTTTCTTTGTATTGTGGTTTCTAAAACCAGAAACTTTGAAGTAAATATCCTTTTATTAGCACCTAGTGGTGCAGAAAAAGGAAAACTCTCACATACAGACACTTCACAGCACTTTTCTAAGAAAAATATACACTTACAAAATATGTTACAAATTGGCACACTTAAAAATATACAAGATTTTGTAGACGTCTTAAGAGTGATCCTTAAGCTTTAAACTTCAATTGATTCTACAGATTATTTATAAAGCTTAACTCTAAAAGAAAAAAAAAGGCAAATAATTTCCTAACATTTTTAAGTTGCAGTGTCATATGTCAAACAGAAACTTAGGTTACATTCATAAAAAGGGCCTCTAACGCTTTTATTTTAAATTTTCTTAAATGCTTAAGGGGCTTGGGGAAGAAGAAAAAAATGGGAATAATCATTTTCTTTAGCACCATAAATCAGCAACTTACTAAAGAGGTGCATTCAGTTCTATGGAAACTAAGGACTAGTACATTCAAAACTCTGTAGGCAGCAAACTCCAGTCAGTGCTACAGGTAGCCCAGTAGAGCATCTTAAGATTTCTACTCTCCTCACTGGGAGTGAAAAACAAAAGGCCTCTTCTAGTTTTCATTCTAAGCCTTTTTTTGTGCTGTAAATAACCAGTCATCTCTCAAACAGGCAGAATGATTTCAATATCTCTTTTCTTCTTTTTGAAATGGGATGTCATTCTGAGACTCAGAAACCCCTGAGCTTGTTAGATGGACAGACATCCTTTCCATCTTATGTGGATGAGTGTTTCTTCAGTGTCTTTAGTATCAATTTACCCAGATACTGATTTTGAAAGCCTCATTCACACCATAAACTTTGTTCTAAACCTCTGTCTTTTACATTGTCCTTCTCCAATGCCTTACCTCTTAGTTACGATTCTGAAACCAAGAGTACATCTCAAGTATGTAGCTGCAATGGGAGCTCTGCTTCACGACTGTAGCTAGTGTTTAATGCTGAGTAAAAAATGTGCCTTAAAGGGTAGCCTGAGTCCTGTCATCAAAATAATCACATGCTGGCTGAGGACCCTCAAGCTGATGACAGTGTTTCCCAAGTTAAACAGCCCAACTAAAATTTTTTTCTCCCTTATTTGGGTCTTTGAGAAACCTTTACAAAATCCCTGGCCTACATTGTGTTGACAAGATTCCTGTTTGTTACTAAAAGTTTGATTTTGGTACTAAATCTTCTAAATGTAACTATAGGCTTAGTGAATTTTATGATTAGAAAACAAACCAACCTCACATTAGTTTTATTTTATAAAAAGAACATATTTCTGTAGTGATGGGCAGTCATTAAAAAAATCCCTAAATGAAAATGGTTACTCCTTAAATTAGATAATTTCTCAATAATAAAGGAGAAAATAAACATTTCTATTTCTAGCAATAGTTAGGACTAGCTAGTGCTCCATTCTCCTCTTCAGCATAAAAACTTAGCTCTCTTCAATTCTTGGAACTGTTCTGAGAGCATCTGTAAGCTGAAGACATGTTGGATCTACATCACACTGGTCCAGCTTGGTAATAGCAAGCATGGCTAAAAGGTCCTTGGATATGGTTTTTCTCCTTTAGGCAGTAAATGCTAATTGAAACCTACTAAAACAGAAATTCACTAGAACTGCAAAACCTCACATAGGACTTAGGATGCTTGCTAGAGTTGTTTATAGCTTTTGAAGCATCCTTTTGCCTCTCTCTTACACACACACACACTTCCCTCCGTAGCCCCCTCACACACGCAGATGCTTCCCAGCAAGGAAAAAGTTCAGAGAAGGTGAAAGTTGTCACAAAAGCCCAGCTAGCACCAAGGACTTCAGTGAGATGGCTGAAGAAGTGATGATCAAAGTAATGCAGGAGGTTTGAAAACATCAGGAAAAGGTAAGGCCTTGACACATAGTTGCAGAGTAACAAGAAGTCAGAAGGGAAAGCTGGGAGGAAGCAGCATATGTGAAGAAGCTGGTATAAGAGACCTTGGCGAGGCAGAAAGGATGGTCACTGGTTCAAGCCAGTTATCACAGCCCAAACATGACCCCCAAAGTCTCAATACCCTTCTCCATATAATATAGCACCTAACCAGGGCAGGAGATGAGACCTATTCTTAACAGATCTTCAGGGAAAAGGAATTTCTAAGTTTCCTCAGTCATGTGATATAATTTGTCCATGTGGGCACGAGTGTGTGTTTAAAATTATATTTGAGGGATGAAATACCACCTATTGGGTACAATGTACACTATTTCGGTGATGGGTACACTAAAAGCCCAGATTTCAACACTAAGCAATATATCCATGTAACACAACTGTCCTTGTACCCCTACTCTATAAAAATTAAAAAAAATTTAATTAAAAAATTAGATTTGAAAATAGCCAAAGCAATTAAAGGCAATTAAGAATGGGAAGGTTTCCTTCTGAACTTCCAGAAGAAAGCAGCCTAAGATTGTTGAGCCCTGACAATTTGGGCAGGTGGGATATGAGACCATAAAAGAAAAATTCTAAGACCAAGGTCTGAGATTAAGTAAGAAGAATAAGGGAGGTTACCATTTCCAGGAAAGTAAAGATTAAATGGGACTCTGTTAGGGAGGCATTAATAGGAAACAGCTTCTCAGAGGGGGAAGGTTAGAAGGGAGCGGTAATCAGGAATTTCAGACCAAGGATAATATATATTTCTGACTTGAGATACCAGTGATAGGGCAAAACACTATTTTTATACTCTACTAAGGCAGCTGGTTATGACAGGAAGAAAAAGAACTGTGAGAGCAGAGACAGGACCAACAAAATGCTAAATGATGAACATCTCAGAACACAATGTACTGAGAGGAATATTAAATGCAATTAAGAGAATAAACATCTTCTGCCTCGGCCTATTGCTCATTTCTCAAACTCTGTTTCTTTTTATGTTTCAGTACAAAGTGACTGGTTATGCGTCACTAATTTATATATTAAAAACATATAATACACTGCAGGCCAATTAAAAAGGTACTTTAAAATAACAATTCTCTTTGGAGAAAGGGATGAACTATGCCCTAGAATTGGCCCTTAATGGGCTCCATAGGAGCAACTGAAAGAATATCCATTCCAAAGGACTTATGATAGCAAGTTCTCACAAGGAAATTGTTTCCAACAGTTTCAGGCTGTCCTACCCCACTCACACCCCATTCTCCAAAGCTGAACTGATACCGAAAAAAAACTGGGACAACTGCTCCCATATTTACTTTTATAAAAACACATTGTATTAATGGAACATTTTCTTTATTTTTTCATTAATTGCCACCTTTTCATTACATAGAAAGCACTCCACTCCTCTAAGCCAGCAGGTGACTCTGAGGTCTGGAGTCTTGGGGATCACAATACAGGCAGAGTTGGTGATTCCAAGCCAAAATTCAGCTGCAAAACAGAAAAATCAAAAACAAAAACAAAAACAAAACAAAGACCAGTTTCTAGGGACTGGCCATAGCATTTAGTACAGCTAGCTATCAGAATAGAGAAATAGAAGAAGGTTTTCCAGTTTGGTTATTTTCCCTTTTGAATGGTAGCTATGGGGCAGGAGACATGTTTCATCTGGTGCCTTTCCACTAAGTAATTTTCCAGGGCTCACTGCAAACAGAGCATTAAAGCCTAGGAATGGGCCTGTACCAGCCTCACAGAATGCTCCTCACCCACTCATCCCCACAGACACAAGAGACTGACGCTGGGAACACACATGATCAAGAACACAGGCTTGTTCATTTTACGACCCAGCTGTAAGGAATAGAGCAGGCTGGTGAAAGGAATCATGGACCGGGAAGTGTATATACTTATATACATGACAGGCTTCCTTCCATTTCTCTCTGACTACTTTCAAATGTTGCTTCTCTGTTTGTGAATACATTTAGGTGGCATTGACTAGGTAGGTTCATATTTTGCTTAAAATTTTCCTTTTGAAACATCTTCCCTTTTTTTGTTAAATCCCCTTTTTCCCTTCCCACTTATTCTCCACCCTCCCACCCCAGCCTATATATTCACAAGTTAATAGGTTAGTAACAATATTAATAAGAATAGTAACAACGACAACAACTAACAATATTAATAATATTAATCCCCTATATCTGTATAGCACTTTATGATCTACAAAGCGCTCTCACATCCATTATCTCATCTGTGCCATAATGCATCAGTCATCAGATGCACAGGCCTTCAATTGTGCAAAGAAAAGAGATCAAATGTTAGAAGTCAAGTGGTGAATAAAAGGGAAGAAAAAGTAGTAGTGAGGAATGTTGGGGCTGTGAAATTTTTTTTAAAAAGTAGGGGGAGTACTGAATAAAAAATGTGATTTAAAAATTTGTACTTAAAATTGAGATTTAAGTTTAGTGTGTGGCATCAAATATTGGTTATCCTCAGACTAAGGGTATATGGCCCAAATCAGTTGTTGCCACAAATTGTTCATCTTATCTGATAGTAAATGTACTTTACTCATAAGAAGAAAAATTTGGTTGAACTGGGATGCCTTAACATTTTCTTTAAATGACATTGGCATTGCAAGATTAAACACTGAAAGAACACTAAAGCCATGATATGAGTGCACTTTTGACAAAACTGGAATAAAACATTTAGGAAACTATTTAAATAAAAGCATTCTATATACTTCATTTATCATTAGTGTTGATTTTATAGCTATTTTTATAATTTATCCCAGACTATTATAAAATATATAAAACTGAGATATAAAGTATCAGCAATATAACTTTGCACTTTAAATAATTTTCAGCTACAGATTTTGCTTTTAGAAAACAAACTTTGAAAGCAGCTGTTTTGTTTCCTTGTAAAACGTTCTGTAAATGCATATACTTGGGTCCCTGATGGACTTAGCTGTTGTGGCCTTCAGACTTTTCCAAAATTTTAACCCTTACACAATGGAACAAGAAAATCTTTATTTTGCCTTGTTTAGCTGTTCATGTTTCCACACAGGACAGTAGAGTCTAAAACTTTAAAAGAACGTGTGTGTGTGTATATATATATATACATATATATACACACACACACACACACACAAACATATACATATATATGTTTGGGTGTGTATATATCCATTTAAAAATAATTAATGAGCTTTAAACTGTGGGTGAATCTGTGAGATGAGGTAAGAAAATTTGGCACATTTCAAACAGTATCCTTTAATTTTGGTAAATTGTGTAACACAACATATTTTTCCACCATGATCTACAGGTGCTATCCACATAAGTGGGGGTGGTTAATAGCAAGAATCACTGGAATGTTTCTAGTAAATTAACAGGGACAACTTCCCCAAATACAACCAAATGTTGATATAGAAGTAAAAATATATACAGTACAGTCACTTGTTTGTAGTTTGGCACAATGTTTTCAATTTTTTCCTTGTGGGTAAATAGTGCATAAACTACTTGTGCAACTGTATGACTTTTTAAGTCTTTTACATAGAACATGAGATTAAAGTTTGCTCCAAAGACGTATTCCCACAATTTAAAATTCTTTTCTTTAAGCACTTACATGTCAACATACATACCACAAGGCATATTTTGAAAGAAATAAAACACAAACATCAAATGTCTTTCTGGAAAATGCGAGTCTCTTCTTCAAACACAGGTAAAACCCAAAAGGTTGTTTCTGCTTTTAGGAGATTGTAGTCGGAATCCCTGCAGAAAAATCAAACAATTTATGCCATCTGAGTTAGTTTTAGTGTATGTCCCACAAAGGGATCATACAAGCTAAATTTGTTAACATCATACTAGATGCCGTATGATGTAGAAAAAGATACAAATAGCATGGGGCACTAGAAAGCCCTCCTATTTGCCACATGTTCAGATTTTGTTTTCCAGCTAATGCTCTTTTGTTTAAATGATCTTGGCTTTTTGTCTACATGACTTTTAAATTCTATTTTTCAAAATCTGTCTTACTGCAAAGCCTTTCACTTCCAAAAATCATTCAAGAGCATATTTTAATTCTATTTTCTTAATATGTAGTAACTAGTGATGAATAGCAGAAGAAGAAATAGCTTTGTTAGAGCTTATCCCTAGCCAAGCCACAACAAAATTGCCCAATCTTTTGGGTGGCTTAAAGGTATAGGGATTTTCATGCACTTTAAAATTTTCTTTTTACTTTGAAAAAGAAGGGAATGGGACAGTTTCTTTCATGCAAATTTTTGCTTTCAAGAGGGAAAAAATGAGGGACTGCGGGCTTAGTAGGTAGTAGGAGAGCTAAGGGTGCATCATCTCAGCCATACTGGTGCAGTATTACCTCAGTTTTTCAAAAGAAGCTGTCCCAGACTCATCCTTGTGGACCTGTTCTCGCTCCATGTGCTTTCCCTTACATTTCTCATCTCTCAGGGCCTTGGAGCTGGATTTGTGACGATACAACTTTTTGTGTGTCGGTCCGTTATTGCCTAAAGTGCTCATGTTACTATACTTTTTATCAAAGAAGGTAGAGCGAGAGTCCTCGTTATAACCAGGCATGTTTGCACGACCAGGATCACCTATTGCTGTTTTCCCATTGCTTTTGCTCACACCCTTGATTGACCTGTGATTCTTAGTGGCTCCTTGGGACCCACTGTTGATCTTTTTCTTAGACTCCTGTGGTGTCCCAGCCAATATTTTGAGGGTTTTTAATTTTAGACTATTGGACTCAGGGGAGTAGAATATGTTGGGATCCCCATGGTGCTCCATGGGTTCCCAAAGGGGCTCTATGGAGGCCATCATGAATCTCTGCACATCTGCCATACCAGAGGCAATGTTGGACAAGATATAGGAAGGCTCCTGAAATTCCCGTTGGTCATCATCCAGAAGGCTGTTGGTGTTGGTGCCCATGCTCATATCACTCCAGCCTGGGCTGCTCTCCTTCCCCAAGGCCCAATCTCCAGAAAGTCCCTTTTGACTTGGCATCTTCATAGAGGCCATAGGGCCACCATGTTGGATACATTCAGCCAATGTCTTCCCAGTGGAGGATATGGTGTTGGTTTGGCTTCCCCCACGGCCAATGCCAATTTGCATTTTCTCTCCATTGATGGCAGCCATGTATTTCCCTTTCTTTGTGGACTTAGGGACCTGGCGGGAGTTTTTGCCAGGTGGTTTTTCAATCCCCTTGTTGTTACCTTTGAGGGATTTTTTCCTGGTGTTTTTCTGAGAAGAGCTTTGGTTCATAGCCCCACTCTTGCTGGGTGAACTTTTCTTTCTTGATTTTGACACTTTGTTGTTGGTACTAATTTGACCAGATGGATCATTAAATGTTGACAGGCAAGGGTTTTTTTGGAGCAGGCTGACAGAATCCTCATCATTGAACATATGGAACTGAAACTGGTGATTATTTAAAGTAAATCCATCCTCCATTTGGACCTGCCGTGAAAGGGTACTGCAGTCCCACTTGATTTTTTCCACACTGTCCAATGGTCCTGGGACACCCTCTTGGAACCCCTTTAGTGTTCCTAGTGTCTTCATACTCTCACATCTGGTAATTTGAGGGGAAAGACTAGGGGTGTCCGGTGGGGACATCTCTGAAAGGGAAGAGTGGCGGAATTTGTCAGGGGTGAAGTTGGATATATCCAGGAGGTCAGTGGACTCCTTTAGTGGTGCTATCTCATCAATGCTTTGCTGGATCACCAGCTTAGGGCTGCAATGGGCCAGGAAGTCATCAGTGATATCATCATCGCCATCCTTTTCACAGGACTTCAAGCTTAAGGAGCAATAATTACTTGAGCTGACAGAGAGTGGGGCCATTGAATCAAAGCTAAAGAGCCGACCATCATCCATATTGACTGGCCCCTGCTGGAAAGGAAAGCAGATCTCTCCATTATTAAAGTGACATAATTGGTAAGAGTCATCAGATGGGAGTTGGGTATCTTGCATGGAGTCATACAGGACCTTGTTGCAATTACTGCCACCACTATTGAGACAGATTGGATTGTATGTTGTAGGTGTGAGGTTATTTTCCATGGAGACTACTTGGGAGGCTCCAAATTCACTGGATTGGGTTGGGGCTATCTCCCTTGAGACTTCAGCCATGAATTCCTGGGTGCCAGAAGTAGCCTTGTTGGGCCACACATTTCTATAGTTGCTTGATTCCATTTTGAAGTTATGAGATGACTGCTGCAGCTCAGAGTCAGAGGATGAGGTGAGCACACAGTCCTGGGTAGGCTGGAGGGGTACAAATGATTTTTCGGTTTGAGTGAGGCTGCCTTCATTTTGCTCTGGAGAATGGTGGCTGAAGTATGAGATACTAGTGTTATTTGACAAGTCAGAAGCATCTAACAATGTCTGCAGATACCCTCCCGGGATAACAGGTATATTAGTGGTAACATTAGCAGATGATAAAGGCATTTCAGAAGAGCATGTCGTTGGTAGAAAAGTGGAACTCTTAGCAGCCTTTGCCTCATGAAATTCAGATAGACGGGAACTGTTTGATGTCCCAGGAATAACTTCATTCTTTAAATTAGCCTTTGAGGATTGGTTTTCCAAGAGAGGGCTCATTTGAACAATTGGCTTGCTTTCTTGCCCAGCAGCTTTGACTTTCTTAGATTTTAACCTAGCTTCACTTTTAAATTTGATTTTATTGAGCACTTTCCTCTCTGGCCCCTTAAACTCTGTGTCTTGGGCTTTGACTTTCACTGAGTCAGGGCCTGTGATGTCATTTAAATGTGATCCATTTGCACAGCTAGGAGCACCCAGAGGTGCTGACTTCAGTGTACCTTTTAGGCCTCCATCTTCTTTATGATTACTAGCGTGCCTCTGATCATTACATAATGAAATCTGTTTACTACTTGCTGAAATTTCAATGGATGGGATTCTTTGAATCCTGTGCCTGTTGCCAAGTTTAGATTTTCGTTTGCGAGCAGGTGGCAGAAATGACACCTCAAAGCTACCTGGTTCAAAGCTTTGCTTTTGGGAAAAAGGTGTCTTGATGGAGTCCGTGTTGGTGTTTCTCTGCTTCTTCTTCTTTTGCCAGAAGCCTTTCAAGGGTGCCAGCTTGGCATATTTGTTGAGCTGATTCTCACTCAAATTCACTGTTGTCTCACTGGCATCCACCTTACCCAACTTCACCAGCATGTTCTTCTCACCTTTAAAGCGATTAATGATGATATATTTGATAATAACAGGGGGCTCCTTACGGGTTACTTTTCTTCTCTTTTTGGGACACCATTCATCATCATCTTCCTCTTTGGAACCAACTGGCAGCCATTCCTTCCTCTCATTTACTTTTTCACCCTCTAGTGAGTCAACATCATATAGATAATCTTCACTGTATCTGACTTTTCTCTTGGCTCGCAGCCCATAGTTCTGTTGGGAGGAGGAGCTGCCAGAATTAGTGTCCCGAGCCATATAGCGACTACAGTCCTTGATCTCACCCATAGCATCATATGAGATCTCAATGAAGGAACTATCATCACTGAAACTCCCTGATGTCTCCAGGGAATTAGCAAGATGGCCCTGCTTTGGATTCTTAAGTTGCTCTACTTCAGTCCCACTGCATGGTTTATTTAAGGCAGGCTTTTCTCCATTATCCTTTCCATCTTTCTTCTCTACACCTTTGTCTTCCTGTCCTTCCTCTTTGCCTTTCTTCTTGTCCAAGTTTTTATCTTCCTCCCCCCAGATGATGCTCACATCAGGGACCTTGAATTGGGAAAAATCACTGCTCTGCTTCAGGGCCCCACTCTTAGACTCTCGCTTGGGGCAGGTAGTAAAGACGCTGGGAAAAAAGTTGAATTGGGCATCTTCCTGCATCAAAAGAGTAGTCTTGTCTCGAACATTGTCCTGAAAGGATTCATATCGAATTTTCAGGGAGCAGACATCACTGCCTAGTGTTGATTCATCATCATCAAACATGTAGTTATCCACATCTTCTTCAGAGAATAGGTTGACAGACAGCTCATTTTTGGAACAGAGGTCAAGCAGTTCAATCTTACTTTCACTAATAAAAGTCTCGAAGTAACCCCAATCCTGATTGGAATTTGCAAGCAAAGCTTCTTCTGTATTGCACTTGTCTAACAGTAATGCCTCATAATAGCTTTTCTGAGCCGGATCCTCCAAGTCAATGTCAGGTTTCTCAGTTTCTCGTCTGTCTCCTGCCCTTGACTTATGCAGGGGGAAGCCTAGGAGCTGGTCTGAGAGCAGCTGCTCTCCATATTTCATATTTTCTCCAGCATTAATACACTGAATCCCTATATCAGAGACTGCACACGTTTCATAATCCCTATTTAGATCACCAACTTTCAGACTGATCCCTGGCTCAGGATCTACTGCATCCTTGGATTCCATGAAGCAGCCTAAGCAAGTCCGACTTGGCTGCATGAGACAGTCCCCATTCAGAGCTGACATGCCTGCAGGCTCCATTATGGCAAATGGAGCTTTCTCACATTCATTGGGAAGTGACCATGTGTTCAGGCCTTTTGCAATGCCAGATGTGAGGGAGATGGCATTCACAGAAGCACTATTAGCAGCATGTTCGGGTGCTTCAATCAGGCCCAAAGGAGAGGGCGGGCTCTGCATACAGGGCTTCTTAGAGGGTAGAGGCAGGAGACCTCTGGGATACATCAGGGTCTCTTTTTGTGCCACCGGTGTAGGCTGGATAGGTGCAGCAGCTTCTAGAGCTGCAAATGACTTCATTGCCACATCCTGGTCCTCTGAGTCTAGAAAAAAGGGAAAGAAATGACAGGAATAAAATTAAGAGTCTTAGACCAGACTCATTAACTCTCTTTCCCTTGATCAGTTTCTGGTACTTGATCTTATTATATAAGCTAAGCCTTCACATCTCTATCTTTACAAATAAAAACTACAACGTTAAAGAACAACGCTGATTTTATATTGAACATTCATGCAAATGAAAAATAATAATTATTTAGGCCGAGTTTCTTCCTCAGAAAAAGGCAAAGCTCTCCTCAGAAATGAGAAAAGAATTGGACTGCTTGATCAATTGGAAAGTCAAGGCTTTCAAGGGGAAAATGCTCAGATGGAACATTAATACTTTTGAGCTACGAGGCTCAGGCCTGTCCTCCAGATCCATGTTCTGGAAGCTCCTAGTGACTCTACAAGTTCCTTTTCTTTTCTTTTCTCTCTCTCTCTCTCTCTCTCTTCTCTCTCTCCTCTCTCTCTCTCTCTCTCTTCTCTCTCCTCCCTCTCTCTCCCTCTCTCCCTCTCTCTCTTTCTTTCTTGTTTTTGAGTCTTGCTCTATTGCCCAGGCTGAAATGCAGTGGCGTGATCTCGGCTCCCTGCAATCTCCATCTCCTGGGTTCAAGTGATTCTCATGCCTCAGCCTCCCGAGTAGCTGGGATTACAGGCACCTGCCACCACACCCGGCTAATTTTTTATATTTTTGGCAGAGATGGGGTTTCACCATGTTGGCCAGTCTGGTCTCGAACTCCTGACCTCAAATGATCTGCCCACCTCGGCCTCCCAAAGTACTGGGATTACAGGCATGAGCCACTGCGCCCGGCCACTCTAGAAGTTCTAAGCCTCACATCACAGCATATTTCTAATTCACTAGGAATTTTGAGGATCTTCATCTGGCAGATATGATTTGGGAGGGCAAAGTGGTCAGATTCAATGCCTCTTAGAGACTCTTATAGCCAAGTTAGATATTTGGTGGAATAAAGTTTACAATTAACATTCATTTCAGAGGCATCCTGGACTCAACCTGTCCCAACTTTGTGGGTACTGAAAATCCATAGTAATAACAGAGGACTACCAGGAGAGATATTAATATACTATAATTAAATTCCCTTACCATTTTCTTTGACCCCATTAATCAGAGTGTTTTCTCCGTTGGCTGAGGCAACAATAGCCTTATCTTGTTGGTTATCCATGAATATAACCTCTTATTGTTTCATTCCAAGTCCAAATGCTGTCCAACCTGCACATTTCAAATATATAATATCAGTCATTAAATTTGTTTTATTTTGTGTTTTATAGGTTATTTCAGCTAGAGGGGTCTTAAAAGGCTCACTGGGATTTACCTGTTTCCAGATTGACTTCATCACTGCTATTGTTTTTGTTTCACAATTTATACCTACCACATAAAGTCAGTTTGGAAACTCACACTCATTCATACATCCTAGATCCTTCTATCACCTCTGTGCCACAATATTATTCAAAACTGAAATCCAAGGAAGCAGACAAACGTATCCCTTCCTCCAAATAGTAATGCATTTAACCTAATCATGGTTGCCTGATTAAGAAGGACACAAAGCAAAGACAAGACTAACCTGAGATAAGGTGTGTTTGTATGTGTGTTTGTGTGTGGCAATTAACTTTATTTTTGTTTGCCTCATTTCTATTTCAAATGATCAGATGCTCTTCAAAAACAAGGCAATTCATATACATACACACATATACATCATATTCAGATTTTCTCTTTCTGTGCCTTAAAATTTGACTGCTAAGGATGAAGAAGGTAGAGAATTCCTTGGTTTCTCGACTTCCAGGACTTTAACTTGGACTTTGACAAGTATTCCTCCAAACTCACAGCAAATTTTTAAAAAATGTGACTACAAAGAAGATTAGATTTTCTGAAAAGGCCCCAGCATCATCTGATATTTTTAGGTCATAGGACATATATCTATCTGTAGCCCTTCATCTCCTGCCCACCTACCTGAGTGGTATTTATGTGCAAAATGATAGGAGATGAGATGGGGGTATCTGCCACATGCCACTACAACATCTAGCCCTCCCCCTGTCCCTAGACCTTCTCCCCAACTGAGTATCTATCCCTTTATTAAAAAGCATATGGTATTGATAGTCAAGCAGCTATTATAAGAATCTCAATTGTATAGTCATTTATCCTAATGCATGCAATATACTCTAAAAAGTAGGTTCAGCATTGAGAAACAGGAAGCAGTAACAGTTCCACGTGATTCAATCTATAAAATATTTTACCCATCTGGGCCTATTCCCTTATCTATAAAATACAAAGACTGTATTAGGCAGTCTCTCAGTTTTAAAAATGTTAGATGACTCTGGGTTTCCCCTAACACTTATATATTAGAATTGCCACATTTTCTTCTCATTTTATATGAGATCTGATTTGATGCATAGGCAATAAACCATGGGTGCCAGGGAAAAGAGAAAATATATGCTTACTTGTATTTACACAGAAAAGGGCTGGAGAGTTTTAAAAGATGGAGAGGAGTGGATAGCAATGTCCAAGTCCCCACCCTTTGTCAAGGAGGGCTCATTTGTAGTAGAACTGAATGAACAGATTGGATAGCTGCCTCTGCTTCAAAGACGACCCTATAAATCAGATGGAATCATATTGCCATCATGGATTACTCTGTGCATTTTTGTTTTGGAGTTCAGTAGAACTTCAGGTATCATTTACCCCTCTTTTGCCCCTCCACTAAGTCCATCTTGGCAGGAACTTGATAAGGGGCAAATTACTTTTAGATTTCAATAATTTAATGTCTTCTTATCCCTTATGTCTATAGTTAACTACAAGCAAGTCCATTTTTATCACCAGGAAGTCCAAGGTATGGAAAGAGAGACTATGACAGCCAAGGTTGTAAAACAACACAATGAGAGATCTATGAAAAAAACCCCCCAAGTTTCCTGACCAAGAGACTAGGTGTTTTTTCTTAAAACACAAAATGCCATCTCCATGATTCTTACCAACTCCAACCCCTGACTAAAACAGGGCTAGACAAATACAAGTTTCCACATGTTACTGATCTATACTTCTATACCCTTTCAGGTAGGAAAATACAGAACAGCTGCCACAGATAAGCATCTGTTATCAGTAAAAATTAATGTACCATGAAATATATATAGGAACAATACATTTAAGTATCAACAATTATCCAAACTTTTTTTTTTTTTTTTGAGACAGAGTCTCATTCCATCACCCAGGTGGAGGGCAGTGGCCCTTCCAGAGTTCAAGCGATTCTCGTGTCTCAGCCTCCCAAGTAACTGGAATTAACAGGCACGCACCACCATGCCCAGCTAATTTTTGTATTTTTAGTAGAGATGGGATTTCGCCATGTTGGCCAGGCTGATCTTGAACTCCTGATCTCAAGCGATCCAACTGCCTCAGCCTCCTGAAGTGCTGGATTACAGGCATGAGCAACTGTGTCTAGCCAATTATCCAGTCTTTTCAGGCAGGACAAGAACACTATGTCAGGGGACATATTAGTGCTGCTGTAACTTTACTCTGGGATGTTATTTCCCTAAGAACATAAATTGCCTCTAATGGAAAAATCTGGCCAAGCACCCAAGATTTATGACTCTGAAGTAAAGGGAATCTTATAAGGTTGAGAACAGAGAGGAGATACACTTTGGCAAAAGATAAAGAAGAGGTAGAGTGGGGACATGGGAGGTTGGATGTATAATTAATTACCTCATAAGTTTGGTTCTATTAGAGTCTATAACTTTTTTTGAAAAGGGAAAACTGAGTATCACAGATATTAACTTAGTGATTATCAATAATTTGGGCCTTTGTTCTCCAGAATTAGTAGGCTAGACCTTGAGCAGACAATCCTTTAGTCCTTTCCTATGATTTTTCAAATCTCAGCTATAAACAGGACAACTAAAGGTATATATTTTTCTACATACCTATTTACTTATACCTTGGCTGCTTATAAAAATAATTTTGGGGAGGAATTATAATTTCTTACAGTTACAATACAAACAACTCTGGGCTTGCTTTAGCTTTCCCCCACTGATCAGCATTTTAGGACAGTAAATTAGGTGGGGTTTTAAAATCTATTTTGAGCTAAAATTGATTAACACTTTTGGAAGAATGTACAACAAATTGCTTTGCTGATCACAGTAAATTACACAGTGTAATGGCATTAAAATAACATTAGCATGGAGATGGTATTTTGAAGCAAGGAAATGCTCCATTAGACTGGAAAAGCAATCCCTCCTATCTGCCCTTCCCCTCAGCTGGGCTTGAGAAAGGCTCATAGATCCTGTAGGCTGCTATCCTCTTCCCCAGCGGCCTTGAAGTCTAAGGTCTCAGAGTCTAGGTGACCCACACCAACATTTGTGTTGAGGATGTCCTTGGCTTTTCCCAACTGGTGAAAAAAATCAAGGCAAGAAAGTAAGTCCTGTTTTTGTCTATGGGTCTGGGGCAATATAGCCTTTGGAGTTTGAGTAGTGCCAATCTCTGGGATACCAGTTTAAATCAATTCATCAAAATTATTAGTACTACCTGTGATCACAGTATTCTATCAAGTACAGCATAGAAAAGACAGATAAATGAGGCTAGATCTCTGTTCTCAAGATGCTCAGAGTCTAGAGGGGGAAAGCAAGCTACAAACAAATTGTAAGTATAATACACTGAAAGAGGGGCAGAAAGTTGCTATGGGAATCCCAAATGGAGGGAAATTACTCCAATTCTAGAATTCTAGAGAGGCGGGAGATTTGGGAAGGCTTCACTAAAAGCAGCAACATTAAGGTGAACCTTGAAGGATGACCTTTCTGGAGGTGAGGATGGGGAAGTTCAGCGGAGAGAAAAGTATTCCAGGCAGAAGGACCTTCATGAAATGCTACAAGTCTCCCTCCCACTCCAGTCTATCTTCTAAACAACTGCTATAGAATCATAGCAAGTTGACAAGGTACCTTAAAACTTTGTTTTGCTTTGCAAAACACTCTCCTCAATCAATCCTCACCTTCTCCAGTTGTATCCTCTTTTCATTCTGTTCACTTCCCCCTATGTTCCTAAATATTCTAACCCTCTCCACTCCCTTAATATTAAACCATTTGTTTTTGCTTCCCTGTGTCTTGCACTTGATATTCTCTCTGTTTGGAATCTCTGTCCCCTTTTCCCATTCCTTCCCTTCCCCTTTCCCAACCTCCCTTTCACCTCTCTGTACTCTTCCCTTCTCAGTTTTTCCTTGACACATTCCTTGATTCCCCACTCCAAACAAAATTAGTCTCTGTCATTCTCTGTATTCTCAAAGAATTTTTATCTCCTCTGTGTTTATCATCTTATACAAGCTTTACTACTTTATATCTGATACCCCCAAAAGACTAAGCACCAACACCCCCAACTCCACAGGGCCTAGCTCACATAGTGCTTATAACATGGTATGTACTTTATAAAAACTGGTTAAACAATGATGTTGAATGGTAGGAAAAGATGGGAGAGAATTTAGGGAATAATGTTTGGCTGAAATAGGTACAAACAAGAAAATATAGTGGAAAGATAAACTGAAATATACTGTGGAGGCCAACTAAATTGTAATTCAGGAAGATGCTGAAGGGTTTTGAGTAGTGAAGAATATTAGGACCAGTGAAAGTGGGAGAGACAGAGGGGGGGAAGATAGGAAAAAATGTTCAGGTGTGAGATGTCAAAAAGATTAGAATTCAGGAGGAGGAAATAGGAATGGAAAGGAGATGTTAGATGTAAGTAGAACTACATAGGTGTGCTGTATAGACCTGAAAGATGATTTAGATGTGACAGGTAAGGGAGCAGTAGTCAGAATATAGAGAGAAAAGACAGATCAAAGAGTTAATAGATGACTGTGAAAGAAGAATCATGGGTGGTTGGATTCCAGACCAGGGTAGTCTCAGAAATATCGGTGCCAGGATCTTCTTGGGAATAAAGCAAGGCCAGTATGAAGACCCATTATCAGGTACAACATGTCTAATGAAGCTGACCAGGACCTTAGCTGTCACACTGGAAAGAAAGCAACTGACAAGCAAGCTGTTACAGATGGGGAATCTTCAGGTTGGGTTAGGGACTGTAATGAAGCAAGGAGATGGTACTGCTATAGCAAATAGGCCCACAGACAGTTTTCCAAGCTAGCCCAGCTAGCTCTGTCTAGTCTGATTCTTCCCAGTCTAGCTTTAGTCAGAATAATGGATGGCAGAATCAGCAACAGTACAGGGAGCACATTCTAATCCATAACTCTGCTTGGCTAATTCTATTTTCAGATATCTATCAGGATTTTAAGACCCTAAGCTAGAAATACGGAGGTATGATGATGTTAAGTACAGGAAACATGCTTAAATGAGCAACGATACAAGTTTTAACAATATTAAGGGTGAGAAAGACATCAAGAAGAGATTACTACAGCTACACTGTAAAGAATTCTATATATCTCAAAAGTATGGTATGACTCTATTAAATATTTCCTCTCTCATGATAAAGATTCCAAAATTCTGGCTGGGCGTGGTGGTTCACACCTGTAATCCTAGCACTTTGGGAGGCTGAGGTGGGCGAATTGCTTGAGCTCAGAAGTTTGAGACCAGCCTGGGCAACATGGGGAAACCCCGTCTCTACAAAAAATACAAAAACATTAGCCGGGCATGGTGGCACGTGCCTGTAGTCCCAGCCACTTGGTGGGCTGAGGCAGGAGGATTGCTTGAACCCGGGAGGTTGAAGCCACAGTGAGCCAAGATCGTGCCACTGCACTTAAGCCTGGAGGACAAAGTGAGACTCTGTCTCAAAAAAAAAATTCCAAAATTCAAAAGATATGCACAAAAAACTCATATAGAAGAGGGGATACTGTATAATGGACAGAGTACGATCATTAGCTAGGTGTCCTCAGACAAGCTCCCTCCCTTCTCTGGTACTTAGTTTTACTAGCTATACAATAAGGGAGAAAAACTAGATTATATCTAAGGGTTCTTTTAGTTCCTAACAATCTAGAATTCATTTAATTTTTGTCTCTTTCTTTCTTGCTTCTTTCTTCTCTCTGTCTCTCTCTCTTTTTTTTTTTTTGAAACAGAGTCTGGCTTTGTCACCCAGGCTGGAGTGCAGTGGCATGATCTCGGCTCACTGCAACCTCCGCCTGCCACTCAGCCTCTCGAGTAGCTGTGATTACAGGCTACCATCACGCCCTTCCTTCCTTCCTTCCTTCCTTCCTTCCTTCCTTTCCTTCCTTCCTTCCCTCCCTCCCTCCCTCTTTTCTTCCTTCCTTCCTTCCTTTCCTTCCTTCCTTCCCTCCCTCCCTCTTTTCTTCCTTCCTTCCTTCCCTTCCTCTTCTTTCCTTCCCTCCCTCCCTCTTCTTTCCTTCCCTCCCTCCCTCCTCCCTTCCTTCCCTTCCTTCCCTTCCTTCCCTCCTTCCTTCCTTCCTTTCCAGAGTCTCGCTCTATCCCCAAGGCTGGAGTGCAACAGCGCGATCTTGCTTCACTGCAACCTCTGCCTCCCAGGTACAAGCGGTTCTCCTGCCTTATCCTCCTAAGCTAATTTTTGTATTTTTAGTAGAGGCGGGGTTTCGCCATGTTGGCCAGTCTGGTCTGGAACTTGTGACCTCAGGTGATCCGGCTGTCTCGGCCTCCCAAAGTGCTAGGATTACAGGCATGAGCCACTATGCCCAGCCTATTTTTTCGTCTTTAAAAATTGAAACTAATTACATGTACTACAAAAAATTGACATGCAAGAATAAATTCTGATTTAAGTTTTGTGTGATACTGAGATGAGCCTGAGGGAACTCTTTAATCCCTTCCATCTCATGTCCTTTCCTGTATGCCTCTGATTTTTATACACACATACCCCAATCCTGTCAGGGGTAGCAAGTAGGGTGCTGCTGGCGGCGACAGGGCTCCGTATGTATCACCTGCCTTCATTTTTGGCAGCCACCAATCTAAGAGGGACCCTCTTTGCCATCATGTTCCTAGGCAGAAGTGATAGTGGCTGCATTTGTGTCCTAGCTCAGTGCCTCAACATTTGGGTCTCCCTTCCCTTTTCTTTCTCTCTGTACCGGTTTTATCTGTACCATTTTTTGTGACATCACTCTAAAGAAATTTTCAAGAAGAGTAGGTGCATAAGACGATGAATCAATGAGAAAGCATGTACAAATGCACTGTATATATTAAAGCACTATACAAATGCCAGGAAACAATATTCATTAAGACTGGAATTAGGGGTAGAAAGAACAAGCAGAGGCACTATTAGGTTCAAGTCAAGAATAGCCAGCCTCCTCACTAGTCTTAACTTTTAAACCTTATAACTATAGGTAGCTCAACTTCACTGACACATCTGAGTCCCTTTGCCTTTGTGAAAGAATTTTATTTTCAGGACTTCTGCCTGCTTTCTTTCTCAAATCTGAGGAAAGAGTGACAGAAGAGTATAATCACTGTTTCTCAGGTGGGGTATTTCTTTCTAAAGACAGTCACTTTCTCCTTGACTCTAGATCCAAATGGGCAGTATAATGGTATATTAGGAACAGAGAGATCAACCTGGAAGACCCATTTGTGTGTGGAAGATGGCGAGTCCTCTGAAGAACCACACCACTATAGCCTGGCCCTTTCTGAGAATGCATTTATATAAGGACTATATCCTAATCAAAGAGTGCTTTTGTTGCCAGGCAGCACTGAGTTACATTTAATGCTTGAGCGCAATAACTTTAGGCTAAATTATCTTTTGACTTTCTCCATATGGTTTCTAATCTATTTTCTTATTACTAATTTATCCTGTTAACTGCATTTTAAAAAATGTTATTACATTCTTTTCAGAAATGTAATCACTAAACCACAGGGCTGGAAGGATCTTGGAAGATAGTCTCATCCCAAACTCCCCATTTTACAAGTGGGGTAACCAAGTCCCAGAAAGGGGAAACTACTTGCCAGTGTTACATAGTGATTTGGTAACACATACACATTCTTGGATGTGGGATGTATGTTGCCTTCTAGTCCAGAAATATCCCCATAGCACCAAGTTACTTACCAAGTGGAATGTAAGTTATCAATAAAAATAACCACTAATCAGAGGGCTACTAACTTTTTGTTTGTCTTTATTGGAGGAAATGCTGTCAGAAATAAGAAAGCTGTTCTTACTTATCCCAAGAGGAGAAGTGAAAAGTAGAGATAAAGCCAAAATCCATCTGAGAAGTAGGCACTGCTCTTCCAGCCTCTGGTTCTAGAGCTCTGTATTGTCACCCCAAGGCATACCCACCCAAGCAACACATTTCCTCCTTACACACACACACGCACACACACACACACACACACACAGGACATTCATGTACACTCAAAAAAATTATGGTGACTTTCTTCTTCCATCATGGAAGCAGGATGCAATATAAAGGACTGGAAGTTGGAAGATGAAAAAAGCTGGGAATTCTTTGGAAGTGCTAAAATAAATTCAGCTATTTAATAATGACCAGTTAAGATACCATTTGAAATTTTGGGGGGAGAATAGAGGGACTAGGGATACCATGACAAGTACAAAAGTTTCTTTATTTTTTATTTTTTGAGATGGAGTCTCGCTCTGTCGCCCAGGCTGGAGTGCAGTGGTGTGATCTCAGCTCACTGCAACCTCGGCCTCCAGGGTTCAGGTGATTCTCCTGCCTCAGCCTCCCGAGTAGCTGGGACTACAGGCATGCACCACCACACCCGGCTCATTTTTGTATTTTTAGTAGAGATGGGGTTTCACCATGTTGGCCAGGCTGGTCTTGAACTTCTGACCTCAGATGATCTGCCCACCTCAGCTTCCCAAAGTGCTGGGATTACAGGCGTGAGCCACTGTGCCTGGCCCAACTTTCTTTCTTTTTCTTTTCTTTCTCTTTTTTTATTTTTATTTTTTTATTTTTTTTTTTTGTGAGACGGAGTCTCACTCTATCACCCAGGCTGGAGTGTAGTGGTGCGATCTCGGCTCACTGCAACCTCTGCCACCTGGGTTCAAGTGATTCTCCTGCCTCAGCCTCCTGAGTAACTGAGATTACAGGCGCCTGACACCACGCCTGGCTAATTTTTGTATTTTTAGTAGAGATGGAGTTTCACCATCTTGGCCAGGCTGGTCTTGAACTCCTGACCTTGTGATCCACCCACCTCGGCCTCCCAAAGTGCTAGGATTACAGGCGTGAGTCACCGCACCCAGCCTTCTTTTTCTTCATATATATACATATATAAAATTCCAAGTGATCATAGTTTTCTTTTACTCATTTCTGACTTCATTCTAACTTCCAAAGCAGAAAACAAGACCATAAAGAGATAAACATCAAATTAATTACTATATTTCAGAACCCCTAAGAATTATAGAACTATCTATTCATTTCCCTACAGATCAGATATTTTTAGGTAAGTACACAAGAATAATGCATAAATGGTTCCAAGTAAATTGAAGACAATGCATACTCAAATACAAAACATCCCATTAAAAAAAGTGATACTACTGTCCTGGCCCAGGAAACAATCTTGGTCCCACTGTAGTTTTCCCATGAGATACTGAGGTAGCTGTTACAGGTAACTGGGAGCCTCAGTTTTACCATCCATAAAATCTCTGGCCTTCCTTCTTAATATCAGGGTAGTTCCCAGGCCATCCTAACATGTGTACTTGAAACAGTGATACCCTTTCTATATTCTAAGCAGTGAAGAACAGCATAGTTCAACACTGAAGAAGGTCTGTGAATCTGGGGCTTACTTGAGCACTCCACTTCCTTACCTCTCTTGGCTATGTGGAAACAAAATACAAACAGCTTGCTGGAAGGCTGGGACTGTCACATGGGTGTGGATGTATGTTAAGTTTTTTCACATTTATTAAATACCTGTTTTATATGTTAGACTATGCCATGAGGAAAACAGAAGTGAGAAACACAAGCTGTAGCCTCAAAGCACTTACAATCTTAGAGAGGTAGGCATGTACTTGGCAAAGCAGGTATCTCTCAGTGGGACAAGTCTTAGATTGGCTCAAATATTTATTTCTGTATTTTGATTTTACTTTCAAAATATTCTCCTAGCCTTGTTGATCCCCAGATAGGTCTTCTAGATATTGGTTCAACGTGAATTTCTTTCACCAAGAAAAAAAAAATCCCTTTGGTTCACAGGCTTGGGCCCTACAGGAAAAATAAATAAATAAATAAATCCATCTCTGATCACTCCATGAAGATAAGTGCACTTCCCACTTAACTCTGGACTTGCTTTCACTAAGTACACAACTGCTAGGCAATCCATGCCAAGTGGTAAAACTACTGTTTCAGATCCCACCCTCATCACACTCCTTTTGCAGATATGCTTGTAGTGGAGCCCAGCAGTCATGCTCAAACTGATAGGCTGATAAATGCTTAGACCTTTTCACAGCCAGAAGACCTGTCACTGCCAAAGGTCAAAGGACTCAGGCATCCTCCATCAGTAAGTGAACTCCACTGGGGTAAATTTTAAATTAAAAATTTTTTTTTTGAGATGGAGTCTCACTCTGTCATCCAGGCTGGAGTGCAGTCACGCTCACTGCAACCTCTGCCTCCTGGGTTCCAGTGATTCTCCTGCCTCAGCCTCCTGAGTAGCTGGGATTACAGGCACGTGCCACCATACCCGACTAATTTTTGTATTTTTGTAGAGACGGGGTTTCACCATGTTGGTCAGGCTGGTCTCCAACTCCTGATCTCGTGATCCACCATACCCGACTAATTTTTGTATTTTTGTAGAGACGGGGTTTCACCATGTTGGTCAGGCTGGTCTCCAACTCCTGATCTCGTGATCCGCCCGCCTCGGCCTCCCGTAGTGCTGGGATTACAGGCGTGAGCCACCGCACCTGGCCTAAATTTTTAATTTTTGTGGGTACATGATAGTTATTGGCTACTTATATATGGGGAAAGTACTTTAAGATGACTTTGACCATCTGTACAATACTTTTACAACTGCTGTTTAATTTTTATTCAACAGAGGAAAGGAAAATTTCAATAATTCCACAAAAGCACCCAGGAACCCAAACACACGTGTTAATAAGGCCATGTCCCCCCACCCCCATTAGAAGCATTTTCTCATATTCCTTTTATTTGCCACATGAGACAAGGAATGGGCTATCCAGGAGCAAGGGAAAGGATACAGGGCTAAGAAGAGTGGAATATCAGAAAAGAAGAGGGGTTGGGCCTAAGAATAAGTATGTTGCCATTCTAGTTAGAATTCTGTAATAGCCTAGCAATCATTTATACTATTAACTCTCTATTCTGACCCCTCACAACTCATTACTGTTACCCATACCCAAGGCAGCAAAGAAGTCCTCAGAGCACCATAGTTTGAAATAGTTCACTAGGTAGCACCCAACTCAAGCCAATCCTGGCTGATGCCCAAAGCCATACACGTGGCATTCTGGGGGTGCTGTGCTCATTAAAGTCTGCATAGGAAACACCCATTGCACATGCAATTCCGAAGCCCACATTTCTTGAACAATAGTCAGCTCTGCAGGACTCCTCCCAAATCTAGCAGCCAAATCCACAGTAGGGGAGAACTTCTAGGGGCTAGCCTTCTGCAAGTTCACCTACTGATGGGCGAAACAGGTCCTGGAGAGGGCAAGGATGAACGCTGTTTCCTGCAACTACAGTGTACACTTACCTTTTCTGTGCCAGGATTTGGGCTCACTTGCAACATCCAATCTGTCCCCTCCAATATAATAGCCTCTAGTCATATGCAGCTACTTAAATTTAAATGTAAATTAATTAAAACTTCAGTTCTTCAGTAATACTAGAAAAATTTCAAGTGCTCAGTAATCACCTGTGGCTAGTGGTTACAATATTGGACAGAGCAGATACCGAACATTTTCATTATCACAGAAAGTTCTACTAGACAGCACTGTTATTCTTGTTTCCTAACTAACTTGTCTATTTGCATGGGATGGCCTAGGGTTTTATTTATTTTATTGGTCTCAGGTGCAGAGGTTGATGTCATCATATTCTTCAATTCATCAGTGATCCAAGAAAGGCTTCCCTTTTGCCATTATTCAGTTATTCTGATTTATTTCCACAGTCTTTCTTAGGTAACCATTCTAATGTGGTAAATTGCGGGTATCTTATCTCCATGGAATAGAGACTCTTGTCCTGTCCTTCAATATTCTAACTTACCAGAATTACTCTTTGCCCATTTTAGACCATTGTCCATTTTTTGCTTGGCTCTGATCCTGTATGAGGTTTCTTCCTTAATTTCAAATAATGGGTTTCCATCGGTCTTTGGTCTTGATTACCTAGACTCAGGTTATTAGCTCACAGAGTCCCTTATTTCTTTTGCTTGTTTCTGACTCTTCCTACATCTTCTTTTCTTTGCCTTTCTGCCACTCAAGATTCAGTGTGAAGGGTAGTTTCTTGACTAAAGTGTTCTCTGAGCGGTGGGGGTTAGGAACTTAATGGAGACAATGTTGCTAGACTGACAACCAGAGATGCCCAGTGCCTGATGGGAAGTTTCATGTTCTCTGTTAGCTTGACACACTAGGGAAATAACCTTTTAATCCAGTGCAGCATGTTTCATTTAGTCGTGTTAGCCAGTTCGAAGATGTTATGAAAAACATCCCCAGAGAGACTTAACATTTGAAAAACATTCTGAGTTTGAACTTAATTCAACTACTCCAGAAGGCTAAAACAATGGAAGATGACCTTTTAGGCACTTCATATGCCAGACACTGTTAGGCCAGATAATGTCATGCCAAATTAGAATGTCTGTCTCTTGGGGAAGAGGAGAGTGGGTGGGAAGAAGGGGTTGTAGGTATTATTTTAATTAAAATCATCTTTTAAAATGATCTAACATAAAAAATTAATAATCTACAGAGACACAAAGAAGGATTAAGCAGGGGAAACATGATGTCATTAAGATGGCAGGAACAGAATGAATATATGTTCTAATAAACTTTGATAAGTGATATAGACAAATTGGAACTCATTTAGATAAAAAGTCTAGAACAAGAGGACTCAAAACTGATTTAAAAAAAAACTTTTATTTTAGGTTCAGGGATACATATGTAAATTTGTTATATAGGTCATAACATGGGGGTTTGTTGTACAGTTTATTTTGTCACCCAGGGACAAAGATTAGTACTTAATCGTTACTTTTTCTGATCCTCTCCCTCCTCCCTCCCTCCACCCTCAAGTAAGCCCCAGTGTCTGTTGTTCCCCTATTTGCATCCATGTATTTGCATCATTTAGCTCCCACTTCTATGTGAGAACAAGTGGTATTTGGTATTCTGTTCCTGCACTAGATTGCTAAGAATAATGGCCTCCAGCTCTGTCCATGTCCCTGCGAAGGACATGACCTCGTTCTTTTTTTATGGTATTCCATGGTGTATATGTACCACATTTTCTTTATCCTATCTGCTACTGATGAGCATTTAGGCTGATCCCATGTCTTTGCTATTGTGAATAGTGCTGCAATGAACATATGTATGCATGTGTCTTTATAACAGAATGATTTATATTCCTTTGCATATATACCCAGTAATGGGATTATTGACTTGAATGGTAGGTCTGTTTTTAGCTCTTTGAGGAATTGCCACCTACTTTTCACATTGGTCAAATTAATTTACCCTCCCACCAACAGTGTATAAGCATTTATTTTTCTCTACAACTTCGCCAACATCTGTTATTTTTTGACTTCTTAATAATAGCCATTCTGACTGGCATGAAATGTCATCTCATTGTGGTCTTAATTTGCATTTCTCTAATGATCAGTGACGCTGAGATTTTTTTCATATGATTGTCTTCTTTTGAAAAGTGTCTGTTCATGTCCTTTGCCCACTTTTTAATGGGGTTGTTTGTTTTTTCTTGTAAATGTGTTGAAGTTCCTTAAAGATGCTGGATATTAGACCTTTGTCGAATGCATAGTTTGTAAAAATTTTCTCCCATTCTGTAGCTTGTCTGTTCACTCTGTTGATAGTTTCTTTCGCTGTACAGAAGCTCTTTAGTTTAACTAGGTCCCATTTGTCAAATTTTGCTTTTGTTATGGTTGCTTTTGGCATCTTTGTCATGAAATCTTTGCCTATTCCTATGTCCAAAATGGCACTGCCTAGGT
This sequence comes from Homo sapiens, assembly GCF_000001405.40. NCBI lineage: Eukaryota > Metazoa > Chordata > Mammalia > Primates > Hominidae > Homo > Homo sapiens. The sequence continues at coordinate 74,759,494 of NC_000023.11, forward strand.
TGTCTTCCAGGGATTTTATAGTTTTGGGTTTTACATTTAAGTCTTTAATTCATCTTCAGTTGATTTTTGTATATGGTGTAAAGAAGGTGTTCAGTTTCAATCTTCTGCCTATATCTAGACAGTTATCCCAGCAACATTTATTGAATAGGGAGTCCTTTACCCATTGCTTGTTTTTGTCCACTGTGTTGAAGATTAGATGGCTATAGGTGAGAGGCCTTACTTCTGGACTCCCTTTTCTGTCCCATTGGTATATGTGTCTGTTTTTGTACCAGTACTATCCTGTTTTGGTTACTATATCCCTGTAGTACAGTTTGAAGTTGGGTAACCTTGGTGCCTCCAGCTTTGCTCCTTTTGCTTAGGATTGCCTGGGCTACTTGGGCTCTTTTTTTGGTTCCATATGAATTTTAAAATAGTTTTTTCTAGTTCTATTAAGAATGTCCTTGGTAATTTGATAGGAATATCATTGAATCTATAAATTGCTTTGGGCAATATGGCCATTTTAATGATATTGATTCTTCCTATCCATGAGCATGGACTATTTTTCCATTTGTGTGTGTCATCTCTGATTTCTTTGAGCAGTGTTTTGTAATTCTGAGTGTAGAGATCGTTGACCTCCCTTGTTAGCTGTATTCTTAGGTATTTTATTCTTTTTGTGGCAATTATGAATGGGTTTGTGTTCCTGATTTGGCTCTCAGCTTGGATGTTGTTAGCATATAGGAATGCTAGTGATTTTTGTACATTGATTTTGTATCCTGAGACTTTGCTGAAGTTGTTTATTGGCTGAAGGAATTTTTGGGCTGAGACTATGAGATTTTCTAGACACAGAATCACGTCACTTGCAAATAGGGATAGTTTGACTTCCTCTCTTCCTATTTGGATGCCCTTTATTTCTTTCTCTTGTCTGATTACTCTGGCCAGAACTTCTAATATGTTGAATAGGAACGGTGAGGGAGGACATCCTTGTCTTGTGCCAGTTTTCAATGGAAATGCTTCCAGCTTTTGCCCATTCAGTATGATGTTGGCTGTGGGTTTGTAATAGATGGCTCTTATTATTTTGAAGTATGTTCCTTCAATACCTAGTTTATTGAGAATTTTTAACATGAAGAGATGCTGAATTTTAACAAAGCCTTTTCTGCATCTATTGAGATAATCATGGGGTTTTTGTCTTTAGTTGTGTTTATGTGATGAATCACATTTATTGATTTGCATATGTTGAACCTACCTTGCATCCCAGGGAAAAGTCTAGTTGATCATGGTGTATTAGCTTTTTGATTGCTCCTGGATTCAGTTTGCAAGTATTGTGTTGATGATTGATGCATCAATGTTCATCAAGGTTATTGGCCCTAAGATTTATTTATTTATTTATTTATTTATTTATTTATTTATTTATTTAAGATGGAGTCTCACTCTGTTGCCCAGGCTGGAGTGCAACGGCAAAATCTTGGCTCACTGCAACCTCCGCCTCCCTGGTTCAAGTGATTCTCTTGCCTCAGCCTCCCAAGTAGCTGGGACTACAGGCAGGCATTACCACGCCCAGCTGATTTTTTTTGTATTTTTAGTAGAGATGGGTTTCACTATGTTGGTCAGGCTGGTCGTGAGCTCCTGACCTCAAGTGATCCGCCCGCCTCGGCCTCCCAAAGTGCTGGGATTACAGGCATGACCCCCAATGCCTGGCCCAAAGTTTTATTTTTTGTTGTGTCTCTGCCAGGCTTTTGAATCAGGATGATGCTGGCCTCATAGAATGAGTTAGAGAGGTGTCTCTCCCCCTCAATTTTTTGGAATAGTTTTGGTAGGAATGTTACCAGCTCTTCTTTGTACATCTTGAAGAACTTGGCTGTGAATCGACCTGGTCCTGGGCAATTTTTCAGTTGGTAGACTATTTATTACTGATTCAATTTTGGAGCTTGTTACTAATTCCTTGTTCAGAAAATAAATTCCTCCCTGGTTCAGTCTTGGGAGAATGTATGTGTCCAGGAATTTATCCATCTCTTCTAGGTTTTCCAGTTTGTGTCCATAGAGGTGTTTGTAGTAGTCTCTGGTGGTTGTTTGTATTTCTGTGGTGTCAGTGGTAACATCCTCTTTGTCATTTCTCATTGTATTTATTTGTATCTTCTCTCCTTTATTATTTATTAGTCTGGCTAGTGGCTTATCTATCTTAATATTTTTTTTCAAAAAACCAACTCCTATTTACATTTCTCTTTTGAATGGTTTTTCGTGTCTTGACCTCCTTCAGTTCAGCTCTGATTTTGGTTATTTCTTGTCTTCTGCTAGCTTTGGGGTTGGTTTGCTCTTGCTTCTATAGTTCTTTTAGTTGTGGTGTCTAATTTGAGATATTTCTAGCTTTCTGATGTGGGCATTTGGCACTGTAAATTTCTCTTTTAACACCGCGTCCCAGAGACTCTAGTATGTTGTATCTTTGTTCTTATCAGTTTCAAGGAAATTCTTAAATTCTGCCTCAATTTCTTTCTTTCTTTCTTTCTTTTTTATTATACTTTAAGTTCTAGGGTACATGTGCACAACGTGCAGGTTTGTTACATATGTATACATGCATTATTGGTGTACTGCACCCATTAACTCCTCGCCATTTACATTAGGTATATCTCCTAATGCTATCCCTGCCCCCTCCCCCCACCCCACAACAGGCCCTGGTGTGTGATGTTCCCCTTCCTGTGTTCAAGTGTTCTCATTGTTCAATTCCCACCTATGAGTGAGAACATGCGGTGTTTGGTTTTTTGTCCTTGTGATAGTTTGCTCAGAATGGTTTCCAGCTACATCCATGTCCCTACAAAGGACATGAACTCATCCTTTTTTATGGCTGCATAGTATTCCATGGTGTATATGTGCCACATTATCTTAATCCAATCTATCATTGATGGACATTTGGGTTGGTTCCAAGTCTTTGCTATTGTGAATAGTGCCACAATAAACATATGTGTGCGTGTGTCTTTATAGCAGCATGATTTATAATCCTGTGGGTATATACCCAGTTATGGGATCGCTGGGTCAAATGGTATTTCTAGTTCTAGATCCCTGAGGAATCGCCACACTGTCTTCCACAATGGTTGAACTAGTTTACAGTCCCACCAACGGTGTAAAAGCATTCCTATTTCTCCACATCCTCTCCAGCACCTGTTGTTTCCTGACTTTTTAATGATTGCCATTCTAACTGGTGTGAGATGGTATCTCATTGTGGTTTTGATTTGCATTTCTCTGCTGGCCAGTGATGATGAGCATTTTTTCATGTGTCTGTTGGCTGCATAAATGTCTTCTTTGGAGAAGTGTCTGTTCATATCCTTCACCCACTTTTTGATGGGGTTGTTTGTTTTTTTTTCTTGTAAATTTGTTTCAGTTCTTTGTAGATTCTGGATATTAGCCCTTTGTCAGATGAGTAGGTTGCAAAAATTTTCTCCCATTCTGTAGGTTGCCTGTTCATTCTGATGGTAGTTTCTTTTGCTGTGCAGAAGCTCTTTAGTTTAATTAGATACCATCTATCAATTTTGGCTTTTGTTGCCATTGCTTTTGGTGTTTTAGACATAAAGTCCTTGCCCATGCCTATGTCCTGAATGGTATTGCCTAGGTTTTCTTCTAGGGTTTTTATGGTTTTAGGTCTAATATTTAAGTCTTTAATCCATCTTGAATTAATTTTTGTGTAAGTTGTAAGGAAGGGATCCAGTTTCAGCTTTCTACATATGGCTAGCCAGTTATTCCAGCACCATTTATTAAATAGGGAATCCTTTCCCCATTGCTTGTTTTTCTCAGGTTTGTCAAAGATCAGATGGTTGTAGATGTGTGGTATTATTTCTGAGGCCTCTGTTCTGTTCCATTGGTCTATATCTCTGTTTTGGTACCAGTACCATGCTGTTTTGGTTACTATAGCCTTGTAGTATAGTTTGAAGTCAGGTAGTGTGATGCCTCCAGCTTTGTTCTTTTGGCTTAGGATTGTCTTGGCACTGCGGGCCCTTTTTTGGCTCCATATGAACTTTAAAGTAGTTGTTTCCAATTCTGTGAAGAAAGTCATTGGTAGCTTGATGGTGATGGCATTGAATCTATAAATTACCTTGGGCAGTATGGCCATTTTCACAATATTGATTCTTCCTATCCATGAGCATGGAATGTTTTTCCATTTGTTTGTGTCTTCTTTTATTTTGTTGAGCAGTGGTTTGTAGTTCTCCTTAAAGAGGTCCTTCACATCCCTTGTAAGTTGAATTCCTAGGTATTTTGTTCTCTTTGAAGCCAATTGTGAATGGGAGTTCACTCATGATTTGGCTCTCTGTTTGTCTGTTTTTGGTGTATAAGAATGCTTATAATTTTTGCACATTGATTTTGTATCCTGAGACTTTACTGAAGTTGCTTTCAGCTTAAGGAGATTTTGGGCTGAGACAATGGGGTTTTGTAGATATACAATCATGTCATCTGCAAACAGGGACAATTTGACTTCCTCTTTTCCTAATTGAATACCCTTTATTTCCTTCTCCTGCCTGATTGCCCTGGCCAGAATTTCTAACACTATGTTGAATAGGAGTGGTGAGAGAGGGCATCCCTGTCTTGTGCCCGTTTTCAAAGGGAATGCTTCCCGTTTTTGCCCATTCAGTATGATATTGGCTGTGGGTTTGTCATAGATAGCTCTTATTATTTTGAGATATGTCCCATCAATACCTAATTTATTGAGAGTTTTTAGCATGAAAGGCTGTTGAATTTTGTCAAAGGCCTTTTCTGCATCTATTGAGATAATCATGTTGTTTTTGTCTTTGGTTCTGTTTATATGCTGGATTACGTTTATTGATTTGGATATGTTGAACCAGCTTTGCATCCCAGGGATGAAGTCCACTTGATCATGGTGGATAAGCTTTTTGATGTGCTGCTGGATTCGGTTTGCCAGTATTTTATTGAGGATTTTTGAATCAATGTTCATCAGGGATATTGGTCTAAAATACTCTTTTTTTGTTGTGTCTCTGCCAGGCTTTGGTATCAGGATGATGCTGGCCTCATAAAATGAGTTAGGGAGGATTCCCTCTTTTTCTGTTGATTGGAATAGTTTCAGAAGGAATGGTACCAGCTCCTCCTTGTACCTCTGGTAGAATTCGGCTATGAAGCCATCTGGTCCTGGACTTTTTTTGGTTGGTAGGGTTTTTATTATTGCCTCAATTTCAGAGCCTGTTCATTCTGCCTCAATTTCATCATTCACCCAAAAGCCATTCAGGAGCAGGTTGTTGAATTTCCATGCTATTGCACTGTTTTCTGTGAGTTTTTTTTTAGTCCTGATTGCTATCTTTGTTGTGCTGTGGTTTGAGAGTGTGTTTGATATGATTTTGGTTCTTTTGCCTTTGTTGAGGATTGTTTTATGTCTGATTGTGTGGTTGATTATAGAGTATGCGCCATGTGGCAGTGAGAAGAATGTATATTCTGTTGTTTTGGGGTGGAGCATTCTGTAGAGGTCTATCAGGTCCATTTGGTCCAATGTTGAGTTCACGTCCTAAATATCTTTGTTAACTTTTTGCCTTGATGATCTGTCTAATACTGTCAGTGGAGTGCTAAAGTCTCCCACTATTATTGTGTGGGAATCTAGGTCTCTTTGTAGGTCTCTAAGAACTTGCTTTATGAATCTGGGTGCTCCTGTGATAGGTGCATATATATTTATACTAGTTAGGACTTCTCGTTCAATTAAACTTTGTACCATTATGTAATGCCCTTTTTAGTCTTTTTAAAAGTCTGTGTTGGTTTAAAGTCTGTTTTGTCTGAAATTAGGACTGCAACCCCTGCATTTTTCTGATTTCCATTTGCTTGGTAGATTTTCCTTCATCCCTTTGTTTTGAGACTGTAGGTGTCACTGTATGTAAGTTGGGTTTCTTGAAGATGGCTTATCATTGGGTCTTGCTTTTTATCCAGCTTACCACTCTGTGCTTTTTAAATGAGGCATTTATCCCATTTACATTCAAGATTAGTATTCATATGTGCGGATTTGATCCTGTCATTATGTTGTTAGCTGGTTATTATGCCTACCTGTTTGTGTGGTTGCTTTATAGTGTCATTGGACAGTGTACTTAAGTTTGTTTACGTATTGGCTGGTAGCAGCCTTTCCTTTCCATATTTAGTGCTCCTTTCAAGATCTCTTGTAAGGCAGTTATGGTTGTAATAAACTTCCTCTGCATTTGCTTATCTGAAAAGGACCTTATTTCTCCTTTGCTGAGGAAGCTTAATTTGGCTGAGTATGAAATTCTCGGTTGAAGATTTTTTTCTTTAAGAATGTTGAGACTGGGTGTGGTGGCTCATGCCTGTAATCCTAGCACTTTGGGAGGCTGAGGCAGGCAGATTGCCTGAGTTCAAGAGTTTGAGACCAACCTGGGCAACATGGTAAAACCGCATCTCTACTGAAAATACAAAAAAAAAAAAAAAAAAAAGTAACCAGGTGTGGTGGCACATACCTGTAGTCCCAGCTACTCAGGAGGCTGAGTCAGTAGAATTGTTTGAACCTGGGAGACAGAGGTTGCAGTGAGCCGAGATCGCACTACTGCACTCCAGCCTGGGTGACAGAGTGAGACTCTGTCTCCAAAAAAAAAAAAAAAAATGTTGAATATAGGCCCCTAATCTCTTCTGGCTTGTAGGGTTTCTGCTATTAGCCTGATGAAGCCCCCTTTGTAGGTGACCTGCCCTTTATCTCTAGCTACCTTTAACATTCTTTCTTTCATTTTGACCTTGGGAAGTCTGATGAGTATGTTTCTTGGGATGATCATCTTGTGTTGAATCTTGCAGGGATTGTCTGTAGTTCCCAAATTTGACTGTTGGCATCTCTAGTAAGGTTGGAGAAGTTTTCACGTATGATATCTTGAAATATATTTTCCAAGTTGTTTGCTTTCTCTCCCTTCCTTTCAGAAATGCCAATGATTTGTAGCTTTGCCCTCTTTACATAACCCCATATTACTCAGAGGTTTTGTTTGTTCCTTTTTATTCTTTTTTCTTTATTTTTGTCTTATTTCAGAGAGCCAGTCTTCAAGTTCTGAGATTCTTTCCTCAGCTTGGTCTATTCAGCTGTTAATAGTTGTGACTGCATTGTGAAATTCTTGTCTTGTGTTTTTCAGCTCTATCAGATCTGTTAGTTTCCTTTTTTATACTGGCTATTTCATCTGTCAGCTCCTGTATCATTTTATTGTGATTCTTAGTTTCCTTGAATTGGGCTTTGGCATTCTCCTAAATCTGAATGATCTTTCCTACCCATATTCTGCATTCTATTTGTTATTTCAGCCAATTCAGTCTGGTTAAGAACCCTTGTTGGAGAACTAGTGTGATCATTTGGAGGACATAAGACACTCTAGCCATTTGAGTTGCCAGAGTTCTTACATTGGTTCTTTCTCATCTCTGTGTGTGGGTCTTCCTTTCACTGCTTGGCTGCCTCTGATTGAAGTGGTCAGGCAGGGGCAGGGTGGTTGTGCTGCAGTCCTAGGTCGAGTGGCCCTGACTAGTGAGAAGTGAGGACTGCGAACTGCATGGAGAACAGACTTTTCCATGAGGTGGGTTCTCTGTGCTAGGGGTCCAGACCAGTCTTTAGTCCTCATGGACTCTCCAAAGCCTGGAGACAGCGAGAGTGAGGGCTGCAAGACAGCAAAGAGGGCAACCTGCCCCTCCCACTGGGAGCTCTGTCCCAGGGAGCTGCAGAGCTGCTACTGGCTTGATAGGCCCAGCAGAGGGTGGCTGGAGGCCCAGGTTGGGAGGACTCACCCAGTGAGGAAATATAGGATTGAGGACCCATATAACAGTCTGGCCACTTTTCAATAGGGCTGAGATGCAGTATGCTGGGGGTCTGCTCCAGTCCCTAATCACTTCAGATTTTCCAGCACCTAAGGTATCGACAGTGAAGGCTGTGAAACAGCAAAGATGGCGGCCTGTCCCTCTCTCTGGGAGCTCCATCCCAGGTAGGTATGGACTTGTTGCTGGCCTGAACACACCAGTAAGGATGGTTGTAGGCTTCGGTTGGGAGATTCTGCCCAGTGAAGAGAAACGGGATCCAGCACCCATGTGAAAAGGCAGTCTGGCTGATTCTTTGTAGAGCTGCTGTACTGTGGCAGTTGACTGCTCTAGTCAGTCAACTGGAACAGCAAAGATGGCTACCCATCCCTCCCCTGGGAGCTCCATCCCAGGGAGGCTCAGAACCACTGACAGCTGGAAAACCCCGGCAAGTGTGGCTGGTGACCCCAGTCAGGAGGTCCCACCCAGTGAGGAGAAGTAGGGTGAGGGACCCATGTAAAAAAAGCAGTCTGACTGGTTTACCAAAGGGTGGCTGCACTGAAGGCAATAACAGCAAAGATGGTAGCTTGCCCTCCCTCTGGGAGCTCCGTCTTAGGGAGGTGTAACACTGCTATTGGTGGCTGGTTAAAGTTCCAAGCCAGTGGGTCTTATCCTGCAAGGTTCCATGGAAGTAGGGTCTGCAGACCATCACTGCTCAGCCTCCTGGATTCAGCCCCTTTTCTAGAGGTATGTATGGGAGGGGGGGTCTAACCTCCAGGTTTGCTGGAGTTGCAGCCTCTTTTGCTGGGAAGCCCGGATATCTAAAGCTCCCAGGGCTCCACGTGTGCCTTACCAGCTGCTCTGCCAAGACTCCACATAGCTTTGTGTGTCAGACTGCAGGCCCTGGTGGAGTGGGTTCACTAAGGGATCTCCTGACCCAAGGGTTGCAAAGATCCATGAAAAAAAGCATGTGTCTTCAGTGTTGCTCACTCATTCACCACTTCCCTGGGTGAGGGAGGTTCCCCTGGCTCCATGTCACTCCTGGCTGGATGGTCATCCTGCCTTGATTTTCTCCATTCTCTGTGGGTTGGATTGTTTCCCTGATAAATCCCAATGCATGTACCTGGATGTTTCAGTTAAAGGTGCTGTATCTACTTGCCACTTCTCTCCATGAAAGCAGCACGCATTAGCTGCTTCTAGTTGGCCATCTTGGCCAGCCTCCCCGAAACTGATGTTTTGAGAAAATTTAAGAAATGTGCTTTCTGTCTTCAGATCCTTAAAGAGCTATCACAAAAGAGTGAAATGAAATGTGTTTAGTTAGACCACAATGGAAAGTAACGTGAGGGAGGAAGACTGTAGCTCAACATGTAGACTGATAGATTTGTCCAAAGATGAAACGGGTGCTATAAGAAGAGCATAGGGAAAACAGTGAGCTCCCCATCAATAGAAGTACTAAAGCAGTGGCTGGGCAAAACTTCAGCAACATTAAAGAACAGGTTTAAACATTGGATGGAGAAGCTGGACTAGATAATTTTAACTCTATGTGACAGTAAGAAAATCACTTGTACAAATCTTAAACCAATTCAATGAGCTTTAAAAAAGACATAAAAGAAAACACAGCAAAGCTAATAAAACTGGGTCCCGCTCAGGCTACCCAGCCATGTGCGTGAGAAAAAGAAAAACAGAACACATTCGTACAGTCTGACACAAAGTACAGCCTTTAATATGGGCCCATAGCAACAAGGAGCATGGTCTTTGTATGGACTCAAGTCATGTTGGGCATGTTTTTATAAAGCACAGAGAGATTTGTCAGGAACAAGAGGCTTAGGGCACTGGAGGAATGCTGTAGGTTTTTGAAAATCTTAAAGAACTGATCTATAGTTTTTTTTTTTTCTCAGCCAAAATCATGATAGTGTCTCCAAAGCAATTAAGATACATGCAAACTGGCCTAGGAAGATGAGGGTTCATGCCCTTAGCACCTTGGCACCACCTCTTTCCCATCAAAACAAAAACAAAAACAAAACACCTGTGTTTCCTTTCAGAAGGCTCTGCCACATATCTCCAGGACTCGGTACAGAGTTTGAAAGCTGGATAAAATGACACTCTACTTGTCTGGATTTTATTGCCTGCTGTACTCTTCAATTTCCCTTCTAGCCCAGGTTCGATTACAATCAAGGTATGCAGAAGGCACACAACATGCAATGAACCTGCTACAGTGCCAATTAAGTGCAAATATAACCTGAAAATTAAAAGGAAAATCAAATGCCAACACTATGAAAAGAAACTACAGAGAAATAAAGGCAAAGAGTCCTTCCAGTGCCACTTGAGCTCCGGAGCACTGGCTCTGCCAGCGCTGAGAAACCGACCAATTTTGTAAAGATGTACTGCTGCAATGTGTCTGATGGGATATATTCAGTCACGGTATCCGAACTTTGTAAGACGAACTCTGTGGCAAGGCTGGAAAAGCACAAGAATTTGTTCTTAAATTATAGGAATCTGCACCATTTTCCACTGGAGTTACTGAAAGATGAGGGACTGCAGTACTTGGAGAGATTGTATATGAAAAGGACCTCCCTGACAACCTTGGTACAGTATTATACTATAAAAAAATCATTTATAAATGTGGTCCTGATCAAGATACACTGTATGTACCACCCTAAGATAGTCAAACCAAGACTTATATCCCCTGTTGTTATATACACAGGTAATATAAATACACACACAGGGGTTTCTCATTGGCTATGAATTTGTTATCCAAATCCCTGCTGCTATGAGGTTGCAGGAGAAATTGTGTAGGGAAGCAAAATATTCACTCTTGTACCACTTATAAAATTAGTCCCCGTTCATAAACCCCTCTTCATTTAGTGTGTGTATCTGTCCTGACTTGAAATTTGTTTGTATGTTAAGCTTCTGAGGTGATATTTGGATGTTACTTTGTATGACCTTTTCTGGCTATCACTTAACCTCATTTGAATCTTGTACTTGAATTCTAGTTCTTACTCATTTTAGATGATTTATTATATCTTATTACTTTGTGAATTCACCCATTCTTCATTCTGTTCTCTATATTGGATTTTCCTAAATATCTGGGAAGTATATCTGATTGGCTTTATGTATATGGCATATTTTCCTGGAAAAGTTTTATTTAATCTGTGAACAATACCTACAGTGGGTAGAAAGCATTACAAAATTAGTTTATCTTTGCTGTGTCTGGAAATAGAAAGTAAATAGATATGTATGTTTCTTTTTGTCATTGGCATATTGATATATATGTTCAGTGCCTACTTATATTTTTGAAATTAGATTTTTCAGTTTTCCAACTTGGAGAATCTATATACAGTTATACAAACCCTTTTTGCAAAGTCAGTATTGCATGATGTGCAACCATACTAGTACTTTTTAACCCTTTAGGCAAGAAGCAGTGTAAGAAATATCTTGTCAAGGATTATAGCCCAGATTTTCCCATGTTTGTTCTTTATGTATAAAGAAAAATTCATAAGATTACTTATTAACTATCAGTCATAGCCCAATGGGGTAGACTTTGTTCAAAGAATTGACCTTTGCTTATAAAAATTAAAATAAGCTTTTGGTCTTGTGGTAGTTTCTCAGCTTCAGTTTTTTATTTATGAAAATAAGAACCTACTATACAGTAGACTGATATTTATAATAGCTTATAGCAATATATTTTAATTCTCTGCAACCTTTTTAATCATCAAAGATTAAATTGTTGCATATGTTAAAAAATAAAGGCAAAGAGAATAAAAGAACCTGTTTTTAGCCTAGCAATGCAGCTCCAGTTTTGTTATATAACATTCTATCGTCCCACACATCTGCATACTCTATACCTTTATCAAAATTTGCATACTCTATACCTTTATCAAATTGGTTGTTTTAGTATATTTATAATCAATATGTCTTATAAAGTTGATTTCATAAATTTATTTAGTGGCATATGGCTGCTCTGGGTTTCTAAGACAACAAATGTACTTTGCCTTAGCCACCCAGTATCTCATGACTGGTCGCGATCTTCAGGTCTTGAATTTGGGTACTGACAGTACTGAGGTAGTTTTGGCCTAGGGAATGGCTCCAGCATGAAGGTGGTGGTGGTGGCTAACATTAGAGGTTAGTTTGAAATCCCTGATTTCAGCTGTATAATCTGGGCTGTGGAATAAAAAGTCTTAAATCAACCTTAGGGATATTGTCTAAAAGTAGCTACCTGTTACTGCTAAACATTCTCTCAGTGTCTAGTACAGGGCTTAGTAGTTTAGTTTCTTTCTCTCTACACCTATTTTGGTTCCAAAGGCATACGGTATATAATATAATAATAATAGTGAAAATGATAATAATAGCTAATATTTAAGTAGTGTTATCTTCTTTTGGAGCTGGGTAGAGGTGAGGGTGGGGAGAAAGGGAAATTAATCAGTATTGAATGAAATCACTAGGCTGCTTTCTGGTCTCTGTCTTCCACTTAGTAGCTATGTGATGCTGGATAAATCACTGAAACTCTCCAAGCTCCAGTTTCCTTATCTGTCTAATAAAAATAATAGTTACCTCATAGGCTTACATGGTTATACAATTTTTACATACAAATAAAATTTAACTCTCACTCTGTGTGTGTGTGTGTGTGTATGTGTAAAGAAGTACAGTACCTGGCTCATAGTGGGTCCACAAAAGTGGTAGTACTTATCTTCTTCTCCCTCTTCACCACTCAGAGTACCATTTAAAGAATTCCTGATAGGATACTCTTAAATTGTGAAGTGGAATCCCCAGGATCCTGTGGTAATTCAAGGAGGGGGACACAGAAACCAGTGCTCAAAGCAACTAAGCAGAACTACAAGAATGGGGAGAACTACCTGAATGGGGCAATCAGGTCCTTCCTTCATCTTTTCTGTTGATCTCTAAGACATTTTGTGGTGCCAAAAGCAATGGGAATGATAAAGTTCCTACAGCCTATATAGTGTCTGCAAATATTTGCTGAATGGAGACAGAGCCGTGGAACATTGTGGGATATGGTTTAGGATAAATTGAAAAACCTTGCCTTCTGCCATGCAGTCAAGCTCCTCCACTACAGTGTGGATGGTTTCACATGGCCCTAGTATAATCCTACTTTTTATCCCACCATTTTCTACCTCTCCCCACCAGGGCTATCCTGGAAGACCATATTTTGCTTTTCCCCAACATCTTAACAAACTTATTCTATCAAAACTCAAAACAGCCTGAAGTGGAATCCAGAATCCATTCAGGTTTTTAGGTGGAGAGGCAGGTCAGAGGAGAGAGGAACCAATGTTTTCTGCCCCTGAAAGCTGATGACAAAAGTCTCTGCTACTTTTTCTCTCCAGCCCCTCCTTGGGGAAAGAAAGAAACACCTCAATTTCCATGACCTGCTCCATTTAGTCTCCTTTAACCAATGACAGTTTCAATCTTGGTTATTACTCCATCCAGTTATGCAACAAGCAGAAAGCAGACCTTGATATGATATCTTTAGAGTCATCTGTTCCTTGCAGAAATGGTGGAAGCAGGACCTTCTGAAAAAATATATTAGTCATTAAGGCTTTTACTTTAAAGTCCTCAACTTCTTACCTCTTCAGGTATCCACTGTCCTCATGTCTTTCAAATGCTTATCCAGCTTCTTATTCAAATTTTTAAAAAGGCCCCTATTTCTTGGGGAAATAACTGGGGGGTGGGGGAAATCAAGCTACAATTATACTTTTTAGCAAGAAAAAAAGAAATCAGATGGTGATGAAATCTCAGGAGAAAACATAGATTAAAGTCTGCACTTTCTAAATCTGTTACTTAACTAAACACATCTGTTAAAAATGATGTCTGTGCTGCACATGTATATCTATAATAGTGCTAGCATTAGTATTCAGATAGGATGTAGGTAACCTGCCCCATTTTAAAGATATGCTCTCAGAAAAACTTTCTCCCAGAGTTGGGGACTGGGGGATTCTACAAGGATCCATCCACAAGCTCACCTGGTTACACTATATGTCCACAATATGGGAAGGAAAGATTAATGTTTATTGAGTGATCCTCTACTAAGCACTTTAAATATATTTATTACTTTAATTCAAACAATGGTCTTACAAGATAGTTATTACTATCTCCTTTAATATATAAGGAAACTGAGACTCAGTAAAAGTTAAGTAACTCTTTCAGGCCCACCTGCCTAGCAGGAGGGGAATCAGGATTCAAACCTAACATTGAGTTAGTACAAAGCTCATGGTCCTGCTATTCAATCACAGGCTTTTGAGATGTCTGGGCTGAGAGCTAGGGTTCAGTCTTTGGTGGGGCCATCAAGGTGGACTGACTCGCCCCAAGACTGGTAGGGCAACCTTCAACTCATTATATGCTGCTCTATACAATCAAGTTGAACTCTTTACATATAAAACATCCTTTAAAAGAAAAGTAATGGTCAGGTGCGGTGGCTTACGCTTGTAATCCCAGCACTTTGGGAGGCCGAGGCGGGTGGATCACCTAAGGTCAGGAGTTTGAGACCAGTCTGGCCACTATGGCAAAACCCCGTCTCTAACTAAAAATACAAAAATTAGCTGGGCATAGTGGCGGGCGCCTGTAATTCCAGCTACTCGGGAGGCTGAGCCAGGAGAATCCCTTGATCCTGGGAGGCAGAGGTTGCAGTGAGCTGAGATTGCCCCACTGCACTTCAGCCTGGGCGACAGAGTAAGACTCCGTCTCAAAAAAAAAAAAAAAAAAAAAAAAAAAATAAGAAAACGAGAGAAGAGGTTGCAGTAGGTTCTGAACTTGATGAACATCTGTAATTGAGAGCTGGCATTTATTTGAGGTACTTCTGTTGGCTCAAACTTATCAAAAGAACACAATAGTGTCTTATCTATGAACAGCTTTTTGCACATCTTAGAAAGTCATACTTTTTATTTTTTCCAATGCTACTTCTAACTAAAGTTAAGGAATTTATAAGTGAATATGGTAACAGGATTATAGAGGGCTTTACAGTTTAATAAAACTATCATATCCATCCTACCACTTGAAAATCATTACACTGTGAGAGGAAAATAATTATCATCTTGATTTACAGATGAGAAAACTAAGGACAAGGGAAGTAATAATATATTACTTTATCACCTTAGTAATGGCTTTATCACCTTAGTACGTGGCCCTGTAAAATAAAGATGAAGATCCCTGTCATTTCTACTTAACAGGGCTGTTGGGGGCTCAGATGAGAGAAATAATGAATGTAAGAGTGCTTAATGTCATCAGCTACTTTGAAAGAAATCAGACCTTTGGAGCCTAGAAGAGTTATAGTCAGTTTTAAATAAATATTCTGTGGATCATGCATTCTGTTGTCACTTATGATACATCGTCATATCAACTCAAAACATTCTTTGTGAAGAAATAAGATGACAGCTCACCTTAAAATGTGCTCTGTAGCTCTTTGATACTTTAGGTAAGTACTTTTAAAAATTAGTTGAGAATAAGATGAATGTGATGATATTGCTGACTATATTACATAGCCTC
The DNA here is from genome assembly GCF_000001405.40 of Homo sapiens. Taxonomy (NCBI): domain Eukaryota; kingdom Metazoa; phylum Chordata; class Mammalia; order Primates; family Hominidae; genus Homo; species Homo sapiens. The sequence continues at coordinate 74,774,707 of NC_000023.11, forward strand.
TTTCCTCTGAACTCTAAGGATCACTAGGGTCCAAAGGAAACAGCTTCATTTAAAGGCCAAGATACCACCAGTAAGAAGGCAGGAATAGTGAGTAAGATGATGAGTCAAAGGATAGAGAGGTGCAGCAAAATATCTCCTAACATCTGCCATTATGGGGTGAGGAATGAAGAAAACTGCACACTCACATTTTGATCTTTTCCCAGTGCCAGTGACAGCTTAATTACCACTCATTATATACTAAGATAAAAATATCATTATGTGCCTAGATCAAATGAGTCCACTATTAGGCCACCTATGGACTAAGCAGTGTCATTCTGGCCCCTGTTAAAATATTTTTTTGGGGGGAGAAAGGAGACTGTTATCCTGACCCACGTTGTTTTTTCCCCCACATCAGCTAATGGATAAGCAGACCCAAGTTGTTTTTATTCCTTGCTTCCTGCCTTATTCCTTTCTAGCTCCTTTTCATTTTTTGCTCCAATCATTTTCCAATTTTCTTGTCTCAACCAGTTCTGTACTGTCATTTACCTCTTCTCACAAAATGTTCCAGCATATTTACAACAATTCTGAAATAATTGCACCACACTCAGATATGGCATTCTCATCTCCACCTATTCCATAATATGTCCAAATTGATGTTTTTGCCAGGATACTGGGCCTTGAAAAGGTGAAGGCCAGTATTATTATAAAGACAGAGCCGTAAATATGATCAAGTAATTAAAGATCCAGAACCCCTATGGAGACTATCTAATAAAGGGCATCTTGCCATTTGCAAAAACATCACAGAATCAGTTTAGAGCCTGCTATTTTGTTGATGCCTTGAACACTACCAAGATTGCTCTACCAGAGAGGCAGTCTTAGGTTCTTGGAATATGAAGAACTGAGATTAAGGAGCTGGAGATTTCCAGCCAATGGGTATGAAGGGCTGAATATTTTTTAGGTGGGTTAACATGACAAAGTTTGCTGCTACTTCTTACCCCTAATCTCACCCAAGTGGACTAGGGTTCAATCCTGTTGCCTCAGAGCGACAGCTCTACCTACTGACACTAAAATCTGTGCAGTCACCCAAATTGTTGTCACCGAGAAGCCATAGAAAGATAAGGCAATATTGTGACTTGATTCCATTTTGATGGAGAGGTCACAGTAGGCTCATTGCTAAATTACTGTGAAGAATAGTGTGTCACCTTAGAGCCAATGATCTCCAAACATTTAATTGCAGCAAGTGATTTATTTGGTATTTTCTGTATGATTTATTTATACTGAAAACACATTTTATGTATTTACTTATTCATTTAACCATAAAAGTGATAAAGGACAAGGGGACAAGATATATAGAATTTTACCTGGAAAAGGCATCATGGCCTTTGTACTCCCTTTAGATAAAATTCTGGCCCTGTTGAACAAAGAAGGAAACCCATCCAAGTAGAAGGGGAATTTCTCCCAAAATGTGAGCATGTCATCATTTCTCCATGTACCTTAAGTAAATGAAGAATGTTTGTGTGTCTGATATGCATGAACAGGCGGCACAGACAGTGTTTGCAGGTGAATGGCAATAAACAGCTCTCATTATCAATGCCTCCCATATGGTATCTTTCATTCCTTCTTGAGCGTTTCCAAGTGAAGCTACACCATAATCAAGGTCCATGGGGAAATATAGGGATGAAGATGAATGAGTTAAACTGGAGTCACATCACCCTTAGGAGTGGGATCACTTTATTCCTAGAAAAGTAGGATTATCTTGGCCGGGCGCGGTGGCTCACGCCTGTAATCCCAGCACGTTGGGAGGCCGAGGTGGGTAGATCACCTGAGGTCAGGAGTTCAAGACCAGCTTGGCCAACATGGTGAAACCCCGTCTCTACTAAAAATACAAAAAATAACCTGGGCGTGGTGGCGGGCACCTGTAATCTCAGCTACTTGGGAGGCTGAGGCAGAAGAATTGCTTGAACCTGGGAGGTGGAGGTTGCAGTGAGCTGAGATCGCACCACTGCACTCCAGCCTGGGCAACAAGAGCGAAACTCAGTCTCAAAAAAAAAAAAAAAAAACAAACAAAAAAAGGAAGTAGGATTATCTTATATAACAATGAATGAGTCGACTTTTCAAGATTAAAAATATGGCATTTCCCCAGGACCAGTTATACGTTAGACTTACTAGTTACTGACCATTTCTCCAACATAACCTTAGCCCAGTTGTATGCAGTCAAGTAAACTGAAACCCAGGCTGCTATTTTAGCAGCTGCTGATGGGGCTGGGTTAAATTCTACACATTAGCGACTACTTAAACAACAAGCTGGGGGAAATGTTTGCTGCTTTTAGATGAGTGCAAGTTTAAGTTCCAACACTAAGTTGACCTATCCCCTCTAATGATAAGGATATTAACATCTATCAATTACCTGCTGTGTGCTAGAAACTTTATGTTGATATACATTTAACCCTTACAAAAACCCTGTGAAGTAGGTAGGAATTAGCATTACTATATTATAAATGAGAAGCTCTAAAGCTTCTCAGAGAGTTTAAGTAACTTGCTCAGAGTCACACAGCTTTACCATCATTATAGGCCAATATGCTCAGGTCAGAATAGACATTTTTGACCCTGTTTAAATTTTTAAAATTGATATATCATAGTTGTACATACTTTTGGGGTACACGTGATAATTTGATACATGTATACAATGTGTAATGATCAAGTCAGGGTAATTGAGATATCCATCACCTCCAACATTCATCTTTTCTTTGTGTTGGGAACATTACAATTTTTCTCTTCTAGATATTTAAAAATATACAATAAATTACTGTTAAATATAATTTCCCTACTGTACTATCGAATCACATATAGGCAGTTTAAGGAGGGAAGAGATGCATGTGTGTGTCAAAGTGAACAGCAGTTTCCTGAGTAACTATAAGAATACATTGCTACTTCAATATTTTTCTCGTTTTCCATGTAATTTCCCCTTAGTTTACAGTCTTTTTGTGCTGGTGTTTTGCTCAGTTTGTCTTTTGTACTGTTAAAATATGCCCCAACAGACAGATAAAATGGACTCCCTGTGGCTAAAATGAGACACACCAAAAACAGAATCTCATGGCCAGCAGGATTGGGGCTTAGTTAAGTATTTCTGTGTTATTAACTGCCATAAGCTTTTTCCCCTGTAATTAAGCAGAAACCAGCTCCCAAAAAGCATTACTGAAACAACTACAGCTGGAAAATTTCCCAGTTGACCGAGATAGACTGCCTGATGCCAACCTATTGAATCCACTGACCTCCACTCTCTATCCCAAGCCCCTGCCTTGCAGTCCCACCACAGCTCTGATTGGACAGAGGACCTGTCTTATGAACATTTTTTACTGATAAATGGCTGCAGACCTTGAGCCAGTTTCAACCAACTTATAAAGACTGTGCATGAACTTTGTGTCCTGTAGTTCACCTTTAGATGTAAAGAGCCAAATTCCACCTCATTTTAATACTAAAACCTCACCCCAAAGTGAACATGAAATGCATGCTACATACATGTTTACCCACTGTGCATGGTGCCTGATTCCTCTTATAAATATTCATAGATTTTTCCCAACCTAACTCAATTATGTATGGATGGCTGACCCCAGCTCCTTGCCCCTTCTGTGGGGCTTGTACTGAAGCTGCACTCCCGGATCTACAGATTGTATCTCCTCTGAAAATAAAGTCTCCTTTCCTTCCTCCATGGATCTCATCTCCCTTTCTCCCTTCCTCCCTTCCTTCCTTCTTTTCTTTTTTCTTTCATCTCGCTCTCTCGCCCAGGCTGGAGTGCAGTGGTGCAATTACCTGCTGTGTGCTAGAAACTTTATGTTGATATACATTTAACCCTTACAAAAACCCTGTGAAGCAGGTAGGAATTAGCATTACTATATTATAAATGAGAAGCTCTAAAGCTTCTCAGAGAGTTTAAGTAACTTTCTCAGAGTGACACAGCTTTACCATCATTATAGGCCAATATGTTCAGGTCACAATAGACATTTTTGTCTCACTTTTACCTTACATTACATTTTGTCTCACTGCAACCTCTGCCTCCCGGGTTCAAGTGATTCTCCTGCCTCAACCTCCAGAGTAGCTGGGATTACAGGTGCATGCCACCACATCCAGCTGGGGTTTCACCATGTTGGCCAGGCTGGTTTTGAACCCCTGACCTTAAATGATCCGCCCACCTCAGCCTCCCAAAGTGCTGGGATTACAGGCATGAGCCACTGTGCCCGGCTGATCTCATCATCTTTTAACAGTACTTCCTCAATTTCTTTTCAGAGACAACAAAGGCTTTCATTTTAACCCAGTCACATTAACACAAATGCTGGGTCCTCCAGCTCTGAGAAAGCCTGGAGAAGATTCTTGCACATTCTTGCTGCTGCAAATAGGTCAAGTTCAGACGCCATTCACCAATTCATCTCTGGGAACTTATATCTTAAGCCTATAAGCTAACCATTTAAAGTTAAAAATTTGTTTCCAACAAATAGATATGTTTTTCACTAAAATCACCTATGATGCCAGAGTTCTGACTGATTGAGTAAGACGTAATCTGACCTTCTAAGCCCCAGTGTTCTTATTGTTCTCTTTTCTTTGGCCATATCTTGTTTTCAATCATCCTCTTCCATGACTACGACCACATCTTACAATGGAAGCTAACAAATGGGTTTCTGGTAGTAGGTGTCTGTCTCTGTTCTAATTCACCCTGCATGCTGCTTTTTAACACACTACTTTTTCAGCAGTCTCCTGGCTCAAGAACTCACAATGAGTCACCACTGCTTACTATATACAGTCAAGTCTCCTTTGCCAGGCCTTCAGGGACATCTATAATCTGGCTCTATCATACCTCAGCAGTCTTACGTGGCACCATGCACAACACCTGACATGTTCTTTCCAACTCAGAGGCTCCTGCCCTTACTTTCCCAACATAGGCAAGATCTCCCTGCCTTCTTCCTCTGTCTTTCTTAAGCTGAAAGGCCCAGCCCACCTTGACCTCTACTTTTCTGAATGCCTTTTGCTCCACACTATTTGACACCTGATGCTATTTTGTCTTAGATTGTTTCATTTCTTCTAACAAAAGACTTAATTTTTCTGTTTTGTAGACCCAACCAGAATATGAGCTCCTGGAAAGCAGGCTTTTAGGATTTTACATCTACCACCATACCCTGCCCCTAAACACATAGCTGGGCTGCAATAAGGGATCACTAGATCCTTGCTGCTTGATTCCCTCAAAAATATTTCATTTGGTGAATCTGGGACACAGATTTATATAGTTTATACTTGGAAATGGCTGGGGGAATGTAGGTTCAATTATCATTTAAGTTTGTTACATTTTACTAATTGCCTTTATATACTTCCTCCGCCAAAGCCAGTCTGCTGTAATTATTCCTGGGCATTCGTTTGGGAACTTCACCAAAATACCAAAGGAAAATAAAATCTAACCACATTCAAGTGATGTAATTGCTACTGGTCTTTGTATCAAACACAGATAAAGGTTAGGTTTTTGTCTTTCCTAATGTTAACTTTAATCAGTGTTCAGATGAACTGAACCTAAGCAAATGTGGGTCTATAAATAGGCCTGGAACTCTATATACCACATGATCTAGTTGGAGGCATGGTTCATGGATGTAATAAAAATTGTGTGCCTTTTGACATTTGTTGACTAATCTGATAAAACCATCTTACTGTTTTTTTTTTTTTTTCTTAGAGATGGGGTCTGGCTCTGTCACCCAGGCTGGAGTGCAGTGGCATGAATATGGCTCACTGGGCTTTACCTCCTGGGCTCAAGCAATCCTCCTGCCTCAGTCCCTCCCGGGACTACAGGCGTGTGCCACCATGCCTGGCTAATTTTTTTTTTTTTGTATTTTCTCTAGAGATGGGGTTTCGCTATGTTGCCCAGACTGGTCTCTAACTCCTGAGCTCAGGCAATCGGCCCGCTGTGGCCTCCCAAAGTGCTGTGATTACAGGCATGAGCCACTGCGCCTAGCCCCATCTTAAAATTTTCACAGCACCTTATAGGCTATAAAATATTTCATATCTGTTATTTTATTTGATCTGTACAACAAAGCTATGAAGCATGTATTATCTCTTCTAGGGAAGATGAAACAAACTCAGTCAGAGAAGTTAAGAAACCTACCAAAGCCTCAAGGCTAGGAAGTGGTAGAAACAAGACATGAATCCAAGGTGCAGAGAAGTTGGGCAGGGAAGGGAGAGTACAGCACAGTGGGGGCCCTGGGGACTCACCTGAACATGAGCTGTGTGATAGGTACTGTCAGATGAGACAAATATGAGTGATTATCCTTACCCTAAAGGTACATAAATGTGTGAGAATATAGAAAGCCTGGGCAACTGTTAAGTCCAAAATGAGGTCTTCAGACCTATGGTCCTTCCATTATTCCACACTGCCTCCCACAGTTCTGTTGCTAGGGCCCAGCTCCCACTTACCACATTCTAGCTCTTCTCCTTTTAGCTTTCAGAGGCCAGCTTTTGGCATCGTTACAAAGTAGACTTTGATAAAGTTTCACTGCTCTCCGGAGAAATAGTAAGAGAATGTTAGCTGGAAATGAATATTGAGAGAGGTTGCTACGATCTCCTTTAGAGAGAACTGAATCAGGTTAGTGGCATAAATCGATGAGGGCAGGAGTTTTGTATTTTTGTCTATTGCCAAATGTGCAGTTGGTATGGAACAACAAACCATAACGTTTGAAAAAGAGAGATCAGAGGAAGAGTGGAGGGAGAGGTGAAGGAGGAGAAGAGGGAGAAAGAACAAGAGGGAAGCCTTAGGTTTCCTTAGGTGTATGTGAAGCCTTAGGTGTATGTGAAAGCCTTAGGTGTATGTGAAATTTATACTAAGATTTTCCCTCTTACCAGGGTGTGGTGTAGCTCAGTTTCGTGGAGGCCAGTGGTTTATGTGTATGTGAAATGTATGTGAAAGCCTTAGGTGTATGTGAAATGTATACTAAGATTTTCCCTCTTACCAGGGTGTGGTGTAGTTCAGTTTAGTGGAGGCCAGTGATTTATGTGTATGTGAAAGCCTTAGGTGTATGTGAAATTTATACTAAGATTTTCCCTCTTACCAGGATGTGGTGTAGCTCAGTTTAGTGGAGGCCAGTGGTTTATGTGTATGTGAAATGTATGTGAAAGCCTTAGGTGTATGTGAAATTTATACTAAGATTTTCCCTTTTACCAGGGTGTGGTGTAGCTCAGTTTAGTTGAGGCCAGTGGTTTTTCAATATTTGATATTCTGGAGGACAAGACAGGAACTGACTGACTGAATGACTGACTGAAAATTTGTTAAGTCCTCACAATATAGGGAACTAACCAGATGACACAGACATCTGAAGGGCTGGATGGTAGGCAAGAACTTGAGAGACCTGAACAAAACAGTAGCTGAATGACAGTGTTTCCCAGAGGATAAACCCAGAGATTTAAAAGGATGAGGGGTTGGTGGTTTAAGGACTCATACTCTCTCTCAGGAGCTACATTTACTTTAAACTTCTCTGAGTTAGAGTGCCAGAGAGACCTCTGGAGTTGGCAGCTTCTTCTAGGCCAGGCAAAATCCTTATTACCATGAAAAAGAGTTCTGAAATGCTTTCAAACTTGTAAGAGAGTTCCCTTTGAGCTCAGGTTTGGAAATTTGGCAACTAACATTAAATGCTAGTGAGCAAGTTAGAATATCTTAATAAAATATACTTCACATTCAGAGTTGACCAAATCAAGAGGCAGGAGGTTCAGGGTCTTAGGTCCCTGCCATGATTTCAAACTTCCAAAAGAGCCAGTAGACCAGAAAGCCCTAAGTCCTCCCTACTACAGACCCTTCCTTCATATAAGGCCTTCTGTATGGGGCCCTTACTTCCTGCTACAACACATTCCAACATTTCTGTATGGTTTTCAAGACTTGCCCCAAACAATTCTTGCTGCCCTGGTTCTTAGGCTTGGCCTCATTACTCTACAGACCATGTTCTTCCTCCCACCCTCTTTATGTGCTTTCACTGCTAATTCTGGAATACCCTTCGCTCTGCATTTCACTTAGTAACATTATACTCATTTGTCAAGGTCTACCTCCTCCTTAAAGCCTTTCCTGATTATTAGAGACTTAGCTAATTTCCTTCCTTCTGAAGAGTAAATGCTATCTGGCCTGGGTAAGGGAGGCAGTGTGGTGGAGAATTTAAGATAGCAGTACAGGACTAGAAGAAGATTCAAGTTCTAGGCCTTCCAGTAATTAGAGTAAATGAGAGGCAGTTATCTAAGCTTCAAGCATTTGTTTGTTTTCTATTCTATTTCATCTTTATTATTCATTGCTTGCCTGCTATATGTAAGTTGTTGATGAATCCTATCTAGATCTTGCCATTGAGGATCTTAGAGTCTAATAAATGATATATATATAAATAATTAGAATAAAAATAGGAAAAATGGTTAAAAACCACGAGAGCATCATGGAAAGTTCCTTAAGAGGTCAGAGGAAGTTAAAATTAATCTCTCTGTAGAAAATAGCATCTGAGCTTGGCCTCGGAGCATGAATGAAAATATGTAAGAATAAAATAATAAATAAGAAAGTGTTAGAAAAGTATAGAATGTGATACAAATGCAAGGGCTAGTATTTTAAATGGGGTGAAATGTAGGAGCTGTTTTAAGAAAAGATAAGGTAGGGAAAGGAGTGATTCCATCCCTCAATTCTAGGCAAAACCTGCCAAATACTTTATTTCAAAAGAAGCAATGAGTTCCCTTGATGGCAGGGCCACCATTTAATCTCTGTCATTTTCTGCTAGCACATTAAAGAGCCTACATTACATTGTATATGAAGTTTTTAGGGCCACCTGGAGCAGAGGGCTCAGAAAAAGTCTCAGATAGGGCTCAATAAAGTCTGGCAGCAGAGGGTCAATTTGAGGAGAACCATTGACATGGCTCCAACGTAAAGGGTAAAAGAACATACCAGGTAGACAAATGAGCCAGCTCTAGCTTACATGCAGAATAAAGGCAGCTGCCTTAGGCCCCATTCATGAGTTTGGGGAGAGCTACAGCAGCTCTGGGGGTATAAAGCAGACAAAGAGGCTTACAGCAGCTAAAATGCTATTAACAAATACTCCATTACCAAAGTTCCATCAGGAGGTTTATTGTCCATCTGTAAGATATGCCCACTTTCTCAAGCTGTTCTCCAGTCTACTTGGTGCCATTACCACCTGAGTTCAGGCAGTACAGGCTACCCTTGGCAAATGCTTTCAGTAGTTTTAGGTATGAGTATGTGCACTTCCTCAGGATGTTCCCCTCCACATCCTAGCATACAATGCCTGAGCTTCCTTTCTATAGTCATTTCCGTCATCCTTAGAGGGCAAATTTTTATAAAATGATTGGGCTAGGCTGGGCATCTAGTGCAGTATTTAGCTCAAAATCGTATTTCAATAGTATTTAGGTTCACATAAATTCACTTCAATTCAATTCAGACTAAAATTCACTGTTGGTATTAGTTACCACGATTATAGTATAATTAACCATAGTCTTTCATTGGGACTTGCTCAGGGTTTTCTAGGAAGCACCTGCCTATGCCTTCTGCAAAGGCTCAATTCTGCACTTTCCTTAAGAGGATCACATCCTTGCCAAAACTCCACAGTGCGTAGTGAAACAATTTGGCTTATGCAAAAATCCCAAGAAATATATAGCTATGATAAGAAAGTACAATGTGAAACTGATGAGGGACAGAATGGTAGTGGTGACGAAATTATCTCTAATCATAGAGAAAAATAAAATCCTCAGTGGGATTGTTTACAGCTTCCCCATTCATTGCCCTGGAGAGTTGTCTTAGATACTTCCATTCTTACTGCACTTAATCACACCCCAGAATAGCTCTAGCTCTCTTTACTCATATGTATAATAATCCCTCACATTTAATGTACTGCTTTATACTGTGTGTATGTATATGCAATATTTTATATATATATATATATACACACATACAATAATTTAATACCTATCTGTGAAAGAAAGAGTTAACCCAGCAGTCTTGAGTTGCTCAAATCGTATACATTTTTAGAAGGGCCCACTTGTGTGACTGGTCCTTGGCCAGCTCCTGGGAACTGAGGTCTTAGAATGTTCTCTATTCTAGTAACTGGTAAGGGCATTGTGTATGCCCTTTCAACCATGCTGTAACAGCCTGTCTAGGTATCTTGTGCAAAAAATATGATTTATGGTGAATGCATGCTTTCTTTCCAAGGGATATGGAGTTTCAGTCACTAGTTACCCCAATAAAAATCCTGGAGTTTCAGGCTCAAGTACGCTTCCCCGGCAGAAAACACTTTGCATATGTTTCTGAACTTCATTGTTGGAGGATTAAGCACAACCTGTGTGACTCTATTGGGAGAAGACTCTTGGAAGCTTGCACCTGGTATCCTCCGGTCTCTGACTGATGTACGTTTTCCCATTATTGATTCTGCTTTCTGTCCTTTTGATATAATAAACTGTAGCCTGATTGTAACAATTTATGAGTCCTGTGAGTCCTTCTAGCAAATCAGTGAACCTGGGGATAGTATTGGGGGCCACCAGTACATTGCTTTACAATGTCATTATGAGGATTACCACCTCCATTTTACATATAAAGAAACTGAGATCAAATGGCTTGAGCTGGAAGTAGAATTCAGTTCTTTCCAAATCCCATGTTCTTTCTACTATACTGAACTGCTCCCTATATAATCTTTTTTTGTGGTTAAGGGGTAGATAAAATGGTATCAGAGGTACCTTTTAGCTCTGACAGACATTAACTGTTTATGTCTAAAGTCCATATGAAAAAAAGGAGGATGTAAAACTAAAAAAAAAATTTTTTTTCAAGTTATCTCCACTCATTCCCCCTTTGCATAGTTCACTTCTATCTTAGGGTGTCAAGGGCTCTACTGAAACTCTACAAGAATGCATAGGCAAGGAAAATTACACTTTAAAGAATGATTAGTTCTATTATGCATGCCTTCCCCCAGGCATTCTGCTTAGTCTCTGACAAATAAAAACTGTACACATGGATTTGAGAAAGATCCTGGTTGGGTTTGTTCAGTGGCATTATTAGGGTAAAGATGAAAGGCAAAGTTTATAGCCTTGTCTGACCTGGCCTTGCCAACATAACCTTGCTGTGCTCCAAACGCCTAAAGGGCTGGCTTTGTCACTCAACACTCTGCATTCATCTGTGTAGTCTGTCTGACTAAGCCATATGTCCTGAGAATGGTGGAGGAAGAGACTGTGCTTAGATAAGGTAATAGACAAAACTTATGAAATAAATCTGCTTTCATGAAATTTGGTGTTTATGAAATATATGTTTTATATTTTATAGAGAACACTAAAGCAAATGAATGAGTTAGTCTACAGCCTTGCTTTTATCCCCAACACTAAAATCTCATTCGGTGGGTTTTAAGGCCCTGGGATGAGCTATTTTTTGTCATGGTGGGCCAGATTTTCCACTGAGCGAGGGAAATGGGCAGGCACCTGCCAGTGTAGCAATCAATCTTATCCTTGGCAATGGCTTCCTAGAGGGTTTTTCTGCTCAGGGTTTGGAATCAGCAAGTCCAGTTGTACTATAATGTGTGGGAGTTTTCATAGATTTATATCACACAGAAAAGAAGACTGATTGTCTATGCAGAGAATGTTGGGTTGGTTGTACAGTGTAGTGTGGAGGGTGGGTATACAAGTTGTCTTTTCAAGAGCTGGAAAAAACCCTTGATAAAGTGCTTAAAAAAGAGATAAACACACCAAGATTGGTTTTTATCATACATGGAAGGGAATATCTAAAGAGAAAGGAAGAAGAGGCAGATCAATTACCTACAGAGATACTTTCTGGCACAGACTAGCACACAGCATATCACATTAATAAAACTGAGCTCTGCAAGAAAAAAGGTAGACCATTCTCCCTCATTAAAAAGTTCCAGTTTTAAGCAACTATTACTATTCTGAATCCAGCACATTCCCCCACACACAATCACCACACACCTAGCCAAATGAGCACATGACATTCCTAAACTAAGGACACTCTTTAACCTAGCCTCCACTTACAAACTCAAAAAGGCACATATTGACTAAATGATTCTGACAGGAGAAGGGGAAAATATGTAGAATTTAGAGGCCAAAGAGAAGTAGATAACTGAAAACAAGGTTGTACACACACACACACACACACACGTGAGCACATGTGCATGTGCGTGTGTGCACACACACACACACACCCCTATCACTAGTCCCTCCCATGCCCTAAATTACATCAACTGTTTTCAGTTAGGCTAAGCCCCTTCCACTGGAGAAAAATAAAGATTGAAGCTATGGGCCGGGCACAGTGGCTCACGCCTGTAATCCCAGCATTTTGGGAGGCTGAGGCGGGCAGATCACGAGGTCAGGAGATCGAGACCATCCTGGCTAACATGGTGAAACCCTGTCTCTACCAAAAATACAAAAAAAAAAAAAAAAAAAAGAAAAAAAATTAGCCAGGCGTGGTGGTGGGTGCCTGTAGTCCCAGCTACTCGGGAGGCTGAGGCAGGAGAATGGCGTGAACCCAGGAGGCGGAGGTTGTGGTGAGCCAAGATCACGCCACTGTACTCCAGTCTGGGCGACAGAGCGAGATTCCATCTCAAAAGAAAAAAGAAAAAAAAAAAAGATTGAAGCTATGGGAATGACAGTGTCCCTTCTCTACTTGATCAATACCTTCTTTGGCTACTGTTAAGATGCACTCTCCGTGACCAGTAATAATAAAGCAAGACCTACATAGCTAATTAGTTGTTACTTTTTGGTCTGGGTTTCAGTTTCCCCAATTGTAAAATGAAGGGTAGAAACTGGACCTCCCACCTCAGGTCATATCCTATGATTCCCTGACTCTATTACAAACCATTGCATGTGTCACATGACAGATGCCAAGGATGCCTTCAAGCCTTACTTCTTACATACAGGCCCACACATACACATGGGGCCTTTCTTTTTGACTCTGACAGGCAGGGGAGCCCAGAGGGTTGAGACTTTCTAAATGCAGATAAATAAGCTGAAAAGATTACAATGAGTAGATTCTGTTTTCCCCAGCTTACCTCTTTGGGCGAGAGAGCTGTGCTGAGATGCAAGGGCAAGGTTGAAAAAAACCTGACAACAGTTATGGTGACAATGTTTTGATGATTATTGGTTTCTGCACTGCTGGGAAGAGAGAGTACACTCCTCAAACCTTGAAAGTACACTCCTCAAACCTTCCTTTAAGCTTTGAACCAGAGCAACTGCAGATGATTTCTAGGGTAAAGGTAAAGCCACCTCTATAACTGAGGTTTGCTGTCCCCTGGTACATACCAAAGGATCTGGATCCAGAGCACCAGAGTCAATCATGAGTACCAGTTGGAACCCAAAATAGTAACATCTACTGAATGTGCCAGTATTTACTTGGTAAATTGAAATAATGTGGATTTTATGAGGGTGAGGAATTACCCTATAAAATCGTTCAATCTGGAATCAAGTATTTTCTGTAACTGCTACACCAAAAATTAAACAAGTAGATAATAATAAATTACCCACCCACTAAGTTCTGAGGAAAATACTGCATCACTTCAGAGACTAAATATCTACCTCTCCTGATCAAGGTAAACAGATTGTATTTTTAAGTCAGATTTATTAATGTATGATGCCACCTAATATCAATAGTATTTCATATTCTATTTGGTTTGATCATTAATAATCATTCATATTTGTATGATGTTAAACTTATAAAGTCCTTCAATATATTTCACATTATGTATCTTAGGTTGATCTCTGACAACAGCCCTGTGAGCATGAATGGGCAGGTATTATCCTTATTTTAAAGATGATGAATATGAGGCCAAGAGAGTTGGGACAATAGATGGCTGGCATTAGAACCCAGGAATCAAGGTTCTATGCTTCCTTTACTTTGCAATGAGGTCAGCAAGGGGCACAAACATGACATGATGTTGCTTACCCCATTTCAGGTCAAAACTCATTATCTAACCTAAAGTTTACCATTACACAAATTTAGCTGTTGGGATACTTGCCAACATGAAACCCAAGCCTAACTTCCTGAAGCAGTATAAAGGTACATGCCAGGAGTCATAAATCAGGTATTTTATTTCCTGAGTGTGGCTAGAATATCCCTTTGCCAAGAAAAGGGAAGGGGGTAGAGTGATATAATTTTCAGTCTCCCACAATCTCCCAGACTTCCAGCTCAGAGTGCCAGCAAGTACCCCGCCATCTAATGGTCATTTGCAGAAACTTCATCTTCCAGGTAGGAGAAGAAGACATCCCATTGATATTCTTTTATTTATTTATTTATTTATTTATTTTTATTTTTTATTATACTTTTAAGTTTTAGGGTACATGTGCACATTGTGCAGGTTAGTTACATATGTATACATATGCCATGCTGGTGCACTGCACCCACTAACTCATCATCTAGCATTAGGTATATCTCCCAATGCTATCCCTCCCCCTCCCCCCACCCCACCACAGTCCCCAGTGTGATATTCCCCTTCCTGTGTCCATGTGTTCTCATTGTTCAATTCCCACCTATGAGTGAGAATATGCGGTGTTTGGTTTTTTGTTCTTGTGATAGTTTACTGAGAATGATGTTTTCCAATTTCATCCATGTCCCTACAAAGGACATGAACTCATCATTTTTTATGGCTGCATAGTATTCCATGGTGTATATGTGCCACATTTTCTTAATCCAGTCTATCATTGTTGGACATTTGGGTTGGTTCCAAGTCTTTGCTATTGTGAATAATGCTGCAATAAACATATGTGTGCATGTGTCTTTATAGCAGCATGATTTATAGTCCTTTGGGTATATATCCAGTAATGGGATGGCTGGGTCAAATGGTATTTCCAGTTCTAGATCCCTGAGGAATTGCCACACTGACTTCCACAATGGTTGAACTAGTTTACAGTCCCACCAACAGTATAAAACTGTTCCTATTTCTCCACATCCTCTCCAGCACCTGTTGTTTCCTGACTTTTTAATGATTGCCATTCTAACTGGTGTGAGATGGTATCTCATTGTGGTTTTGATTTACATTTCTCTGATGGCCAGTGATGATGAGCATTTTTTCATGTGTTTTTTGGCTGCATAAATGTCTTCTTTTGAGAAGTGTCTGTTCATGTCCTTCGCCCACTTTTTGATGGGGTTGTTTGTTTTTTCCTTGTAAATTTGTTTGAGTTCATTGTAGATTCTGGATATTAGCCCTTTGTCAGATGAGTAGGTTGCGAAAATTTTCTCCCATTTTGTGGGTTGCCTGTTCACTCTGATGGTAGTTTCTTTTGCTGTGCAGAAGCTCTTTAGTTGAATTAGATCCCATTTGTCAATTTTGGCTTTTGTTGCCATTGCTTTTGGTGTTTTAGACATGAAGTCCTTGCCCATGCCTGTGTCCTGAATGGTAATGCCTAGGTTTTCTTCTAGGGTTTTTATGGTTTTAGGTCTAACGTTTAACTCTTTAATCCATCTTGAATTGATTTTTGTATAAGGTGTAAGGAAGGGATCCAGTTTCAGCTTTCTACATATGGCTAGTCAGTTTTCCCAGCACCATTTATTAAATAGGGAATCCTTTCCCCATTGCTTGTTTTTCTCAGGTTTGTCAAAGATCAGATAGTTGTAGATATGCGGCGTTATTTCTGAGGGCTCTGTTCTGTTCCATTGATCTATATCTCTGTTTTGGTAACAGTACCATGATGTTTTGGTTACTGTAGCCTTGTAGTACAGTTTGAAGTCAGGTAGTGTGATGCCTCCAGCTTTGTTCTTTTGGCTTAGGATTGACTTGGCGATGCGGGCTCTTTTTTGGTTCCATATGAACTTTAAAGTAGTTTTTTCCAATTCTGTGAAGAAAGTCATTGGTAGCTTGATGGGGATGGCATTGAATCTGTAAATTACCTTGGGCAGTATGGCCATTTTCACAATACTGATTCTTCCTACCCATGAGCATGGAATGTTCTTCCATTTGTTTGTATCCTCTTTTATTTCATTGAGCAGTAGTTTGTAGTTCTCCTTGAAGAGGTCCTTCACATCCCTTGTAAGTTGGATTCCTAGGTATTTTATTCTCTTTGAAGCAATTGCGAATGGGAGTTCACTCCTGATTTGGCTCTCTGTTTGTCTGTTGTTGGTGTATAAGAATGCTTGTGATTTTTGTACATTGATTTTGTATCCTGAGACTTTGCTGAAGTTGCTTATCAGCTTAAGGAGATTTTGGGCTGAGACAATGGGGTTTTCTAGATATACAATCATGTCGTCTGCAAACAGGGACAATTTGAGTTCCTCTTTTCCTAATTGAATACCCTTTATCTCCTTCTCCTGCCTAATTGCCCTGGCCAGAACTTCCAACACTATGTTGAATAGGAGTGGTGAGAGACGGCATCCCTGTCTTGTGCCAGTTTTCAAAGGGAATGCTTCCAGTTTTTGCCCATTCAGTATGATATTGGCTGTGGGTTTGTCATAGATAGCTCTTATTATTTTGAAATACGTCCCATCAATACCTAATTTATTGAGAGTTTTTAGCGTGAATGGTTGTTGAATTTTGTCAAAGGCTTTTTCTGCATCTATTGAGATAATCATGTGGTTTTTGTCTTTGGCTCTGTTTATGTGCTGGATTACATTTATTGATTTGTGTATATTGAACCAGCCTTGCATCCCAGGGATGAAGCCCACTTGATCATGCTGGATAAGCTTTTTGATGTGCTGCTGGATTCGGTTTGCCAGTATTTTATTGAGGATTTTTGCATCAATGTTCATCAAGGATAGTGGTCTAAAATTCTCTTTTTTTGTTGTGTCTCTGCCTGGCTTTGGTATCAGAATGATGCTGGCCTCATAAAATGAGTTAGGGAGGATTCCCTCTTTTTCTATTGATTGGAATAGTTTCAGAAGGAATGGTACCAGCTAATCCTTGTACCTCTGGTAGAATTCGGCTGTGAATCCATCTGGTCCTGGACTCTTTTTGGTTGGTAAGCTATTGATTATTGCCACAATTTCAGATCCTGTTATTGGTCTATTCAGAGATTCAACTTCTTCCTGGTTTAGTCTTGGGAGAGTGTATGTGACGAGGAATTTATCCATTTCTTCTAGATTTTCTAGTTTATTTGCATAGAGGTGTTTTTAGTATTCTCTGATGGTAGTTTGTATTTCTGTGGGATCAGTGGTGATATCCCCTTTATCATTTTTTATTGCGTCTATTAGATTCTTCTTTTTTTCTTTATTAGTCTTGATAGCGGTCTATCAATTTTGTTGATCCTTTCAAAAAACCAGCTCCTGGATTCACTGATTTTTTTGAAGGGTTGTTTGTGTCTCTATTTCCTTCAGTTCTGCTCTGATCTTAGTTATTTCTTGCCTTCTGCTAGCTTTTGAATGTGTTTGCTCTTGCTTTTCTAGTTCTTTTAATTGTGATGTTAGGGTGTCAATTTTGGATCTTTCCTGCTTTCTCTTGTGGGCATTTAGTGCTATAAATTTCCCCCTACACACTGCTTTGAATGCGTCCCAGAGATTCTGGTATGTTGTGTCTTTGTTCTCATTGGTTTCAAAGAACATCTTTATTTCTGCCTTCATTTCGTTATGTACCCAGTAGTCATTCAGGAGCAGGTTGTTCAGTTTCCATGCAGTTGAGCGGTTTTGAGTGAGATTCTTAATCCTGAGTTCTAGTTTGATTGCACTGTGGTCTGAGAGATAGTTTGTTATAATTTCTGTTCTTTTACATTTGCTGAGGAGAGCTTTACTTCCAAGTATGTGGTCAATTTTGGAATAGGTGTGGCGTGGTGCTGAAAAAAATGTATATTCTGTTGATTTGGGGTGGAGAGTTCTGTAGATGTCTATTAGGTCTGCTTGGTGCACAGCTGAGTTCAATTCCTGGGTATCCTTGTTGACTTTCTGTCTCGTTGATCTGTCTAATGTTGACAGTGGGGTGTTAAAGTCTCCCATTATTAATGTGTGGGAGTCTAAGTCTCTTTGTAGGTCACTCAGGACTTGCTTTATGAATCTGGGTGCTCCTGTATTGGGTGCATATATATTTAGGATAGTTAGCTCTTCTTGTTGAATTGATCCCTTTACCATTATGTAATGGCCTTCTTTGTCTCTTTTGATCTTTGTTGGTTTAAAGTCTGTTTTATCAGAGACTAGGATTGCAACCCCTGCCTTTTTTTGTTTTCCATTTGCTTGGTAGATCTTCCTCCATCCTTTTATTTTGAGCCTATGTGTGTCTCTGCACGTGAGATGGGTTTCCTGAATACAGTACACTGATGGGTCTTGACTCTTTATCCAATTTGCCAGTCTGTGTCTTTTAATTGGAGCATTTAGTCCATTTACGTTTAAAGTTAATATTGTTATGTGTGAATTTGATCCTGTCATTATGATGTTAGCTGGTTATTTTGCTCGTTAGTTGATGCAGTTTCTTCCTAGTCTTGATGGTCTTTACATTTTGGCATGATTTTGCAGCGGCTGGTTCCGGTTGTTCCTTTCCATGTTTAGTGCTTCCTTCAGGAGCTCTTTTAGGGCAGGCCTGGTGGTGACAAAATCTCTCAGCATTTGCTTGTCTGTAAAGTATTTAATTTCTCCTTCACTTATGAAGCTTAGTTTGGCTGGATATGAAATTCTGGGTTGAAAATTCTTTTCTTTAAGCATGTTGAATATTGGCCCCCACTCTCTTCTGGCTTGTAGGGTTTCTGCCGAGAGATCCGCTGTTAGTCTGATGGGCTTCCCTTTGAGGGTAACCCGACCTTTCTCTCTGGCTGCCCTTAACATTTTTTCCTTCATTTCAACTTTGGTGAATCTGACAATTATGTGTCTTGGAGTTGCTCTTCTCGAGGAGTATCTCTGGGGTGTTCTCTGTATTTCCTGAATCTGAAGGTTGGACTGCCTTGCTAGATTGGGGAAGTTCTCCTGGAGAATATCCTGCAGAGTGTTTTCCAACTTGGTTCCATTCTCCCCGTCACTTTCAGGTACACCAATCAGACGTAGATTTGGTCTTTTCACATAGTCCCATATTTCTTGGAGGCTTTGCTTATTTCTTTTTATTCTTTTTTCTCTAAACTTCCCTTCTCGCTTCATTTCATTCATTTCATCTTCCATTGCTGATACCCTTTCTTCCAGTTGATCGCATCGGCTCCTGAGGCTTCTGCATTCTTCACGTAGTTCTCGAGCCTTGGTTTTCAGCTCCATCAGCTCCTTTAAGCACTTCTCTGTATTGGTTATTCTAGTTATACATTCTTCTAAATTTTTTTCAAAGTTTTCAACTTCTTTGCCTTTGGTTTGAATGTCCTCCCGTAGCTCAGAGTAATTTGATCGTCTGAAGCCTTCTTCTCTCAGCTCGTCAAAGTCATTCTCCACCCAGCTTTGTTTCGTTGCTGGTGAGGAACTGCGTTCCTTTGGAGGAGGAGAGGCGCTCTGCATTTTAGAGTTTCCAGTTTTTCTGTTCTGTTTTTTCCCCATCTTTGTGGTTTTATCTACTTTTGGTCTTTGATGATGGTGATGTACAGATGGGTTTTTGGTTTGGATGTCCTTTCTGTTTATTAGTTTTCCTTCTAACAGACAGTACCCTCAGCTGCAGGTCTGTTGGAATACCCTGCCGTGTGAGGTGTCAGTCTGCCCCTGCTGGGGGGTGCCTCCCAGTTAGGCTGCTCGGGGGTCAGGGGTCAGGGACCCACTTGAGGAGGCAGTCTGCCCGTTCTCAGATCTCCAGCTGCGTGCTGGGAGAACCACTGCTCTCTTCAAAGCTGTCAGACAGGGACATTTAAGTCTGCAGAGGTTACTGCTGTCTTTTTGTTTGTCTGTGCCCTGCCCCCAGAGGTGGAGCCTACAGAGGCAGGCAGGCCTCCTTGAGCTGTGGTGGGCTCCACCCAGTTCGAGCTTCCCGGCTGCTTTGTTTACCTTATCAAGCCTGGGCAATGGCGAGCGCCCCTCCCCCAGCCTCGCTGCTGCCTTGCAGTTTGATCTCGGACTGCTGTGCTAGCAATCAGCGAGACTCTGTGGGCATAGGACCCTCCAAGCCAGGTGCGGGATATAATCTCGTGGTGCGCCTTTTTTTAAGCCCGTCGGAAAAGCGCCATATTCGGGTGGGAGTGGCCCGATTTTCCAGGTGCCGTCCGTCACCCCTTTCTTTGACTCGGAAAGGGAACTCCCTGACCCCTTGCGCTTCCCAAGTGAGGCAATGCCTCGCCCTGCTTTGGCTCATGCACAGTGCGCGCACCCACTGACCTACGCCCACTGTCTGGCACTCCCTAGTGAGATGAACCTGGTACCTCAGATGGAAATGCAGAAATCACCGTCTTCTGTGTTGCTCACGCTGGGAGCTGTAGACTGGAGCTGTTCCTATTCGGCCATCTTGGCTCCTCCCATCCCATTGATATTCTATTTTCCGTCCACATGGAATATGGTGTGAGAGTGATCACTATTTCAGTCCAGCTCAGGAACAGATATTCTACTGCACCATACATACATACTCAACCCAGACTTCTTGGAAAGGAATTGTGTTAAAAGTTAGACCTACCATATGATACAGCAAATACACTTCTAGGTATTTACCCAAGTGAATTGAAAATTTACATCCACACAAAAACCTGCTTGTGGATGTCTCTAGCAACTTTATTCCTAATTTCTCAAAGCTAAAAACAATCAAGATGTCTTTCAACAAGAGAATGGATAAACAAGTATTCTTACAATGGAATACTATTCAGTGTTTAAAAGGAACTACTTACATAAAAGGAGCTATTGATTCACACAACATGAATGAGTCTTAAATGCATTTTGCTAGGAGACAGAAGCCATACCCAAAGACTACATATTGTATTATTCCATTCATATGACACTC
Organism: Homo sapiens; assembly: GCF_000001405.40. NCBI lineage: Eukaryota > Metazoa > Chordata > Mammalia > Primates > Hominidae > Homo > Homo sapiens. The sequence goes on from NC_000023.11 coordinate 74,795,475, forward strand.
TGGAAAATATAAAACTATAGGGATGGGATACTTATCAGTAGTTTCTGAATATTAGGGGTGGGGGAACTGGTTGATAACAGAGGGGATTCACAGAGGAATTTTGAGAGTGATGGAACTCTTCTGTATGGTATTGGGGTGGTGAGCACATGACATTATGCATTTGTCAAAACCTATAGACCTGTAATTTACAAAGAATGAGCCTTAACATATGCAAATGCAAACATCAACCAGATGTCAGAGGATCCCAGGATGAAATGCAGACTGTGACAAATGAATCTAACTGTATTACAAATGTGTGACATAAGTGCACTGAGGAAGGGGGTACGAAGCTGATTTAACTTTGAAAAATTGTGTTTTAGCTAGAAAGTATAAAGATAAAAGACAAATAACCATACATAAACACTGTACTGTAGTTGATAAAGCTGTTGTCATGGTGGTATAGATGAACAATTGTGAGACTGGTTTGAATGTACTGGGTTTGAACAAGTAAGTAAATGGATGGTGGGTAGTGGAAGCTAAGTTTGTCATTGTTATAGGGGGAAGTTACAGATAAAAAGAAAGGAAGGCTAGAATGAACCCTGTAGTATTGGATTAGAGTTAGAGACATCAATATAAACTCATGTTTAGCTTTATATATATTATATATATATTTATATATAATATATATATTATATATATACATATATATTATATATATTATATATATACATATATATTATATATATACATATATATTATATATATATACATATATAATATATATATATATACACATATATATTATATATATTATATATATACATATATATTATATATATTATATATATATACACACACACACACAATGGATAGACACACAAATGATTATAGATATATATGTATACAAAGGTTAGTACATAAACAAACATATATTACCCAGTTATGTCCACTGAGAAAGTCTGGAAGCAATGATAGCTTGGTAAAAATGACCACTCCTAGATCTTGGTTTCTAAATAACATTTTCCAATAAAAGGAACCAGAGTTATTTGGATAAATGGTTCATTCTAGGGCTAGGTCAGGGAAAACACAAGATGAGCCTGGAGTATCTTGTAGTACCAGAAAATTAGCAAGTACTAAAAAGATAAAAGGAAGAGGGCATGTGTTTAAAGGGACGCAGGAACCAACCTGAAATAATTCCTAATGGCTAAAGCAGGAGCATTTGAGTAACAAAATAGATAAGGTAGTATCGGATTAAAGCCCAAAGTATAAAATAAATAAATATTAGCCCACATATACAGCATAAATAAATGATCAAATAAATGCATAAATGGTGGAGAAAAGACATATCGTCCTAACAGAAGAATTCTAAATAATGTATGTAGATACTCCCCTTTCAAGGAGGTAGAGCTTGGGTGTGGGCTGGACTTACTTCCAAAGAATAGAGAATGAAAAAGGAAAAAGTAGTTGCTTTACACTGCAAAAACATGGCAAACACAACCTTAACCAAATGACCAAAGTTAAATGTGATAATTAGTAGTGATGTCTTGTTAAAGGCTATTATGTGCGCCTTGAAATAATGTAATGAAAATGGAACTTTACCTCTGTGAGATTCTTCTCCAAAATCTATAACCCCAGTGCAATCATAAGAAAAACATCAAACTACCACAAATTGAAGGACATTCTGCAAAATACCTGACCAGTACTCTTAAAAATCTTAACGTTATGGAAAAGCAGAGAAACTGCCACAGACCAGAGAAGACTAAGGACACATGATGATTAAATGCAATGTATTATCTTGGATTGGATCCTGATATTTTAGAAAAATGATAATTAATGGAAAAACTGGTGAAATCTGAATGAAGTCTGGAGTTTAGTTAATAGTAATATACCAGTGTTGATTTCTTAGTTTTTATAAATGTACCATAGTAATGTACAGATGATAACATTAGGGGAAACTGGGCAAACGGTATATTGGAACTCTTTGTACTAGCTTTGCAACTTTTCTGTAAGTACAAAAGTCATCTCAAATAAAGTTTAAAAATTAAACCATGTTCACACACACACACAGAGTTAATAGTTTAAACAGATGTCTGTCAGATTCTTCCTTAACATACAATTAGGGAGGAGAACAGTCTTCTGAAGTCAGAAGGTAACCATTATCTAACTGTGTGACCTTAAGCAAGTTCCTTTTTTCAACTTCAGGCTTGAATTTTCCATCTGTACCATGAGGAGTGGAACTAGATGGTGTTCAAATGCCCTTTCAGCTCTACCTAGACTGGGCTTCTTTTTGACTGTGTGGGAGGTGGGAACAGAGGCCAAAGCTTTCCTTGGGCTTTCTTAACAAAACCAGCTGCTTTACCAAGCTCAACGTAGAATGTTCCATGTGAATTCCAATCACCAGCAATCCCAGAGAGATGGGTTCAGTAAGAAGAAGGATGGAACTGTGCATGGCATAAGCCTCTTTTCCTGGGAAGTATTCAGTGTTCTCCGGGAAATGAGGGCAACGTGAAAGCCAATCTAAAGGTGGGGTTTAAGAAGAACAGAAAGTGAACAAAAACTTGAATTTCTATGGCCAAGAAATGTTACTTCTTGTCAAGCCCTGGCCATCCAGCCACACTGGCTAAGCAAGGACACATTGCCAGTAAACCCAAGTACCTTCAAAATGCCATTCTTGAGGGAGTGAGAGCATCAGGAAGAATAGCTAATGGATGCTGGCTTTAATAACTAGGTGACAGGTTGATCTATTCAGCAAACCATCATGGTTTGAAATCCTGTCTCAAAAACACCAAAAACCAAACCAAAACAAAAAACCAAAACAAAATAATAAAAGAGTGCCTAACTCAGAAAGGCACTCAAGACTATCACTGCAACCACCACACTTAGCTGTGCTTAAACCCAATAGCTGCTTTTATATTGCATTCTTCTCTCAATCAAAACTTATAATAGGCCAAACTATCCATATGGCACACAACCTGAGAAACTCTGGCTTTCCCGTAAAGTTCATAGCTTTGATGCCAAAGGGGCTTTTTGCAGAGATTGTTTCTTGGAGAAGAGTCTTGCTTTCATCTTTGTATTTAGATAATTCTAATAAAGAGCAAGGTGGACATTTGGGCCTAGCTACTATGCTTTTCTTATCAAGTAATTTTGGTTTACTTTTTTTCCAGTGCATTTTCTGCCAGCACAGAAGCTCCAATTAGATGGCAATAGAGTATAGGCCTTTTATTTTAATGTGTATATTTCTCCCACAAAGAAACAAAATTATAGTTATGTCTTCTATTAACATATCCCTATTGATGCTAACTTAAAATATTTAGTCTCACTGCCAGTGTCCAGTAATGCAACAGTCACAGGGTAAAGAGAATAATACAGAAAAGGAGAAATCAGAGAGAAAGATACATGGGAGGAAAGGGTAAAGAGAAGGGGAAGTAGAGAAGAAAAAAGGAAAGATGTAAAGAAAACAGGGAAAATAGAACAGTTGGAGAAAAACCAGAGAAAGAAAAAGGAATAAAGTAAAAAAAAAAAAAAGATGACAGTGAAACAAGGGAACAATGAAGAAAATTCTCAAATTGGTACTGCTTTATTTTTTATTTTTGTAGGGAGGGGGTCTTGCCATGTTGCCTAGGCTGGTCTTGAACCCCTGGCCTCAAGTGATCCTCCCACCTCAGCCTCCCAAAGTGCTGGAATTACAGGCATGAGCCATCACACCTGGCCACTAATGCTTTTTAATTTTATTGACTAGTTGTTGAGTCAATAAAACTAAGACTTCCTGTTGAGTGTGAAGTAAATTGGATTTCAATTGTTATCTGTGTGTAGCAGAGATTTTCACAAAGGCCTCAATAAAGACCTGGTCTCCTTCACAGTGAGTCCCCTGACTCATTCTCAACTACAAGATCTTATTAGAATAGGGAGCTTATGATCCCAATTTGTGCTGGTTTTAGAGCTGCCAGCAAAATAAATAAAGAAATACATGCATACATACATACATCAAATTAAAAATTAAAAAAAAGTTTCTCATTTTCCATGGAATTAAAGACCAAGTAGAGTAGCCCCACGCTATTTACCACACTGGTCAGCAGCACATGCATGCATGCACATATACACAAACAAATACATACTTCCTCAAATTGAGGGATCTAGCTCAAATAATGAACAATAATGAACTCTCAAAACAAGTAACAGAACATTTTTCTTTTTGGAGACAGGGTCTTGCTCTGTTGTCCAGGCTGGAGTGCACCGGCACGATCACGGCTCACTGCAACCTCGACCTCCTGGGCTCAAGGGATACTCCTGCCTCAGCCTCCCAAAGTGCTGGGATTACAGGCATGAGCCACTGTGCCCATCCAGGAACATTATACATTGATAAAAGAGTCAATTCATCAAGAAGACATAATAATTATAAACACCTCTCTTGTTAAGTACCTAACAAGAGAGGCCCAAAATATAAGAAGCAAAAACTCATAGTATTGAAGGGAGAAATAGGCATTTCTATAATAATAGCTGGAGACTTCAAAACCCCACTTTTAATGATAGACAGAACAACTAAATACAAGATCAATGAGAAAATAGAAAGCCTAAACACCAATAAGACCTAACAGACATACAAAGAACACCAGACCCAACAGCAGCAGAATACACATACTCCAAGACAAGCCATATATGTTAGGCCACAAAATAATTCTCAATAAATGTCAAAAGACTGAAACTACACAAAGTATCCACTAATTTGCATGTAACCTTGGGAAACTCCCTTCTTTCTGGGCCTGTTTCTCCCTCTGTAAAGTGAGGGTGCATGTAGGGGCTTTAGTGATCTTGAAGGACCCTTCTATCCTGAGTAATCTGAGTCTAAGTGAAACATTTGTTAACTGAAAATAATGCCCTTGCGTGCTGTGAGAACTTTCACAATTGGAAGGCTACTACTAGCTTTTTTTTTTATAAAAAGCTTTTTAAAATTCCCCATCCTATTTTTATTTACTTTAAAAATTACGCATAGTAAAAATAATTTTTCATTGTACAGTTCTATGAGTTTTTACAGACACATGCAGTGGGATAATCACTCCACAATCACAATTCAGAACAGTTCCGTGATCCCAAAAATTCCCTCAAGCTACCCCTTTGTAGTCAATCCCTCCCCTAGTTCTTAAGTAACAACTAACCTGTTTTCTGTCCCTATAGTTTTGTCTTTCCATAATGTATCATCCTTTTTTAATAGCTGCAAAATATTCTATTTTTAAAAAATTAAAATTAAAAATATATTCTATTGTATAGATAGGCCATACAATAGAATTTATTTAGTGAAGTTATTACTAAATTTTATTTATTTAGCAATTTTTTTCTTTTCCCCCACCCCAAACTAATGTTGATAGACTGTTAACTAAAGTCTATAGTTTATATTAAGACTCACTCTTTGTGTTGAATATTCTATGGGTTTTGAGGAATGTATAATGATATGTATCCACTATTACAGCATCATACAGAATAGTTACACTGCCCTAAAAATGCTCTGTGCTCCACCTACTCATCCCTCTCTCTCTTCCCCCAAAACACCTGGTAACCACTGAATTTTTTTTTGTCGCCATAGTTTTGCCTTTTCCAGAATGTCGTATAGTCGGAATCATACATTATGTAGCCTTTCAGATTGGCTTCTTTCATGTAGCAATATGCATTTCAAGTTTCTCCATGTCTTTTTGTGGCTTGATAGCTCATTTCTTTTCAGTGCTGAATAATATTTCATTGCATGGATATAACAGTGTATTTATCAATTCACCTATTAGAAGACATCACGGTTGCTTAGAAGTTTGAGCAATTATGAATAATGCTACTATAAACACTCGTGCAGGTTTTTTGTGGATGCAAGTTTTCCACTCATTTGGATAAATACAAGTAGCATGATTACTGGATCATATGGTAAGAATATGATAAGCTTTGTAAGAAACTGTCAAACTGCCTTCCAAAATGGCCACACCAAGGAGGGGTCAGAGCAAGATGGTGGATGACATTTCTAGACATCCACCAGATGTCTAGAAGGCCAGAAGGGAAAATGCTGCCTTGAAAGGAAGAACCCAGTCCTGGTGACATTCATCAGCTGCTAACTGAAGAGCCCTTGAGTTACCCTGGTACTACACTGAAGGTCTTGATGGGTCTCTGAGACTTGCTGGCTTCAGGAGAGACTCATCACATTCCCAGCTTTGGTGGCTGCAGGGCAAGACTCCTGCCTGAGAAAAGCAAAGGGAAAAGTGAAGGGGACTTTGTCTTGCACCTCAGATACCATCTTGCCCACAGGGGCATAGAGCATCAAGCCAACTATCAGGGTCCCCAATTACAGGCTCTGGCTCTTGGATGACATTTCTGGACCTGCACTGGGCCAGAGCAGAGCCCACTGCCCTGAAAGGAGAGTCTGAAACCAGGTAGTATTCACCACAAGCTGACTGAAGAGCCCTTGGGCCTAAGGGAACATTGGTGCTAGTCTGGCAGTACTCCCTGTGGGCCTGTGGTTGTGGTGGCCATGGGGTGAGGCTCCTCTGCCTGTGGAAATGGGAGGGAAGAGTGGGAAGAACTGTATCTTGTGATTTGAGTGCCAGCTCAGCTGCAACAACAGAACACCAGGTAGACTTCTAAGGTTTTGGACTCTAGTCCCTGGCACCTGTACAGCACCTCTGGACCTGCCTGGGTCCTGTGGGGAGCTCGCCACCCTGAAGGGTAGGACACAGGCCTGGGTGCTTTTGCCACATATTGATTGTGGAGTCCCAGGTACTCTGAACATAGGTGGTATCCAGGGAGTGGTTACAGCAGGCCTTGTGTAAGACCCAGTGTTGTGCTGGCTTCAGATCTGACCCAGCACAGTCCTAGTGGTGGTGGTCACGCGGGGTGCTTGTGTCAGTCTACCCCCAGCTCCAGGTGGCTCAGAACAGAGAGAGAGTGTCTGTTTGTTTGGGAGAAAGTAAGGGAAGAGAACAAGAGTTTCTGCTTGGTAATCCAGAGAATTCTTTCAGATTCTTATTCAAGATCACCAAGGCGGTACCTCTAAGAGTCTGCAAAAGCCGCAGAATTATTGGGCTTGGGGTGTCTCCTAAAGTAGATAGAGCTTAGGTGACAACACCTAAGTCCTTTTGAATATCTCGAAAGCCTTTCCAAGAAGGACAGGTACAAACAAACCCAGACTGCGAAGACTACAATAAATATACAACTCTTCAATGTTCACAGATGAACATCTACAAATATCAAGACCATCCAGGAAAACATAACCACACCAAATGAACTAAATAAGGCACCGGGGACCAATGCTGGAGCAACAGAGATATGTGACGTTTCACACAGAGAATTCAAAATAGCTGTTTTGAGGAAATGCAAATAAATTCAAGCAAACAGAGAAGAAATTTAGAATTCTATCAGATACATTTAGCAGAGATATTAAAATAATTAAAAAGAATAAAGTAGAAATTCTGGAGCTGAAAAATGGAACCGGCATACTGAAGAAGGCATCAGACTCTTTCACAGCAGAATTGATCAAGCAGAAGGAAGAATTTGTGAGCTCGAAGACAGGCTATTTGAAAATACACAGTCAGAGGAGACAAAAGAAAAAAGAATGAAAAACAATTAAGCACACTTACAAGATCTAGAAAATAGCCTCGAAAGGAAAAATATGAATTACTGGCCTTAAAGAGGAGGAAGAGACAGAGATAAAGGTAGAAAGCTTACTCAAAGGGAAAATAACGAGAACTCCCCAAACCTGGAGAAATGTATCAACATTTAAGTGCAAAAGGTTATAGAAGACCAAGCATATTTGACCCAAAGACTACCTCAAGGCATTTAATAATCAAACTGTGGGCCGGGCTCACGCCTGTAATCCCAGCACTTTGGGAGGCTGAGGCGGGCAGATCATGAGGTTAGGAGATCGAGACCATCCTGGCTAACACGGTGAAACCCTGTCTGTTCTAAAAATACAAAAATAAATAAATAAATAAATAAGTAGCCAGGCGTGGTGGCAGGCGCCTGTAGTCCCAGCTACTTGGGAGGGTGAGGCAGGAGAACGACGTGAACCCAGGAGGCGGAGCTTGCAGTGAGCAGAGATTGCGCCACTGCACTCCAGCCTGGGCAACAGAGCGAGACTCTGTCTCAAAAAAATAAATAAATAAATAAATAAATAAATAATACAAACTGTGAAAGGTCAATGATAAAGAAAGGGTCCTAAAAGCAGAAACAGAAAAGAAACAAACAATATACAATGCAGCTCAAATAGTGTGGCAGCAGACTTTTCAGTGGAAACCTTACAGGTCAGGAGAGAGTGGCATGACATATTTAAAGTGCTGAAGGAAAAAAAAAACACACACACTTTTACCCTAGAGTAGTATATCTGGTGAAAATATCCTTCAAGCACGAAGGAGAAATAAAGACTTTCCAGACAAACAAAAGCTGAGGAATTTCATCAACACCAGATTTCTCCTACAAGAAATGCTAAAGGGAGTACTTCAATCAGAAAGAAAAGGGTGTTAATGAGCAAGAATAAATCATCTGAAGGTATAAAACTCACTGATAATAGTAAGTATACAGAAAAAGACAGGATATTATAGAACTGTAATTGTGGTGTGTAAATTACTATTAAGTAGAAGACTAACAATGAGCAAATCAAAAAATAATAACTACAACAACTTTTGAAGATATAGATAGTACAATAAGATATAAAAGAACAAAAAGTTAAAAACTCGGGAGATGAAGTTAAGGAATAGAGTTTTTATTGGTTTTCTTTTTGCTCATTTGTTTGTTTATGCAGTGTTAACTTGTTATCAGCTTAAAATAATGGGTTAAAAGATAGTATTTGCAAGCCTCACCTAAGGTGCAAGACAAAGTCTGCATTACTTTTCCTTCCACTTTTCTCAAGTAAAAGAAGTCTCTTCCCATAGCCACCAGAGCTGGGAATGTACTGAGTCTTACCTGAAGCCAGCTAGTCTCAGAGTCTCATCCAAGGCCAATGGCATAGTACCTGGGTACAGCTGCTGGTTATTCAAGGTCCAAGGGCTCTTTCCTGAGCAGGTGATGGGTCATGCCAGCATTGTGTCCTTCCCTTGAAGGCAGCAGGTTTCCTTTTGGCCCAGGTTGTGTTTCAAAATGTCATCCAGGTGCCTCATGACTCTGCCTGCTGCCTTATCCTGCTATGGCTCAGGTGGTATCCAAGATGCTAGACAAAGTCCTTCCCACTCTTCCCTCTCCTCTCTTCAAGTGGACGGAATGGGTCTCTTTTGTAGCCACAAGCTGCGCAGTCTGGGGTTGAGGGTGGGGTGTTGCAAGCAGTTCCTTAACCACCCCAGCTGGTGTCTCAGTACTGCCCAGTCCACTGGCTCTGCGCCCAGTTCTGCACAAGGATTCGCCTAGGTGTTGCAGTCCTTGTGACCTAGGCTGCCTTTCAAGTTTATTTAGAGCCCCAGAGCATTTTAGCCTGTGTTGCAGAGGCTTGCTGGAACTCAAGTTCCAACCACTAGATGTGCGATTCCCCTCTCACTAGGATTAATTTAAATACTCCCTCTGTGGGTGGGAATCAGCTGAATTCAGCCTGGTTTTGCTTTCTGCTGTGATGGGGAAGCACTGAGTTCAATGCAATGTCTCACAATCGCTGTGCTCTCCCTCTTTCAAACCCCAGATTCTTCATGCCCCATGGCTGCTGCCAGGACATAGAGGAGGGGTCATATCTGCAATTCAAGACTGTATTTCCTGCCCTTTTCAGTGCCTCTTTCACCAATATGAAGTTAAAACCATGTACTGTGAGTGCTCGCCGGATTTTTGGTTCTTATGAAGGTGCTTTGTGTGTGTGTGTACATAATTGTTAAATTGGTGTCCTTGTGGTGGGGAATGATTGGTAAAGCCTTCTATTTGGCTATCTTGCTCCACCCCTCCCTTGCCCACTTTTTAATGGGTTATTTGCTTTTTGCGTGTTGATTTAAGTTCCTTATAGATTCTGAATTAGACCTTTGTGAGATGCATAGTATGCAAATATTTTCACCCATTCTGTAGGCTGCCTGTTTACTCTGTTGATAGCTTCTTTTGCTGTGCAGAAGCTCTTTAGTTTAATGAGGTCCCACTTGTAAATTTTTGTTTTTGTTACAATTGCTTTTGAGGTCTTAGCCATAAATTCTTTGCCAGTGCTCATGTTGACATGGGTTTTTCCTAGGTTTTCTTCTATGATTTTTGTAGTTTGAGATCTTGAGTTAATTTTTGTATGTGGTAATAAGTAGGGGTCCAGTTTCATTCTTCTGCATGTGGCCAGTTTTCCAAGCACCATTTATTGAATAGGGAGTCTTTTCTCCTTTGCTTATTTTTGTCAACTTTGTCAAAGATCAGAGATTACAGGTGTTTGGCTTCATTTCTTGGCTCTCTATTCTGATCCATTGGTCAATGTGTCTGTTTTTGTTGTTGTTGTTTTCTTTATCAGTACCATGCTATTTTGGTTACTGTAGCCTTGTAGTATAGTTTGAAGTTGGGTAAGGCGATGCCTCTGGCTTTGCTCTTTTTGCTTAGGATTGCTTTGGCTATTCATTTTTTTTTTGCCCATTTTTCATTGGGCTGTGTGTTTTCTTATTGTTGAGCTTTAACAGTTCTATATATTTTTTGGATACCAGTCCTTTATCAGATACGTGATTTGCAAATATTTTTTCCCACTCTGTGGTTTGTTATTTTATTCTCTTAACAGTGTTTTTCTCAGAGCAGAAGTTTTAAACTCAAATGAAGTTCAACTTACCGTTTTTTTTCTTTCATGGATCACGCCTTTGATGTTTTATCTAAAAAGTTATTACCTGGCAACAATAGACACTGGGGACTATAAGAGGTGGGACGGAGGGAGTGGGGCAAGGATTGAAAAACTAACTATTGGGTACTATGCTCAGTACCTGGGTGATGAGACAAGTGTATCCCAAACCTCAGCATCATGCAACATACCCATGTAACAAACTTGCACATGTACCCTATGAATCTGAAATAAAAGTTGAAATTATAAAAAATTCAGGAAATCTGACTACTCTATAGCTATTAATTAATAATAATGTTTCAATATTGGTTCCTTAATTGTAACAAATGTATCATACTATAAGGGAAACCAGGTGCAGGGTATATAGAAACTCTGTGCTGCCTGCTTATTTTGTTTTGTAAATCAAAAACTAATCAAAAAAATAAAATCTATTTTTAAAAATAAAAGTCATCACCAAGCCCAAGATCACGTAGATTTTCTCCTATGTTTTCTTCTAGTAGGTTAATAGTTTTAATTTTATATTTAGGTCTATGATACTTTTTATGTTAATTTTTGTGAAAGGTGTAAGGTCTGTGTCTCGATTCATTTATTTGTATATGGTTGTCCAATTGTCCCAGAAACTATTTGTTGAAAAGTCTATCTTTTCCTTATTGCATTGCCTTTGCAGCTTTCTGGAAGATCAGTTGACTGTATTTGTGTATCTATTCTGTTCCATTATCTATTTGTCTGTTGCCAATTCCACAACGTTTTGATTACTGTAGCTTTATAGTAAGTCTTATAATTGCATAGTGTCAGCCCTCCAATTTTGTTTTTCCTCTTCAACATTATGTTGGATATTCTATCTTTTACCTGCCCATATAAGCTTTAGAATTACTTTGTTGATATCCACAAAATAACTTACTGGGATTTTTATTTGGATTGTGTGGAATCTAAAGACTAAGTTGGGAAGAAGTGACATCTTGACAACATCGAGTCTTTTTATCCATGTACGTGAAATATCTCCATTTATTTAGATCTCCTTTGATTTTTTTCATCAGAGTTTTGTAGTTTCCCTCATATAGATTTTGTACATATTTTGTTAGATTTATACCTAAGTATTTCCTTTTTTGGATGCTAATGTAAATGGTATTGTTTTTCTTTTGTTTTGGTTTTGAGGGTCTCACTCTGTCATCTAAGCTGGAGTGCAGTAGTGTGATCATACCAAAAACTCCTGGACTGAAGCAATACTCCTGCCTCAGCCTCTTGAGTAGCTGGGACTATAGGCATATGCTACAGTGCTCAGCCTTTTTTTTTTTGACATGGAGTCTTGCTTTGTCGCCTGGGCTGGAGTGCAGTGGCGCCATCTTGGCTCACTGCAACCTCCATCTCCCAGGTTCAAGCGATTCTCCTGCCTCGGCCTCACAAGTAGCTGGGATTACAGACACGTGCCACCACACCCAGCTAATTTTTGTATTTTTAGTAGAGATGGGGTTTCACCATGTTGGCCAGGCTGGTCTTGAACTCCTGGCCTCAAGTGATTCTTCCACCTTGGCTTCCCAAAGTGCTGGGAATACAGGCGTGAGCCACCATGCTGACATTCTTTTCCTTGTCTTACTGAATTAGCTAGAACTTCCAGTACAATATTGAATAGGAGTGGTAGGAGTGAATAGCCTTGTCTCGTTCTCAGTCTTAGAGGGAAAGCATGTAGTTTCTCACCATTCAGTATACTTTTAGCTGTAGGTTTTTTTCTAAATGTCCTTTATCAAATTGAAGAAGTTCCCCTCCATTCTTAGATTGCTAGGAGCTTTTATTATGAATAGGTGTTGAATTCTGTCAAATGCTTTTTCTGCATCTATTGATATAATCTTATGATTTTTTTCTGTTAATATGATGGATTACATTAATTGTATTTCAAATGTTGAACCAGCCTTGTAAACCTAGAATAAATTCTACTTGGGGCTGGGTGCAGTGGCTCATACCTGTAATCCCAGCACCTTGGGAGGCCAAGGTGGGCAGATCACTTGAGGTCAGGAGTTCGAGACCAGCCTGGCCAAAATGGTACAACCCTGTCTCTACTAAAAATTCAAAAATTAGCCAGGTGTGGTGGCATAAGACTGTAATCTCAGCTACTTGGGAGGCTGAGGCAGGAGGATCCCTTGAACCCAGGAGTCAGAGGCTGCAGTGAGCCAAGATTGCACCACTGCACTCCAGCCTGGGTGACAAAGTGAGTGAGACTCTGTCTCAAAAAAAAATCTACTTGGTGTGAGGTATAATTCTTTTTGTACATTGTTAGACTTAATTTGATAATCTTTTACTGAGGATTTCTACATCTGTATTAATGAGAGATATTGGTATGTAGTTTTCCTTTCTTGTAATGTCTTTGTCTGGCTTTGGTATTAGTGTAATGCTGGTCTTATAAAATAAGTTAGGAAGTATTCCATCTACCTCAACTTTCTGGAAGCGATTACAGAGAACTGGTATAACTTCTTCGTTAAAAGTTTGGTAGAATTCACTGGTGATCCAGTCTGGGCCTGGTGCTTTCTGTTTTGGAAGGTTAATTGTTGATTCAATTTCTTTAACATATATAGGCTCTATTAGCTTTTACTGATAACATTCCAAAGCTATCTCACCTCTAAATAAAGATGATCCCTTCAACTTAAAATGGAATGGAAAGGAGCTTTAACGGCTGGAGGAGGGAAGCGGTTTTTGCATGCTATGATTTCAATGCTTTTGTTCCTTCCAAAATGCATGTGTTGGAAACTGAATCTCCAATGCAACAGTGTTGGGAAGTGGGGCCTAATAAAAGGTGTTTTGGTCATTGGGGCTCTAGGCTTTGCTCTCATGAATGGATTAGTGCTGTTATAAAAAGAGCTTGCAGGAGTGGGTCTGCTCTTTTCTGATCTTCTGCCATGTGAAGACACAGTAAGAAGGGCCTCACCAGAGAGCAGCACCTTGATCTTGGACTTCCCAGCCTCCAGAAGTGTGAGAAATGAATTTCTTTTCCTACTCAATTACCCAGTCTGGTATTCTGTTATAGCAGCACAGACTAAAACACTGCTTAAAAAAAAATAAGTCTTAACATTCCCTTGTCACACCCAGACCATTATTTCCATTAGGAATAAAAATAAAAAGTAAAAGTCATAATGCAATTAAAATTGTAGAACCATGTCTTGTGCCCAGATGAAGGCAAAGGCAACTGTCTACTTTAGGGAATATGAGCTGCAATCTGTCAAGCATGGAGCCTGGCTGATCCTGCACTCATAGGAAATCTGAACATGAAATCCCTAGACAAATTAGAGAACTGTCTTTGCATTGTGTTTCTTTATTCATTTACAAAACCTGCAGAGGAACTGGTCACCTTCAGAACTACAATGTTTAGCTTAAAAGTTTTGATGCACCCAACCAAGAATTTTGGGCCAATGTTGGCCCAAAAATTGCTAAGCAAAGACTTTAGTTTAGTAGCCTCACTTAATAGATGAAGAAACTGAGTCATATGACATGCTAGAGGTTGAATTCGTGTTTCCTGATGCCAAATCCATTGCTCTTTCTAGTTTACTATGATACAAACTGCTTCTGCAGCCCCTGCCAACACCCATACCCAGAGTACTTGGGTTTCAACACAGTCCAGTATCAATCATACTTGCATCTTGTGTGATGTTTAGCACACAGTAGATACTCATTATTTGGCTGAATAATGAGGGTGTTTGGTTTACTGCATGCAAAGGAGCAGAAATAAGAGCTGAGTAATAAACAGTGGAACCCGGGAAACTCAAAGGACCGTTATTAGTACAACTGGGTTTTAAATAGGATTACAAAATAGTTCTATGAGAGCAAGATCTACCAAGAGGAAGAAACAAAATATATTAATATGGCTTTGGTATTCTTGAAAAAAGGAAACTTCCACGTGTTTTCTTCTCTAGACAGAGTAAGATTAATGATTGCAAATTATAAATGGAATCATCCTTGTACTACTTGAAAGTTGCAATCCTTTGTAATTAGAATATTTTTTTAGCAAATTACAACTGCAGAAAGCTTATCTCAGGAGTAAGAAGCCTTTTTATTTATATTTAAGTTTTAATAAATGCTAGACTTCAAGGATAAAACATAGGGAGATGTAGGGATGGGGGCTTTCTAGTGGATTTACCATAAGTAACATACAACATTGGTATGTAAATTACTGTGTAGCCTAATCTTTTGTCATTCAAGTAGCTTTAACTTTAAAAGCTACACAATGTGGTCTACCATAGGTTTGACAGAAAAAAGTAAAAGTCAAAGTTACCTAAACTCCAGTTAAGAGTAAGAGCACTGAATTGGGAGTAAAAGCATTAAGAAACCTGGGTTCTAGGCCGGGTGAGGTGGCTCACGCTTGTAATCCCAGCTCTTTGGGAGGCCGAGGCGGGTGGACTGCTTGAGGTTAGGAGTCAGGGAGTGAGGGACCAGCCTGAGCAACATGGCAAAACCCTCCCTCTACAAAAAAAAAAAAAAAGGAAATCTGTCTGGGTTCTAGTCCTAGCTCTGACATTGTTACGTCACCTTAAGTAATCCATTTCCTGTACGGGCCTCAGGTTTTTCTTGTGTACAATGATCTTAACAACTTCGAAGAATCATTCTAAAGATCAAATGGAATAATATGAATGAAGGTTACCAACTGCTGTACAAATTGAAAGTGACTTAACGACTAAACAGAGAGCAACCTCATTTGTTTCTTCTAAAGCTCAATTACCAAACTGGAATCAAAGGGCTGTAATGAGGTCCAAGGATTACTCATAATAGCTACTATTCACTGAGTACCTACAACGCTAGGCACTGGACTTTATATATATTATCTCACTTAATATTTACAATATTTAGTATTAACAGCTATGCAAGGGAAATTACTACTATCCATATTCTACAAGAGAGAAAAGTGAGGCATTTGAAAGAAGGGGCAACATAGCTAAGAGCCCATAGTAAGTATCAGAAAGAGGACTTCAAAGCCAGGCTTGTTTAAACCCTAAAGCTGCATTATTCTACACCTTTTCAGTCCAGATCACAAGGCTTTCTCCAATTGTTTGTATATACAATGAAGTTTAGATCCCCTCAGCCTGGCAATAAAGGTCTTCTAAGATAAGGCTTACATTGTCTACCTTCCAATCTCATCTCCAAATATGACTTCCCCTTCCATTTTCCCTTTCCTTCCGCATTCCATCTGTAGGCTATGTGACGTGGGACTGGCTCCTTCCCATAAGAACATAAGAAAACGTCCCACTTGAAGTAAAGTTGAAGTCTGCATTTCAAGGTCTCATTGTTGATGGTATTCTCTTATGTCTAACATTAAAACCACAATTCACATATTTAGCGTAATCTTACAGACAAACCCAAATCCTTTATCAGCTTAAAATATTCACTTGTAGCTCTATTCCTTAGCTAGTAGCAACTGTCACACAGTCTAGACTGAAGAGACTAGCAGTCAGGAACGAGACTGAGTTTACCTGCTGTGGGCAAAAGTCAATCATTCTTCTAAACAAGCTGGATTTACCTAGCCATCTTTCTGAGCCTGTAGGCTATTACATTCTTTGAACCTACATGCCCTAAACTTGGGGAGGAAACCAGTTGCATCATAAAACTAGGTTCCCCCTTTCTGGGCTCCCTACAGCACAGTAACAAGATTCCCTTGTTCCTCACAGTGTCCCAGGATGCTAAACTCCTAAGTGACTGTAGACAGGAAATCTCTGTGTTCTTTGCCCTTGCCTTCCAGGCATGGAGAAAACTCTCTAAGTAAGGTGGGGTGGGTGGATATGATTTATTCCCATCTGAACATAAGAGGAAGAAAAGTCTAGCTTCAAAGAGAATATTTATGTGATTCAATTAATCTTTTCTCCTCTAACCAGGTTACCTGAGTTTCACAATTTGCTGAAAAATATGCTGCTGTGATTTAGTGAAGATTAGACAGAAGGCAGAATTGGACTCTGAGAATAATTAGGAAATAGAGTTTCATGCTATCAGTATTTCTAGCATTCAGCCTCAGTAAATAGTAACTAACACATCTTAGAAGTTATTTTATTCACTGTTAATCACTAGCAATAACTCATTTGGTACACACAATTTATATATCATATACAAACACTATCCAAACTTAATTGAAACTATACACACATATACATATATCTCTCCCAACACCAAATTAACACATAGTTTCCCTAGCTTGATGGCCTCTTCATTAAAAAAATTTATTTAAATAAACTTCTTTGTTAGTTCCTTAAAGTAAAATAGATTTTTACCAACTTATTTGGAATCTTTAATCTTCATCGTGTTTAATATTTTATATTCTTTCTGACAAGTAATCAATTAAGGTACTGTATCCTTTATAAAGATGCCAAATGAGGCTTACTTTCTCTTCATCCAAAGATAATGCAAGAAACTGATCAGATAAATATTACATAGGATAACATGATACCAATAGGAGGAGGGGCAGGCCAGAAAAGATAGTCAGGGCTGCAACAGACAGAGAAAGTCTCAGGAAGAAAAATAGAAGAAAGAAAAGCTAAGTACAAGAAAATCAGAGGAAAGAAGATGATATTAGAGAAAGATATCTGAAGAGTAGAAAAGTTTGAGAGACAGTTTCAAGAAAAGCTGGCATTTACCCAATTTTGTAGGATCTCAGAGACCTTAAATGCTTGTCCAAGGTCATAAGAGAGGCAGAACCAGGGGCACAGACCAAATCTTTTGATTCCAAGATCAGTGCAACTGCAGCCTTTTCTCCTAATGTGATTGGTGCTGAACTTGGAAAACCTGCTGTAGTGAAAAAAAGCACAAGTCTAAGAGTAACATTGACTGCTTTTTATCCCAGAGAATACTGGCCTAGCTGTTTACTTTCTTTATACCTTAGTTTCTTCTCTGTCAAACAGAAATCATAATAACAGGCACAAAATTCCTAGGGATGATGTGAGGTTAAAGAAGAGAGGTGAGAAAACACTTGGAAAAGAAATATTTTAGTTAATTGAGATTCTTTAAGGAGGTGGAATAAGTAGATGGCATAGCCTTAATTAAACAAAAGGAAGCAAACAATTTAGAGCCTCCACATTACTCTGCATTAAGTCCAACATTTAAATAAAACAAAAACAAAACATAAGGCAGATATATAAAATAACATGCTACACACAAAAAAGATATACCTATATCCAATATTCAATAAAAGAAAAGGAAATTAAGAAAAAAAACATGCTATAAAAAAGGGTAAATAATTGTCCCCAGGTCCTTCCTTTAGAAAAGAAGCTTTTCCAAGAGCTGCCCACAGTTGCCACCAAACAGAGCCCAGTGCAATTGTACGCATTTTAAAAATGTGTTTTGTAAACTCTGACAATGGGTAAAGTTGAAACCAGTGTTCTCTTCAAGACAATAAGCATCCTGTGAAAGCATCTAGGTAAGAGCATGTGCACACATGAATACCCATATACACATTTTCTCTCACAACTAGTGAGCTAGTAGCTACAACAGAACTAGAATCCAGGTTTCTTCACTCAGATTTCAATCCACCAGTATGTGAATTCCATGAAAGCAGAAATTTTCATCTGTATGTATCAATGATGTATTACCAGTATCACCAATACTCAGTGGTTTTATTGAACACATGTACTCATGTAGTATATATTAAGGACTCAATGAATAAGCTAAAGCTTTTCATGCATTTCTTTCAGTTGTGAGGGTCAAATGAGATAAGGGGTTGGGAAAACATTTTGTTTACTCTAAATGGCAATATATAATACACATGAAAAGGGA
This sequence comes from Homo sapiens, assembly GCF_000001405.40. Taxonomy (NCBI): domain Eukaryota; kingdom Metazoa; phylum Chordata; class Mammalia; order Primates; family Hominidae; genus Homo; species Homo sapiens. The sequence goes on from NC_000023.11 coordinate 74,813,923, forward strand.
TAATGAAAATTATAATCACAGAATTTTAGAGCTTGACAGAACTTTAGTATTATCATATCAGTCATGGATACTACTCCTCAGAACCAGAATTTCTGAATAGATTTGCAGAAAGATTCATTGTCATCCCTGTAGCACATTCCAAGAAAATGGACAACAGGTTACCTGTTCTCACTCCAAGGAACTGGTACTGCCAGGATATTGACATGATATTGTATTTAATCATCACAACAAGTTGCCGAGGTAGGAATTACTATCCCATTTTGCAGGTAGAAAAACTCTTGAGTCCAAAGAGTTTAATTGGTAGACACAAGTGGAAAAGCCAAGAACAGGCCATGAATCAGTTAGATCCTCTCATTTTAAAGATAAGTGTATGTTTCTACTTTCTAGTTTGTATCCTGAATGACTGTATACATTAACAGTGTCCCTGGAAACAACTCTATAAGGAATATAAAGTCATGCTACTGCTTTAAGTCAACATTCACAGTGCTATTGTGGAATCTAAAGTGTTTTAGGGGATCCACAATAGTACTACAGACCTAGACTTAAGTATTCTGAAATACCTTATTCTAGTTCAACACTCAAAACATGTGCCAGGTCTCTTGCTATTTCCTGGGGGAAACAAAAGAGAATCATGGTCCCTATCCCTGGGGAATTTCCAGTTTACATAGGAATGCTATGACTGATGCACATGAAACAATTTGACAACAATATAAGGAAGTATATGTAATTGACACAAGCGAATTGGCCAAAAATATACAACTAAAAATATAATTGATGAAAACAATTACAGAACAATGTGAGACTTAATATATAATTGACTTCCTGCTTTTTAACTCCCTGTTGGTTCACAAATGAAACCCCATACATTCTTGCATTGTAAGAGAACCTCAGGAAACTTTCCATTTGCTTAATTTCTAAACAAAGTAGGCTGAGCTCTGGGACTAGCTTGGCAATATTCCAGTCACTGCTGTCAGTGAGCTGCTTTGCTATTCCAGACAGACCCCCCAGAGGGCACAGAATCTTTGCATGAATGGAATAAATCATGTCAATTTAAATCACTAATCAGGAAGAGTCAATTTAATCAATATTTCTGTAAAGAATGTATACTTGTTTGATTTACCCTTAATACATATTCTTCATAACTCAGACAGATGTAGGATTTATTTTTAGAAGACACATAGGTATGTAATTAAAGTAGTGATTTATATTTTACATTATTTAGATTAATTTTCCAGCTTCATCAGAAAAGTGAATGATGAATTTTTTATTTTATGTATCAAAGCTAATTGAAATAAATCCTTTCAAGATCACTGGAGAATAGCTAGAATTAAGGTCACTATCTTATTTCTGTCAAAGGAATGGATCATGGGTTTTAAGTCTAAGTGACTGAGAGTCATCCTTAAGCTATTCCTTTTCCCCTAAATCTAGTACAGCTACCAAGTCTTATCTCTCTTGCATCTTTTTATTAATACGATGCTAGCAATACCCTATGTTATTCCCTCATTGTCACATTTGGGTTAAGGCAAGAACTTTCTAGTTGCTCTCCGTGCCTCCAAAACATTTTCCACACTGCCAGCAGAACACTCTCTTGAAAAATATTCCTTTCCACATATTCTCATTCCCCTATTAAAAAACCAGTGGTTCTTACTGCCTACTTGCATTAAAGCACTTCATGATCTGACCCTAGTATATTTTAACATTTTCTACAACTACTTTTTTTTTTTTTTTTTGAGATGGAGTCTCGCTCTGTCTCCCAGGCTGGAGTGCAGTGGCGCGATCTCGGCTCACTGCAAGCTCCGCCTCCCGGGTTCATGCCATTCTCCTGCCTCAGCCTCCTGAGTAGCTGGGATTACAGGCACGTGCCACCATTCCCGGCTAATTTTTTGTATCTTTAGTAGAGATGGGGTTTCATCGTGTTAGCCAGGATGGTCTTGATCTCCTGACCTCGTGATCCACCCGCCTCGGCATCCCAAAGTGCTGGGATTATAGGCAGGAACCACCGTGCCTGGCCTACAACTACTTTTTAATATGAATTCTTGTTCTCTAACAAACTGGTCCACTTACTGTTTCCCCCATATGACACTATTTCCATTCCTGTCCACAACTTAACACTGCTTATTAACTACATAGGAAATTCCATTCTTTTCCTTAAGTATTGGTCTTCCTTTACCATCTTGTTGAAATCCTACATTTCTCAAAAAGTTTTCTCCACTAACCTAGCTCACAACAACCTCTTTCTTTCTTTAAACTCCAGAGTACGTACTACCTTTGAACCTCATATATCTTAGTTACTTTATATTGTTTTTCTTTTTGTGTAAGTTGAGTCTTCCCAAGTGGACAGATCCTCACAAATTTATACTGGGAATATTCCTGTCATCAAAAACAATGCACACTTATGCTGTTTTTATTTAGAGCAAAATTATCTATGTGTTAGGTTAAATTAACACATCTTTGAATATTAAGAATCTAAGGTAAGTCTCTAAATAAAAAATTGAAGCCCAGTAAATATAAAAAGAAATGAAAATATTGGCTTTTGTAGTTAATTTATTCAACCATTTCCTTTATAGATTGAAAAAGATGAGTTGCTTCTTTTTTAATTCTTAAGTGATTTATTCTATTTAGAATGAAAAGATAATGAATAAGCAAACACTCTCTTTACACTCAGAGATAAAAGCATTGCTTTTAAAAGCTAGATTAATATTTTAATGCTTTTCAATAATCCTTATGCTTAAGTGCATCCCCTTCACATGGCATGACTTCCTTTAAAATCTCATCAGTAAACATAGATTCCTGAATGAGTTATCCTTAACCCTGAAATTTCTTACTTTTGTATGAAGGGATGACAGGAAAATACCCCTATCACAAGTAACTCCTTTTCTTCAGCAGTTGAGGACTTGGCAGGAAAATGGGTCTGAGATAGTATACCATCTGCTGTGATCTATTAAACTTTTCCAACAACTTAAATCATGTTATAATCTGTGAGTAGTAACATATTAAGAAGCATCTTACATAGATTTCTTACACAATGCATTTCAATACACTTGAAAGTCCAATTTGAAATCGGATTTCTCCATTTATACTATTGATTCTTATTCATCCACTCACCCTATTTTGTCTTCGTTTGCACTATTAGAATATGGAAGTTCACTGGTGTGAAATAAAAGGACTTGAGAGATTCAGATTTTTTTTTTAAGTAAGGCTTCTAACCTAGACAAAAGCCCTATGTGAAATGAATAATTAGTATTGGAAATAGCAAGCTAAACAGAAATTCAATTCTTGAATTTGAATTTGCTATTTTATGCCATTGGTCTTTAGCTACTTCAAAGAGCCCGACAAGAATGGAAGGTTACTATAGCATTAATGCCATGGCCTAAGTCTTAAACTGCCGGTTCCTATTGAAGGAGGCCCATTCTACACTAGCCATTGCACAAACTGCACAATCATGACCCATCTTCCGGAAGACTAAGGCAAGGCAACAAACACTTTCCAAACCATCATTTATGAATAGTGAAAAAAATACACTAAAGTTCTTTAAATACAGTCCATATACTAAAGGGTCAGGAAGACCTTAATAATCATCTAAACTAAAGTTGCATTCGATGTTAAAGTAACTTTAGTGAATACTACCATCCTTGCCTCCTGAAAATAGATTTCCTACCATCCCATTCCATTGCTCACCTATGTTGAGAAAAACTTTGTTTCCCTATAGCTTCTGCCTTAAAATAGAAGTATATTTACTCTTTTCCTTTAGGGCTTTAAGGTAGATAAAGGCAGTAATCATGCCACCTTCCCCTAGTCTTCTCTTCTCTGGGATAAACAATTCTAGCATCTCTAATCTTCCTACAATTCCATTTTCCTCATAATAGTCTTATTCTCTTTACTTCTAGGTGATTTTACACAGTAGAAATATTAACTTTCAGTCTGCCATGCTTCAGTAGCCAAAAATTAATAAAATACTTAGGAATACAGCTAACCAAAGAGGTTGAAGATCTATACAAAAAAATGACAAAATACTGCTGAAAGAAATGAAAGATGACACAAACAAATAAGAAAAACATTCCATGCTCATGAATAAGAAGACTCAATAATGTTAAAATGGCTATACTGCCCAAAGTAATTTAAAGATTCAATGCTATTCCTATGAAACCACCAATGACATTTTTCACAGAATTAAAAAAAAATTATAAAAAAAATTATAAAAAAAACTTATAAAATTCAGAACCAAAAAAGAGCCCAAATAGCCAATGCCATCCTAAGCAAAAAGAACAAAGCTGGAGGTATCACACTACCTGATTTCAAACTATACTACAAGGTTACAGTAACCAAAACATGGTACTGGTACAAAAACAGACACATAGACCAAGGAATCAGGTTAAAGAACCTAGAAATAAAGCCGCACACCTACAACCATCTGATCTTCAACAGTGTCAACAAGAACAAGCAATGGGGAAAGGACTCCCTATTCAAAAAATGGTGATGGGATAACTGGCTAGCCATGTGCAGAAGATTAAAACTGGACCTCTTCCTTTCACCATATACAAAAATCAACTCAAGATGGATTAAAGACTTAAATGTAAATCCTAAAACTATAAAAACCCAGAAAATACCATTCTGAACACAGGTCCTGGCAAAGATTTCATGATGAAGACCTCAAAAGGAATTATAACAAAAACAAAAATTGACATGTGGGACCTAATTAAACTAAAGATTTTCTGCACAGCAAAAGAAACTATTAACAAAGTAAACAGACAACTCACAGAATGGGATAAAATATTTGCAAACTATGCATCTGACAAAGGTCTAATATCTAGCATCTATAAGGAACTTAAATCAATGAGCAAAAAACAACCCCATTAAAAAGTAGGCAAAGAACATGAAGAGACACTTTTCAAAACAAGACATGCATGTGGCCAACAAGCATATGAAAAAATGCTCAACATCACTAATCATTAGAGAAATGCAAATCAAAACCACAATGAGATACCCTCTCAGACCAGTCAGAATAGCTATCATTCAAAAGTCAAAAAACAACCAATGCTGCTGGTACTGGTACCAAAACAGATATATAGACCAACGGAACAGAACAGAGGCCTCAGAAATAACACCACACATCTACAACCATCTGATCTTTGACAAACCTTACAAAAACAAGAAATGGGAAAAGGATTCCCTATTTAATAAATGGTGTTGGAAAAACTGGCTAGCCGTATGTAGAAAGCTGAAACTGGATCCCTTCCTTACACCTTGTACAAAAATTAATTCAAGATGGATTAAAGACTTAAATGTTAGACCAAAAACCATAAAAACCCCAGAAGAAAACCTAGGCAATACCATTCAGGACATAGGCATGGGCAAGGACTTCATGACTAAAACACCAAAAGCAATGGCAACAAAAGCCAAAATAGACAAATGAGATCTAATTAAACTTAAAGAGCTTCTGCACGGCAAAAGAAACTATCATCAGAGTGAATAGGCAACCTAAAGAATGGGAGAAAATTTTTGTAATCTACCCATCTGACAAAGGGCTGATATCCAGAATCTACAAAGAACTTAAACAAATTTACAAGAAAAAAATCAAACAACCCCATCAAAAAGGGAGCGAAGGATATGAAAAGACACTTTTCAAACGAAGACATTTATGCAGCCAATAAACATCTGAAAAAAAGCTCATCATCACTGCTCATTAGAGAAATGCAAATCAAAACCACAATGAGATACCATCCCACGCCAGTTAGAATGGCGATCATTAAAAAGTCAGGAAAGAACAGATGCTGGAGAGGATGTGGAGAAATAGAAATGCTTTTACACTGTTGGTGGGAGTGTAAATTAGTTCAACCATTCTGGAAGACAGTGTAGCGATCCCTCAAGATTCTAGAACTAGAAATACCATTTGACCCAGCAATCCCATTACTGGGTATATACCCAAAGGATTATAAATCATGCTACTATAAAGACACATGCACACATATGTTTATTGCGGCACTGTTCACAATAGCAAAGACTTGGAACCAACTGAAATGTCCATCAATGATAGACTGGATTAAGAAAATGCGGCACATATACACCATGGAATACTATGCAGCCATGAAAAAGGATGAGTTCATGTCCTTTGCAGGGACATGGATGAAGCTGGAAACCATCATTCTCAGCAAACTATCACAAGGACAGAAAACCAAACACCACATTTTCTCACTCATAGGTGGGAAATGGACAATGAGATCACTTGGACACAGGGTGGGGAACATCACACACTGGGGCCTGTTGGGGGGTGAGGGTTGGAGGAGGGATAGCATTAGGAGAAATACCTAATGTAAATGACCAGTTGATGGGTGCAGCAAACCAACATGACCCATGTATACCTATGTATCAAACCTGCACATTGTGCACATGTACCCTAGAACTTAAAGTATAATAATAATAATAATAATAATAACCTATGCTGGCAAGGTTGTGGAGAAAAGGGAAAGCTTATATACTGTTGTTGGGAATGCAAATTAGTTCAGCCATTGGAAAATCAATGTGATGATTTTTCAAAGAACTTAAAATAGAATTACCATTTGACCCAGCAATCCCACTATTGGGTATATACCCAAAGGAATATTAACTATTCTACCATTAAGACACATGCATGAGTATGTTCATGATAGCACTATTCACTTAGCAAAGATAAGGAATCAACCTAGGTGTCCATCGACGGTGGACTGGATAAAGAAACTGTGCTGTACATCATGGAATACTATGCATCCATAAAAAAGAATGAAATCATGTCCTTTGCAGCAACGTGGATGCAGCTGGAGGCCATTACCTTAAGCAAATTAATGCAGGAACATTTCTGTTCCTAATTTCCTAATGCAAAACCAAATACCACATATTCTCACTTACAAGTGGGAGCTAAACACATGGACATAAAGACGGGAACAATGGACACTGGGGCCTACCTGAGGGCAGAGGGTGGAAGGAGGGTGAACATTGAGAAACTACCTATCGAGTACTATGTTCACTGCCTGGGTGAACATGAAATAATTGGCAACTGAAACCCCAGCCACATGCAATTTACCAATGTAACCAACCTGTACATGTGTCCCCTCAACCTAAAATAAAACTTTGAAGGAAAAAAATAAGAAATAAGTAATTTTTTTTGCAGAGAGAGTCTCACTATGTTGTCCAGGCTGCTGTCCAGAAAAAAAAAATCTCTCATACTTTAGTAGAAAACAACTGTTTGTCTCTTCTGAGATGGACCCTTTCCTGCCCTCTCTTCTTATACCTCTCCCATTCCTTTCCAACATTATCTTCTTTCTCTCTCTCACCCTTTTCTTTTTCTTCTCTATCCTCTAACTACCCATGACATAAAAGTAAAGAACATTTCAATTATTTGTTATACTCACCTTGACTCCTGTTCTATATTTTAAAAATCAGGTGAGTTTGTCCCTGTGGAGGTTTTATGAGGGAAAAAAATCACAAAAACCTATAACTCAAATAGGTTCTTTTTGACTTTTATTTTGTCTCAGACTGAATTTTGGGTCAATGATTCCTGAAAGGGGAAAAAGTCCTTTGTTTCTGCCATGGGATATTTCTTTAGCACTATCAGGTTTTCCATTACTCCTATAGATGAACAATTTTCAGTATCCTAAGATGGGGGACAGAGAGAAAATGAATAATATCGACTGCATCAAAACTTAATTTAATTCATTAGTTTTCAATCTCCTCCCTTTCCCTCTTTTACCTAAGTAGCAAGATTAACTGGAAGCAAGGACAGAGGAATAATAAAAACAAAAAAGTTAATAAAATTTTAAGGGGTTGAAAATTGTGTGTGTGTGTGTGTGTTTCTGAGACAAAGATTTCTGTCAACCAGGCCGGAGCGCCGTGGCTCAATCCTGGCTCACTGCAGCCTCCACCTCTGGTTTAATCAAGCTAATTAACAGGATCAAGCTATCCTCCCACCTCAGGCTACCAAGTAGCTGGGACTACAGGCATGCACCACCACGCTCGGCTAATTTTTGCATTTTTTTGTAGAGACGAGGTTTTGCCACGTAGCTCAGGCAGGTCTGGAACTCTTTGGCTCAAGAGATCCTTCCGCCTCGGCCTCCCAGTGTTGGGATTACAGGAGTGAGCCATCACACCCGGTCTCAGTTGATTTTTTTGAGTGCCAAGATCATTCAATGAGGGAAAGAAGAGTCTTTTCAACAAATGTTGCTGGGAAAACTGAATATCCACATGCAAAAGAATAAAGTTGCACCCCTTCCTCACACCATACTTAAAAATTAACACAAAGTGAATCAAAGACCCAAACGGAAGAGCTAAAACTACAAAACCCTCAGAAGAAAACATGGAAGTAAATCTTCTTGATCTTGGTTAGACAATGGTTTCTTGGATATGACAACAAAAGCACAAGCACCAACTGTATAAATAGATAAATTGAACTTCAAAATTAAAACCTTTTTCTTTGAAGTTTCAATAAGGTATTTAAGAAAATTATTTCCAAAAGTAAAATCTTTTGTGCTGCAAAAGACACCACCAAAAATGGAGAAACAACTCACAGAATGTAATAAGGTATTTGTAAATCATATATCTGATAAGGAACATGTATCTAGAATATACAAAGAATACCTACAACTCAACAATAAAAAAGTCAAGTAAATCAATTAAAAATGGGCAAAGAGTCTGAATAGACATTTCTTCAAAGAAGATATACAAATGGCCAATATGCACATGCAAAGATGTTTCACATCACTGGTCAGCAGAGAAATGCAAATAAAAATGACAATGAGATACCACTTCATACCCACTATGATGGCTATTATAAAAAAGATAATAATGTTGGCATGGATGTAGATAAATTGGTCCCTCTGACTGGTGGGAATGTAAAATGGTGCAACTGCTTTAGAAAACAGTTTGGTAATTTCTTATAAAGTTAGGTTACCATGTGACCCAGCAATTCCACTCAGTTGAAAACATATGTCCGCAGAAACACTTGTACATGAATGTTCATAGCAGCATTTTTCACAATAGCCAAAATGTGTTAAAAACCTAAATGTTCCTCACATTATGAATAAATAAATAATGTAGCATACCCATACAATGGTATATTATTCCGCTGCAAAAAGGAACGAAGTACACACTATAACATAGGTGAACCTTGAAAACATTATGCCAACTAAAAGAAGCCAGACACAAAAGGCCACATATTGCTACAGATCCATTTATAAAATATGTCCATAATAGGCAAATATATAAAAACAGAAAGTAAATTAGTGGTTACCTAGGATCAGAAATGGTGGGGAGTAACTGCTAATGAGTAATGATTTTCTTTTATCGAGGACAAAAATATTCTAAAATTAGATTGTGGTGATGGTTGCACAGTCCTGAAAATATACTAAAGAACAATGAACTGTATGCCTTAAATGCCTTATACGAGTGAATTGTATAGTATGCTAATTACATCTTGATAAAGCTGCTAAAAATAACTGGTCTATACTCTTCAAAAAAGTCAATGCCTTAAAAGACAGACTGAGGAACTATTCTGAGTTAAAGGGCACTAAAACATTGTGACATCTGAATGCTAAACACAATTTGAGCTTTTCATTTTCTATAAAAACATAATTGTGACAATTGATGAAATTCCAAATTTTGATTGTAGTACCGTTGTTATGAAAGAGAATTATCTTGTTTTTAGGAAATATACACTATAGTATTGGGGACACTATGTATTTGTTCTCAAATGCTTCAGAAAAAAAAGGAGAGAAAGAGAGAGAAGCAGAAAGAGACAGAGAAAGACAGATAGATAGATAGATAGATAGATAGATAGATAGATAGATAGGGCAAAATGAACACTGTGTAAGACTATGAATGAGAAAATAGATGGGGGAGAGAAGGATAAAGTAAATGTAAAAAACGTTAACATTTGGGAAATCTGGGGAAGGTGTATACAGGAGTTCGTTTTACAATTTATTCTTGCAAATTTTCTGTAAGTCCTAAATTATTTCAAAATTAAAAATTAAAGGAAAACCAACTTATATCAACTGTATACATTTAGAGTTGTATTTCAGAGACTGTATTTGAATATCTAGAGAAATATTCAGTCTTCTCGACCAAAGTTTAATTGCTTCCCCTCCAGTTGGTCCTCATACCATTCAAGTCTCAGGGCAAGTTTCTATATTCAGTATGAAAAAAGTGTTCTGTTCAAGATGCAACAGCTCTCCAAGGAACAATAAAATCTAAGATGTATGTGTCTTAGCAATTTTGAAATGCACAGTATATTATTATTAACTATAATCACCATGATGTGCAATAGATCTCAAAAAAACCTGTATTTCTCTTACCTGAGACTTTGTGTCTTTTGACTATCATCTCCCCATTCCCCACAAGCCCCAGCCTGTGTAACCACCATCTACTATCTGATTCCATGAGTTTGATTGTTTTAGATTCCACAAGTGAAAACATGCGGTATTTGTCTTTCTGTGCCTGGCTTCTTTCACTTAGCATAACTCCAGGTTCATCTATGTTACTGTAAATGACAGCAGTTCCTTCTTTTTAAAGGCTGAATAGCATTCCATTGTGTATATGTACCACATTTTCTTTAGCCATTTATTCCTTGATGGACACTTAGGCTGATTCTATAACTTGGCAATGAACATGGGAGTGCAGACATTTCTTTGACAAACTGTCTTCAAATATTTTGGGTAAATACCCAGAAGTGGGATTGATGGATCATATGGTAATTCTGCTTTTAGTTTTTTTTTTTTTTGAGACAGAGTCTCACTCTGTCGCCCAGGCTGGAGTGCAGTGGTGCGATCTTGGCTCATAGAAAGCTCCGCCTCCCGGATTCACGCCATTCTCCTGCCTCAGCCTCCCCAGCAGCTGGGGCTACAGGCACCCGCCACCACGCCCAGCTAATTTTTTTTATTTTTAGTACAGACAGAGTTTCACCGTGTTAGCCAGGATGGTCTCTATCTCCTGACGTCGTGATCCGCCCACCTCGGCCTCCCAAAGTGCTGGGATTACAGGTATAAGCCCCCGAGCCCGGCCTAGTTTTTTAAGGAATCCCTATTCAGTTTTCCATAATGGCTGTACTAATTTACATTCCTATCAACAGTATACAAGGGTTCTCTTTTCTTCACATCCTCACCAATACTTGTTAACTTTCATCTTTTGGATAATAGCTATTTTGATGAATATGAGGTTATATTTCACTGTGGTTTTAATTTGGCTTTCCCTAACAATTAGCAATATTGAGCATTTTTTCATATCTTTTCTGTTGGCCATTTTTACAAGTCCTTTTGAGAATTGCCTATTCAGGTCCCTTGCCCATTTAAAAAAACTTTTACTTTAAGTTCAGAGATACATGTGCAGGTTTATTAAATAGGTAAACTCGTGTCATGGGGTTGCGTTGTACAGTTTATTTCATCACCCAGGTATTGAACCTAGTACCCATTAGTTATTTCTCCTGATCCTCTCCCTCCTCCCACCCCCCACCATCTGGAAGTCCTCAGTGTCTGTTGTTCCTCTTTGTGCCCATGTGTTTGCATCATTTAGCTGCCACTTATCAGTAAGAACAAGTAGTATTTGGTTTTCTGTTCCTGTGTTAGTTTGGTAAGGATAATGGCCTCCAGCAACCATGTTCCTGCAAAGTACATGATCTTGTTCTTTTTTTTGACAGAGTCTTGCTCTTGTCGCCCAGGCTGAAGTGCAAAGGCATGATCTCGGCTCATTGCAACCTTCACCTCCCAGGTTCAAGTGATTCTCCTGCTTCAGCTTCCCGAGTAGCTGGGATTACAGGCGCCCACCATCATGTCTGGCTAATTTTTGTATTTTTAGTAGAGATGGTGTTTTGCCATGTTGGCCAGGCTGGTTTTGAACACCTGACCTCGTGATCCACCAGCCTTGGCCTCCCAAAGTGCTGGGATTACAGGTGTGAGCCACCACCCGGCCATGATCTTGTTCTTTTTTATGGCTGCATATAGTGTATATGTACCACATTTCCTTTATCCTATCTGCCACTGATAGGCATTTAGGTGGATCCCATGTCTTTGCTATTGTGAACATGCTGCAATGAACATAGGTGTACTTGTGTATTTATAATAGAATAATTTATATTCCTTTGGTCATATACCCAGTAATGGGATTGCTGGCTGGAATGGTAGTTCTGTTTTTAGCTCTTTGAGGAATTGCCACACTGTTTTTTACAATGATTGAATTAATTTACACTCCTAACAACAGTGTATAAGTGTTCCTTTTTCTCTAAAATTTTGCCAGCATCTGTTATTTTTTGGCTTTTTAGTAATAGCCATTCTGACTAGCATGAAATGGCATCTCATTGTGGTTTTGATTTACATTTCTCTATCAGTGATATTGAGCTTTTTTTCATATGATTGCTGGCCACATGTATGTCTTCTTTTGAAAAGTGTCTGTTCACATACTTTGCCCACTTTTTAATGGGGTTGTTTGTTTTCTTCTTGTAAATTTGTTGAAATTCCTTATAGATTCTGGACATTAGACCTTTGTCAGATGCATTGTTTCTTGTCCATTTTTTAATTGGGTCATTTGTTTCCTGGCTACTAAGTTGTCTGAGTTCCTTATATATTTTGGATAATAACCCCTTATCGAATGTATGGCTTACACATATTTTCTCCCAATCTGTAGGTTGTTTCTTCACACTGTTAATTGTTTCCTTTGCTGTGAAGAAAGTTTTTAGTTTGATACAATCCCCTTTGTCCTTTTTTCTTTTGTTGTCTGCACTTTTGGGGTCAAATCCAAAAAATTACTGCCCAGACCAATGTATTGTAGTTTCCCCCTGTGTTTTTTTCAAGTAATTTTATAGTTTCAGGCTTACATTTAAGTCTTTATTCCATTTTGAGTTGACTTTTATAGCCATGCATGTTTTAAACTAAAGGATATTGGACTAGATGAATTTCTAAGGGTTCCTTTCAATTCTGAAGTGTTATGATTCTAATATTAAATTTATTGTTGGGAGGATTAATTCCTCTTGAAATATACTTAATAAATCCCTCTCCAAATATGGTACAGTATAAAATTAGTCAAAGACATAGACCTTGACCTACAGGGACTTATTTGCCAAGAAAGCTAAGTCACATCTTTGCCACTACAGACTATAGCTTCTACTTATCTACCCACTAATTATAAGTAATCACTTTTACATAAATGCAAATTAATGTCCACTCTAGCTTTTCCCTTTCACTGACAAGAACAGCTGAGGCTCAGACAACCTAAATGACCCCCAAGCCTGTCAGCACTAAAGCTGAAGTAAATACTAGTTTGCATATTTCATATCTAGTTCTTGTGAAGGGTCAGATGCACCAACCTCTACCAGCAAGTTGCTTGATAAATCAACAAGGGAGGTAGGCCTGAAACATGTAACAAGAGAATCTGGCTGCTGAAGGGTACAGTCAGTCCTGATTTCCACCTCACTACCACCTTCTAATTCCCACAGCTAAAGTCAAGCTCCAGCAGGTGGGCCCAACTCCATTCCAGTTGTTGGGTCATTTCATCCCCTAGGTAGGGTAAATAAGTATTCTTGGACTGAGAACTCAGAAGCATAGAACCAAAACAGATATAGTATTCCTCTGATCTACCATGATGCCTTAGTTTCATTGCCCAGGTTCTTGCCTAGTTGATTCCAACTGGACAGGTACTTAAGATAGACTTTCTTATCAAGACTAATTTTGAAACAGGCAGTAATATGCTGGTAAATGTTTAACAACAAGCCTGATGGGTGGGGAGCCCTTATTTGTTAGCTTTGCTGATTTCCATGGATTAAACAATTCCACCATGGTCAATTTCAAGCTACCAATCACTAAACATGAACTTGAAGTTGGGAAGAGATGTGTACAATTAGTTGTCAAAAGCCAATGCAAACCAATTCTAGTACACCACTGGATATAGAGCAGAAACAAATCAGAAAAGACCCCTCTCCAACCCACCCCATCCCTGTGAGAAAGAAAAGTGATTCCCAAGATATTTTTGTCTTGTTGCCTTCATGGGTGGAGAGCACAGGAGCCAGATGAAAACAGATATCCCATAAAATTGGTGCATATAGTTTCCTAATTATGTAGTGGAAAAAATAGCATGCCCCATACCACATCAATAAGGAGTTAAGAAGAGAGAAAGCAAACTACAAAGATAATGGAAACAAGGGATGAAGATGGGTCTAAATTACTGGCATCTTTCAGCATGGAGTAGAGAAAGAAGGTGGATGGGTGGGTTTGTAGAGAGAAAAATCATTATTTAATTGGAAAGGCTGTTCATTTGTTTAGGAAGAGACAAAAGGAAAAGAGGAGGGAGTATGATGAGCGAATAATCTCCAAGGGGAATTGGAAAAGAAAACAGGGCTTAAACTGCAGTGGAAGGTATTTGGAGTATTATGTTTGAATACATGATACAGCAGTTGTAGGAATACACACTACATAAAGTTCCAAGTACTACAACACTTCAAAGACTCCAACTCTATTGCTGTGCTACAGGTATCCAGTAAAAGTTAAAATATTCATGCTTATTATCATATAATTAACCATAAAATTGATCAACCTATCCAAGGTTTCAATAAGAAAAAAGTGGAAGTCTAGGTTGGTGTTGTCATAAAATGAATGTTACCAACTTGCTGTGCAATCTCAGGTCAGTCCCTTGCTTCTTGGCATAGGATGCCTTCTCAAAAATAGCAGACTTTAAGCAATAGGAATATGCTGTATCTTATTGATAAAATAGCCTATGATAGCTTCTGGTTTTAGTGGTCTTCTTGCCTACCAGGCAACCGTGAAACAACAAATTAAGTTGAAATCACTCAGGGCAACAAGTCACTGCTTGAAAGCAGTGTTACTTTGAGGTTTTGTCATCCTAGCCTTAAAAAAGCAAAGAAAATTTCATTTTCACTACAGCCTCTGAAATCTTCCCTTATCTAATCTCTTCTTTGCTCATTTGTGCTACGGAATCAGCAGTCAACAAACCTTATTAGGGGCCACATTTACTGCTTTGCATCTAAAACTAAAGCACTCATGACCGACAACACCTGCACATGCTGGGAATACACCTTGCACAGTTATCTAGAAAAGGCGATACATAATAGGTCTAAGCAGGACAAATTAATTTTCCTCCATTCTTCTACACATTCCAAGTTTTTAAATTTTTAAAATTTTTGTGGGTACATAGTAGGTACATATGTTTATGGGGTACATGAGATATTTTAATACATGCATGCAATGAATAATAATCACATAATGGTAAATGGGGTATCCATCCACTCAAGCATTTATCCTTTGTGTTACAAACAATCCAATTATACTCTTAGTTATTTTTAAATGTGCAATTATGTCCATGAGTTTAATCGTTTTGATTATTAGATCCCACAAACAAGTGACAGAACATGTGATGTTTGTATTTCTGTGCTTGGTTGATTTCACTTAACAAAATGACCTCCAATTCCATCTACGTTGTTGCAAATGGCAGGATCTTATTCTTCTTTATGGTTGAATAGTACTTCATGGTGTATATGTACCATATTTTCTTTCTCCATTCATCTGTTGATAGACACTTAGGTTGCTTCCAAATCTTGGCTATTGTGAACAGTGCTGCAACAAACGTGGGAGTGCAGATATCACTTTGATATACTGATTTCCTTTCTTTAGGGTATATACCCAGCAGTGGAATTGCTGGATCATATCATAGCCCTATTTGCATTTTTTTGAGGAACCTCCAAACTGTTCTCCACAGTGCTTGCACTAATTTACATTCCCACAACAGTGTAGGAGAGTTCCCTTTTCTCCACATTCTTACCAGCATTTGTTATTGCCTGTCTTTTGGATAAAAGCCATTTTAACTGGGGTGAGATGATATCTTCTCATTGTACCTTTGATCATCTCTGATGATCAATAATGTTGAGCACCTTTTCATATTCCTGTTTGCCATTTATATTTCTTCTTTTTGGAAATGTCTGTTCAAATCTTCTGTCAGTTTTTAAATCTGATTATTAGATTTTTTTTCCTATGGAGTTGTTTGAGCTTCTTATTCTGGTTATTGATCCCTTGTCAGATGGGTAGTTTGCAAATATTTTTTCCTAATCCGTGAGTTGTCTCTTCACTTTGTTGATTGTTTCCTTTGCTGTACAGAATCTTTTTAACTTGATATGATCCCATTTGTCCACTTTTGCTTTGGTTGCCTATGCTTGTGGAGTATTACTCAAGAAATTTTTGCCCAGACCAATGTCCTGGAGAGTTTCTCCAATGTTTTCTTGTAGTAGTTTCATAGTTTGAGGTCTAAGATTTAAGTCTTTAATCCATTTTGATTTCATTTTAGTATATGGCAAGAGATGGGGATCAAGTTTCATTCTTCTGCATATGGATATCCAGTTTTCCCAGCACCATTCATTGAAAAGACAGTCCTTTCTCCATTGTATGTTCTTGGCATCTTTGTCGAACACGAGCTCATCATAGGTGTATGGATTTATTTCTGGGTTCTCTATTCTGTTCCATTGATCAATGTGTCTGTTTTCATGCCAGTACCTTGCTGTTTTGGTTACCATAGCTCTATAGTATAACTTGAAGAACTCAGGTAATGTGATTCCTTCAGTTTTGTCCTTTATGCTCCAGATAGCCTTGGCAATTCTGAGACTTTTGTGGTTCCAAATAAACTTTAGGTTTTAAAAAAAAATTATGTGAAAAATGTCACTGGTATTTTGATAAGGATTGCATTGAATCTACAGATTGCTTTGGGTACTACAAACATTTTAACAATATTGATTCTTCCAATCCATGAACATGGAATATCTTTCCATTTTTTGGTGTCCTCTTCAATTTCTTTCATCAGCATTTTGTACTTTTCATTGTAGAGATCTTTCACTTCTTTGGTTAAATTAATTCCTAGGTATTTGATTTTATTGGTGGCTATTATGAAAGAGATTACTTTTTTATTCCTTTTTCAGATTATTCACTCTTGGTATATAGAAATGCTACTGATTTTTGTATGTTGATTTGGTATCATCCAACTTTACTGAATTTGTTTATCAGTTCTAATAGTTTTTTGGTGGCATCGTTGTTTTTTTTCAAATGTAAGATTATATCATCTGCAAACAAGGATACTTTGACTTCTTCCTTTCCAATTTGAATGCCTTTAATACCTTTCTCTAGCTAGGACTTCCACTAGTATGTTAAATAATAGTGGAGACAGTCAGCATCCTTGTTTTTTCCAATCTTGAAGGAAAGACTTTCTTTTTTTTTATGCCTTCAACTTTTATATATTTTTCCAAATTTCCCATAATGAACATTTTTTAAAATTATTATTATACTTTAAGTTTTAGGGTACATGTGCACAATGTGCAGGTTTGTTACATATGTATACATGTGCCATGTTGGTGTGCTGTACCCATTAACTCGTCATTTAGCATTACGTATATCTCCTAATGCTATCCCGCCCCCCTCCCCCAACCCCACAACAGTCCCCGGAGTGTGATGTCCCCCTTCCTGTGTCCATGTGTTCTCATTGTTCAATTCCCACCTATGAGTGAGAACATGCGGTGTTTGGTTTTTTGTCCTTGCGATAGTTTGCTGAGAATGATGGTTTCCAGTTTCATCCATGTCCCTACAAAGGACATGAACTCTTCATTTTTTATGGCTGCATAGTATTCCATGGTGTATATGTGCCAAATTTTCTTAATCCAGTCTATCGTTGTTGGACATTTGGGTTGGTTCCAAGTCTTTGCTATTGTGAATAGTGCCGCAATAAACATACGTGTGCATGTGTCTTTATAGCAGCATGATTTATAATCCTTTGGGTGAAGGAAAGACTTTCAGTTTTATCCCATTCATTATAATACTAGCTGTGGTCTGTCATATATGGCTTTTATTTTATCAAGATATGTTCCTTCTATCCCTAGTTTTTTGAGAATTTTTATCATGAAGGAATTTCAAATTTTAGCAAATGCTTTTTCAGTATCAACTGAAATGATCACACGGTTTTTGTGCTACACTCCATTCATATGATGTATCATATTGATTTGTGTATGCTGTACCATCCTTGTATCCCTGGGATAAATCCCACTTGGTCACAATGAATGATCATACTAATGTATTGTTGAATTCAGTTTGCTAGTATTTTAATGAGGACTTTTACAGCAATATTCATCAGAGATATTGGCCTGTAGTTTTCTTTTTCTGTTGTGTCTTTGTTTGTTTTGGTTATTAGAGTAATACCGCCCTCACAGAATGAGTTTCCCTCCTGCTCTTTTTTTCCAGATAGTTTGAGTAGGATTGGTATTAGTTCCTCTTTAAATACTTGGAATAATTCCCCAGTGAAGCCATCAGTTCCTGGGCTTTTCTTTACTAAGAGACTTTTATTATGGTTTTGATCTCATTACTTGTAATTGGTCTGTTCAGGTTTTGAATTTTTTCCTGGTTCAAACATGGTAGGTTGTATGTGTCTCAAAATTTATTTATTTCTTCTACATTTTTCAGTTTATTAGCATATAGTTGCTGATAGTAGCCACTGGTGATCCTTTACATTCCCGTGGTATCAGTTATATGTCTCCATTTTCATCTCTGATTTTATTTATTTGGACTTTCTCTCTTTTTTTATTAGTTAGTCTGGGTTACAGTTTGTCAATTTTATCTTCTCAAAACAAAACAAAATGAAAACAAAATAAAAAAAACCAAGGTTTGGTTTCATTGATTTTTTGTATTGTTTTCTTCATTTTCATTTATCTTTGCTCCGATCATTATTTCTTTCCTTCTAATTCTGGGTTTGGTTTGCTCTTGCTTTTTTAATTCTTTAAGATGCATTGGTAGGTTGTTTATTTGAAGTTCTTTTTCTTTTTTGAGGTAGTCACTTATAGCTATAAGCTTCCCTCTGAGTACTGTTTTCATTGTGTCCCACATGTTTTTGTATGCTGTGTTTCCATTATCATTGGCTTCAAGAAAATTTCCAATTTCCTTCTTAATTTTTTCACTGACTCACTGGTCATTAGGAAGAACATTGTTTAGTTTCCATGTGTTTGTATAGTTTCCAAAATTCGTTTTGTTCTTAATTTTTTGTTTTATTCCATTGTATGAGAGAAGATGCTTGACATTATTTTAATTTTTTGAATGCTTTAAGAGTTGTTTTGTGACCTAACATATGGTCTATCCCTGAGAATGATCCATGTGCTGAGAAGAATATGTATTCTGCAGCCTTTGGATGAAATGTTCTGTAAATATCTATTAGGTCCATTTGTTCTATAGAGAAGATTAAGTTCCATGTTTCTTTGTTGATTGTCTGGAACATCTGCCTAATGCTGAAAGTAGAGTGTTGAAGTCTCCAGCTATTACTGTATTGAGGTCTATCTCTCTCTTTAGCTCTAATAATATTTGCTTTATATATGTGTGTTCCAGTGTTTGTTGCATATATATTTACAATCGTTCTATCCTGTCACTGGATTGAACCCTTTATCATTATATAATGATGTTCTTTGTGTCTTCTTAGAGTGTTTATAGCTATTCCTGCTCCTTTTTTGTTTCCATTGGCATGAAATATCTTTTTTCATCCCTTTATTTTCAGTCCATGTATATCTTTATAGTTGAAATGTGTTTCTTGTAGGCAATGGATCATGGGGTCTTGTATTTTCATCCATTCAGCTATTTTATATCTTTTGATTGGACAGTTTAGTCCATTTACATTCACTGGTATTATTCATAAGTAGTGATTTATTTCTGTCATTTGTTTCTTGATTTCCAGTTGTTTTGTGGTCTTCTCTTCCTACTTCCCTTCCTTTCCTTTTAGTAAAGGTGATTTTCTCTGGTGGTATGATTTAATTGTTTGCCTTTTATTTTGTGTGATCCATTGCATGTTTTTTGATTTGAGGTTACTGAGAGGCTTGCAAATACGATTTTATAACTCATTGTTTTCAACTGATAACAACTTAACACTGATTACGTAAACAAACAAACACACAAAAAGAAAACTAATAAGGCTGGGTGCGGTGGCTCATGACTAATTCCAGCACTTTGGGAGGCCGAGGCAGGCAGATCACCTGAGGTCGGGAGTCTGACCGACATGGAGAAACCCCATCTCTACTAAAAATACAAAATTAGCCAGGCATGGTGGTGCATGCCTGTAATCCCAGCTACTCGGGAGGCTGAGGCAGGAGAATTGCTTGAACCCAGGAGGCGGAGGTTGCGGTGAGCCAAGATTGCACCATTGCACTCCAGCCTGGGCAACAAGAGCGAAACTCCATCTCAAAAAAAAAAAAAAAAAGAAAGAAAAGAAAAGAAAACTAATAAAAGTTC
Source organism: Homo sapiens (assembly GCF_000001405.40). NCBI lineage: Eukaryota > Metazoa > Chordata > Mammalia > Primates > Hominidae > Homo > Homo sapiens. The sequence continues at coordinate 74,834,184 of NC_000023.11, forward strand.
TACGCTTAAACTTCATCCTTTCCACTTTTTAACTTTTTGTTGTTTCTCTTTGTGTCTTGTTGTATTGTCTATGTCTTGAAAAGTTGTTGTAGTGTAGATATTATTTTTGATTGGTTCATCATTTCATCTTTCTACTTATGATAAGGGTAGTTAAAATACCATAATTATATCATTATAATATTCTGTGTTTTTCTGTGTACTTATTATTACCAGTGAGTTTTGTACCTTCAGACAACTTCTTTTTGCTCATTGACATCCTTTTATTTCAGATTGAAGAATTCCCTGTAGCATTTGTTGTAGGACAGGTCTGGTGTTGAAATGCCCAGCTTTTGTTTCTCTGGGAAGGTCTTTATTTCTGCTTCATGCTTGAAGGATATTTTCACCAGAAATACTCTTCTAGGGTAAAATATGTTTCCTTTAGCCCTTTAAATATGTCATGCCACTCTCTCCTGGCCTGTAAGGTTTCCACTGAAAAGACTGCTGCCACAGGTATTGGAGTTCCATAGTATGTTATGTTGTTTCTTTTCTCTTGCTGCTTTTAGGATCCTTTCTTTATCCTTGACCTTTAGGAGGTTTGATTATTAGATGCCTTGAGGTAGTCTTCTTTGGGTTAAAGCTGCTTAGTGTTCTATAACCTTGTACCTGAATGCTGATATATTTCCGTAGGTTTGGGAAGTTCTTTGATATTATCCCCCTGAATAAAATTTCTACCTCTATCTGTTTCTCTATCCCCCATCTAAATGCAATAGCTCTTAGATTTGCCCTGTTGAGGCTGTTTTCTAGATATTGTAGGTGTGCTTCATTGTTTTTCATTCTTTTTTCTTTCGTCTACTGTGTATTGTCAAATAGTCTGTCTTCAAGCTCACTAATTCTTTCTTGTGCTCGATCAGTTCTGCTAAGAGACTCTGATGCATTCATTCTTCAGTACGTCAATTTCATTTTCAACTCTAGAATTTCTGCTTGATTCTTTTTAATTATTTTAATCTCTTTGTTAAGTTTATCTGACAGAATTCTGAATTCCTTCCCTGTGTTACCTTGAATTTCTTTAAGTTTCCTCAAAACAGCTATTCTGAATTCTGTCTGAAAGGTCACATATCGCTGTTTCTTTAGGATAGGTCCTGGTGCCTTATTTAGTTCGTTTGATGAGCTCATGTTTTCCTGGATGATCTTGCTGCTTGTAGATGTTCACCGGTGTCTGAACATTGATGAGTTAGGTATTTATTGTAGTCTTCACAGTCTGGGCTTATTTGCTTCTGCCTTTCTTGAGGAGGCTTTACAAGTATTTTAAGAGACTGGACCCCAAGCCCAATATTTCTGTGGTTTTTGCAGACTCATAAGAGGTACCACCTTGGTGGTCTTAAATAAAATCTGGAAGAATTTTCTGGATGACCAGAAAGGAACTCTTGTTTTTTTTTGTCCCTACTTTCTCACAAACAGTCTCTGTCTCTGAGCTGAGCTGTCTGGAGGTGGGGGTATGGTGATGGAAGCACTCCTGTGGCCACCATCCCTGAGACTGCACTTGTTCATACCTGAAGCCAGCACAACACTGGATCTTACCCAAGGTCTGCTGAAACCACTACCTGGCTACCACCCACATTTACTCAAGTCCTTGGGCTCTACAACCAGCAGGTGGCAAAGTCAGACTGTTTGGTGTCCTTCCCTTCAGGGTGACAAGTTCCTCCATGCCACAAGCTGGTCAGGAGATGTTGTCTGGGTGCCAGGGATTGGAGTTAAAAAAACATCAGAAATTAGCCTGATGTTCTATCCTACTAAATAGATAAGTGGCTAAGCTGGTGCTAAAACCATGACATGCAGTCTTTCCCACTCTTTCTTCTTCTTTCCACAGGCAGAGAGGCCTCTCCCTGTCACCATCACCACCACTTGCCCATGGTGGGGGAAGGAGGAGGGCGGGCTTCTGCCTGGCCACTGCCAATGTTCCCTTAAAGCCTAAGGCCTCTTCAGTTAGCTTGTGCTGAATACTGCCAGGCCTGTGACTCACCCTTCAGGGCTATGGTCTGACCCAGGGCAGGTCCAGAAATGCCATCCAGGAGCCTAGGCCTAGACTCAGGGAACCCAAGAGCCTGCTTGTTGCTCTACCCCACTTTGGTCAAGTTGGTACCTAAGGTGCAAGACGAAGTCCCCTTTACTTTTCTGTCTGCTTTTCTCATACAGAAGGAGTTGTTTACTGTAGACAACACAGCTGGGAATGTGCTGGATCACATCTGTGGTCAGAACGTCTTAGAACCCAAAGCCCACAGCATACTACTAGGGTATTGGTGCTGGTTATTCAGGTCCCAAGAGCTCTTTAGTTAGCAGGTGATGAATCCTGCCAGGAGTGAGTCCTTCCCTCAAGGCAGCAGTTTCTCTTTTGGACCAAGGTATAGCTAGAAATGTTGTCCAGGACCTAGGCCCTGGAATAAGGGCCTCACGACTCTGCCTGGTACCCTACCCTATTGTGGCTTAGCTGGTATCCAAGATGCAAGACGAAGTCCTCTTTCATCTTTGTTTTCCTCCCCTTAAGCAGAAGGAAGGAGACAATTTCGTTGCTGTGAACTGCATTGCCTGGGGTTGGGGGGAGGCATGGGGCAAGCACTCCTTTAGCTGCCCTGGCTGGTGTCTCCCTAGGTCACGTGCCACCCTAGTCCTCTGGCTCTGAGCCTAGCCCAGCACTAAGGGCCACCTGGAAATTGCAGTCACTGTGTCCTAGACTGCCTTTCAAGTTTACCTAGGACCCCAGAGCTCTTTTGCCTGTGGTGGTGAGGCTTGCTGAGAGAGTGGAGTTCTGACTGATGGGATGGATGATTGATCCCTCTCTGGCTAGGGCTGCTGCAAATGCCCCCTCTGTGCACAGGTGCTGACTGAGCCCAGCATGGCTTTTTTCTCCACTGTGACAGTGTAGCACTGAAATCAATATAATGTCCCCAGTCACTTCACTCTCCCTCCTGAAAGTGCACAGACACTCTGTGCTGCATGGCTGCTGCTGGGGGATAGGGGAGGGGTGGATCTGGTGATTCAAGACTGTCTCTCTGACCCTCCTCAATACCTCTTTCAACAATATAAAGTCCGGTACTGTGATTGCTCACCTGATTTTTGTTTTTTTGTGACAGTGCTTTCTGTGTGCAGATAGTTGTTAAAATTTGGTGTTCCTGTGGGGAGTACTAACGTTGCAGGTTTGTATTCTGCCATCTTGTTCTGCCCCTCCCAATAGTTTTATATACCAGCAAACATAAGGACTGTCTTTCTCATCTTCCTTACACTAACCAGATACTCATTTTGGTTACCCAATAAGTAAATATTACCTCCTAACAGAAGACCGTATCATTATAATTTTCCTGTTCCCTGCTTTTGTCACATTTTACAATTCAGCCCCTCCAACAGAAGAGTAATGAATAGCAGAATAAGAATCTCTTCACTATCTTGTCCTGCTCCTCTTTATTCCTACCATTTCTGCATTTTTTCCAAGATTCTTTGTCATCTACAAAGGCAGAACTGCAAACACCAGAGAAGAGCTGAAGAGAAGAGACCACTGTTAGTAAAAGAAAACAAGAACAGCAATACAGGTCTGAAAATGAAAGGGTCAGGCTATCAGAAAGTAGTCATCAAGGGGGACAATTGTTATATGTAACTAACAGCTCAGATTCTTATAAGAAAGAATAAATCAGGCATCAAAAGGAAAAAAAACTGAGCTTATGAGAAAGGCGCAGTGATTTCTTATTTAAACGGCATAGCAGTTTCCTGTCTATAAATACGTATGTTTCTATGTATGTGTGTGTGCATGCATGTGTGTCTTTTATAAGTAAGTGGTGAAAAAGAAGAACATAGTGCCCATTGTGGATGGAGGAAATAATAAAAATAGGCCTCAAACAGCAAGTGCCCTGGACTTACAAGCCCTGAACCTGAAGGAAAAACTAGTTTCAGTCCAGAATAAATTGGAATCTGAGCAATTACAAATTTTTATTAAAAGAATAAAATATTGAATCCAGAAAATCCTCATGACTTAATGTAGGTATGTGTGTATGTACAATGTGCTAAGCCTGTATATGGGCGAACCTGATCCAAACAATCTGGGTGATAATTCTAACTACCCTGAACTTGGGGAAAGCAAAGGGTTTAGAACCCCCAACTTTTAATTTAAAAACATTTTAAATTGAGCTTTTTACCAAAGAAAAATTCTGATATTACTAGATATTAAGTTAAATAGAAAATTAGTTTGAAGCAACTGAATCAAAGTGGGGTAAATTTACATTAAATTTGATTTTTTAAATCAGGTTTTTAAAGCATACAATAATATCTTTTGATTACCATTTTATTATGCTCCCTGTGAAGTTTCCTCTATATTTGAACTGGCCAGCCTCATCAACCAGTTTGCCAATGGGCTTTTCCTTGAATGAGTGCTATTAACAACATATGGTAACAATACAGGGATGTCTTTTTAAACTTCAGGCAGTGTACACAGCTTTTGCTGTGCTCCAAGGTCCCTTCTTTTTATTTAAATTGTTGGTTTTTAAGGCTCTGCTTTAACCACTCAGTCTTGCTGAAACTGAAGATCTCTCCCCATCAAACTGCACCCTACCATCCCCAGTTATAAGGAAAACATGATTCTTATACATCATTTATTATCATCCTTGTACATCATTATGGTATAAAGAAAACATAGAATGAGAAAAATATATAATGAAAACCTGCAAATATGTGAGTATAAGCCTACAATTTTAATTCCTCTTTATAGTTTTATGGTAAAATTCTAGTAATCTGCTCAGTCCTTACTTAGGATATAAATTATTATCCTTTTCTCAAAGGAGTGCTGTCAATTGTCAGTGTGAACTAAGTTCAGTTGCCATTAAAAATAATTACCCTGGAAAAGTAAACATGCATCCCCTACCTTGTGATAATCTCACTTACTGAATCATTACAAATCACTCTTTCCTCTTCTCGCACCTTGTACCACTTAGAACAGTTAATACATTCTGCCTTCCATTGTTCCTTTATTTATCTTTACCTAAAACACTATAAACCAGTAGGTGGAAAAAGGGTGGGAATCCAGTTCATCACTGCATTCCACACAGAACTTTTCATATTGTAGGTATTCAATGCCTACTTAAAAATGACATTTGGTCCTTTCCTAGAGATATGAGAGAAATATCCCAGACCCATACTCTTCCTTAGGTGGTATCACTAGAAGAGCCTTCTAACTACAACTGTAGCATTTTTAATTGCCCAAATTGGGATTTTTAAAAACTTTTATTTTAGGTTTGGGGGTACATGTGATGGTTTGTTACATAGGAGGTTGTAACATGGGAGTTTGTTTTACAGATTATTTCATCACACAGGTATTAAGCCCAGTACCCAATAGTTATCTTTTCTGCTCCTCTCTGTCCTCCCACCCTTCACCCTCAAGTAGACCCCAGTGTCTGTTGTTTCCTTCTTTGTGTTCATAAGTTCTTATCATTTAGCTCCCACTTACAAGTGAGAACACGCGGTATTTGGTTTTCTGTTCCTGCGTTAGTTTGCTAAGAATAATAGCCTCCAGCTCCATCCATGTTCCCACAAAAGACATGATCTTGTTCTTTTTATTTCTGCATGGTATTCTATGGTGTATGTGTATCACATTTTCGTTATCCAATCTGTCATTGATGGACATTTAGACTTATTCCATATCTTCACTATTGTGAATAGTGCTGCAATGAACATTCAGATGCCTGTGTCTTTATGGTAGGATGATTTATATTCCTCTGGGTATATACCCAGTCATGGGATCACTGGATTGAATGGCAGTTCTGCTTTCAGCTCTTTGAGGAATCACCATACTGCTTTCCACAATAGTTGAACTAATTTACACACTCACCAATAGTGTATAAGTGTTTCCTTTTCTCCACAACCTCGCCAACATCCAGTATTTATTGACTTTTTAATAATAGCCATTCTGTCTGGGGTGAGACGGCATCTCATTGTGGTTTTGATTTGCATATCTCTAATGATCAGTGATTTTGAGCTATTTTTCATATGCTTGTTGGCTGCATGTATGTCTTCTTTTGAGAACTGTCTGTTCATATCCTTTGCCCACTTTTAAGTGGGGTTGTTTTTCTCTTGTAAATTTGTGTAAGTTCCCTATAGATGCTGATTATGAGACCTTTGTCAGATGCATGGTTTGCAAATATGTTCTCCCATTCTGTAGGTTGCAAAAAAATCAGAGAGGACACAAATAAAGGGAAAAACATCCCATGCTCCGCTGGGATGCTCAGCTGCAGGTTGTTTCTTTACTCTGTTGATAGTTTCTTTTGTGGTGCAGAAGCCCTTAAGTTTAATTAGATCCCACTTGTCAATTTTTGCATTTGTTGGAATTGCCTTTGGTGTCTTTGTTATGAAATCTTTGGCCATTCCTATGTCTAGGATGGTATTGCCTAGGTTGTCTTCCAGGGTTTTTATAGTTTTGGGTTTTACATTTAAGTCTTTAATCCATCTTGTTAGTTTTGTATATGGTGTAAGGAAGGTGTCCAGTTTCAATCTTCTGTATATGGCTAGCCAGTTATCTCGTCACTATTTATTGAATAGGAAGTCTTTTCCCAATTGCTTGTTTTTGTCAGGTTTGTCCAAGATCAGATGGTTGTAGGTGAAAGGCCTCACTTCTGGGCTTTCTATTCTGTTCCACTGTTCTATGTGCCTGTTTTGTACCAGTATCATGCTGTTTTGGTTACTGTAGCCCTGTAGTATAGTTTGAAGTCAGATAATGTGATACCTCCAGGTTTGTTCTTCTTGCTTAGTATTGTCTTGGATATTCAGGCTCTATTTTGGTTCCATATGAATTTTAAAATAGTTTTTTCTAATTCTGTGAAGAATGTCATTGGTAGTTTGATAGGAATAGAATTGAATCTGTAAGTTGCTTTGGGCAGTATGATAATTTTAATGACATTGATTCTTCCCAGCTGAGCATGGGATGTTTTTCCCTTTATTTGTGTCCTCTCTGATTTTTTTTGCAGTGTTTTGTAATTCTCATTGTAGAGATATTTCACCTCCCTGGATAGCTGTATTCCTAGGTATTTTATTCTTTTGTGGCAATTGTGAATGAATTTGTCTTTCTGATTTGGCTCTCGGTCTGGCTGTTGTTGGTTTATAGGAATGCTAGTGATTCTTGTACATTGATTTTGTATCCTGAAACTTTGTTGAAGTTGTTTATCAGCTGAAGGAGGTTTTGGGCCAAGACTATGGGGTTTTCTTGATGTAGAATCATGTCGTCTGCAAACAGAGATAGTTTGACTTCCTCTCTTTCTATGTGGATGCCTTTTATTTCTTTCTCTTGCCTGATGGCTCTGTCTAGGACTTCCCCTTACTATGCTGAATAGAAGTGGTGAGAGAAGCCATCCTTGTCTTGTGCTGGTTTTCAAGGGGTATGCTTCCAGCTTTTCCCCATTCCGCATGTTGTTGGCTGTGGGACTGTCATAGATGGCTCTTATTATTTTGAGGTATGTTCCTTCAATACCTAGTTTATTGAGAGTTTTTAACATAAACGGATGTTGAATTTTATCAAAGGCTTTTTGTGCATCTATTGAGATAATCATGTGGGTTTTGTTTTTAGTTCTGTTTATGTGATGAATCACATTTTTTTGATTTGCTTATGTTGAACCAGCCTTGCATCATGGTGATGAAGCCTGGTTGATCATGGTGAATTAGCTTTTGACGTGCTGCTGGATTCGGTTTGCAAGTCTGTTGTTGAGAATTTTTGTATCAATGTTCATCAAGGATATTGACCTGAAGTTTTCTTTTGCTGTTGTGTCTCCGCCAGGTTTTGAAATCAAGATGATGCTGGCCTCACAGGATGAGTTGGGGAGGAGATCTTCCTCCTCAACTTTTTGGAATAGTTTCTGTGAGAATAGTACCAGCTCTTCTTTGTAATCTGGTTGAATTCTATTGTGAATCTATCAGGTTCTGGGATTTTTTTGGTTGGTAGGCTATTTGTTACTGATTCAATTTTGGAGCTTGTTATTGGTCTATTCAGGGAATCAAGTTCTTTCTGGCTCAGTCTTGGGAGAGAGTATGTGTCCAGAAATTTATCCATCTCTTCTAGGTTTTCTAGTTTGTGTGCACAGAGGTGTTCATAGTAGTTTCTGATGGTTGTTTTTATTTCTGTGGGGTCAGTAGTAACATCCCCTTCATCATTTCTAATTGTGTTTATTTGTATCTTATTTTCTTCTTTATTAGTCTAGCTAGAGGCCTATCTATCTTATTAATTTTTCCAAGAAACAAACTTCTGGATTCACTGATCTTTTGATTTTTCATGTCTCAATTTCCTTCAGTTCAGTTCTGATTTTTTTTATTTCTTGTCTTCTGCGAGCTTTGGAGTTGATTTGTTCTTACTTCTCTAATTCTTTCAGTTGCGATGTTAGGTTGTTAATTTGAGATCTTTCTAACTTTTTGACGTGGGCATTTAGTGCTATTAGTTTCCCTCTTAACATTGCCCTAGCTGTGTCCCAGAGATTCTGGCATGTTGTATCTTGATTCTCATTCTTTTCAAAGAACTTCTTGACTTCTGTCTTAATTTCATTATTTACCCAAAAGTCATTCAGGAGCATGCTGTTTAATTTCCATGTAATTGTATGGTTTTGAGCAATTTTCATAGTTTTTATTTCTATTTTTATTGTGCTGTGGTCCTGAGAGTGTGTTTGGTATGAATGTGGATCTTTTGCAGTTGCTGACGATTGTTTTATGTCTAATTATGTGGTCAGTTTTAGAGTATGTGCCACGTGGCAATGAGAATAATGTACATTCTGTTGTTTGCGGGTGGAGAGTTCTGTCATGGTCTATCAGATCCATTTGGTCCAATGTTGAGTTTAGGTCCTGAATACCTTTGTTAATTTTCTGCCTTGATGATCTGTCTAATACTGTCAGTGGAGTGTTGAAGTCTCCCACTATTATTGTGTGGGAATCTAAGTCTCTTTTTATGTTTCTAAGAACTTGCTTTATGAATATGGGTGCTCCTGTGTTGGGTGCATATATACTTAGGATGGTTAGATTTTCTCGTTGAATTGAAACCTTTACCATTATGTAATGCTCTTAGGCTTTTTTGATCTTTCTTCGTTTGAAATCTGTTTTGTCTGAAATTAGGATTGCAACCCTTGTTTTTGCTCTGTTTTCCATTTGCTTGGTAGATTTTCATGCATCCCTTTATTTTGAGCCTGTAAGTGTCATTATGTGTGAGATGGGTCTCTTGAAGATAGCATACTATTGGGTCTTGCTTTTTTTTTTTGTTTGTTTGAGATGGAGTCTTGCTCTGTTCCCCAGGCTGGAGTGCAGTGGTGTGATCTCGGCTTACTGCAACCTCCACCTCCCAGGTTCACATCATCCTCCTGCCTCAGCCTCCCGAGTAGCTGGGACTACAGGCGCCTGCCAACACGCACAGCTAATTTTTTGTATTTTTAGTAGAGACAGGGTTTCACCATGTTAGGGAGGATGGTGTTGATCTCCTGACCTCGTGATCCGCCTGCCTCAGCCTCCCAAAGTGCTGGGATTACAGGCGTGAGCCACCGTGCCCAGCCGGGTCTTGCTTTTTTAATCCAGCTTGCCACTCTCTGCCTTTTAAGTTGGGCATTTAGCCCATTTGCATTCAAGGTTAGTATTGATATGTGTGGATTTGATCCTGTCATTGTGCTGTTAGCTGGTTATGATGTTGGCTTGTTTATGTGGTTGCTTTACAATGACACTGGTCTGTGTGTTTAAGTGTGTTTTTGTATTAGCCAGTAGCAGCCTTTCCTTTCGATATTTAGTGCTTCTTTCAAGATCTCTTGTAAGGCAGGTCTGGTGTTAATGAATCCCCTCAACATTTGCTTATCTGAAAAGGATCTTATTTCTCCTTCACTTAGGAAGCTTAGTTTAGCTGGATATGAAATTCTTGGTTGAAGATTTTTTTCTTTAAGAATATTAAATATAGGCTCCCAGTCTCTTCTGGCTTGTAGGGCTTCAGCTGAGAGGTCTGCTGTTAGACTGATAACCCCTTTGTAGGTGACCTGCCCATTCTCTCTAGCTGCCTTTAACATTCTTTCTTTCATTTTGACCTTGGAAAATCTGATGATTGTGTGTCTTGGGGATGATCTTCTTGTGTAGAATCTTGCAGGAGTTCTCTGTATTTCCTGAATTTCACTGTTGGCCTCTCTAGCAAGGTTGGGGAAATTTTCATGGATGATATTCTGAAATATGTTTCCCAGCCAACCTGGGATTTTAAATGATGATTAATCATTATACTCTCAAAACTAATGGGTTGTGCTTTGGGTTTTCAACACTTTCTCCATCTTCCAGGTCCCCTTACTCCTTGCACCACCATTTACCCCAAAAGAAAAAAGAACAGTTGTTTGCAGTAAACCTCCTCAACTCCCCTGGCGAGCCTCATGAACACCTAATACAGGGGGGCTAGAGAGGAGAGACTGAGGAGATTTCTAGTCCACAGGTGACTTGCCTGATTTCTCTTTAAGTGAGCTAAGGAGCCTCTGTTACTCATCTAAACCATAATAACAAATCGTCTCTATACTTTTGGCTTTAACTGTACCATAACTGCAAAACATTTTGGAAGAGGTAATGCTAATAATTGTGATACTTAAGTCCTGCAATCCAGCTCAATAATTCAACAAGCATTTTCAGAGAGCCTCCTATGTACAAGGTGAGAAGCAATACAAACATGAGAGAACTAGGATACTCCCTTAATTATATCTATTAATACATCCAACACCATTTTTTTCAACAAAACTAACTAGACATGGATTTTTTAACTGGGCTAGGGCTTGCCCTGATTGATTAGTGTTCACATATAGAGCAATGGGTTTAGCTAAATAAATAATGTTACTAAACAAACCCAACCAGGGAAGCTATTGGTAAAGAGAATTAATGATTATGTACATATATCACTTCTTAACTATTAGGTGCTCCTAGGCTCCAGGAAACAGAAGCCCTGAATTAGACCTTATTTGAGTATCTACTAGGTGCATGACTCAGTAATACATGCTGAGTGGCAGGAGTGACATAGAGTATTAGAAGCCATCTTAAATAAAGATGACTCCATCATAGTCTCCCCTGTGGAATAAAAAATACCCCACACACCTTGCACTGCCACTGTTATACTGTGTGTTGTTTACCCTTTTTAGAAAATAGTCTACTCTGAGGATACACATGGATCAAAAATAAACAAAAATAAAGGTGCTGTTTCCAAAAAAACAAATTCTCATTGTTCAAATAACTCATATTCTATGTCTTTGTTTGGGGTGGGGGTTAGAAACCCCAACCAAAAGATTCAAACATGTTGGTATACAATAGATATAGTTCAAGAACTCAAGGTATATTTACGGGAGGGTGCAAAGGAGACAGTGAGAAAGAAAGAAAGGGAGAGTGTAGATGCTAAGTACATGGGTTTATATGGCTAGTCAAATAATAACAAGTGAAGCAAGCTCTACTGCTCTCAGTATACATAGTGCTACTCTAATATACAAACCTATTTGTGATATAATTCAATAATTTAAGTGGACAATGTATAATGGCAACTTTTTTTGAACACTGACAAAAGTTGAGTCTTTCCTCCTACAAGTGAGCCACAACTTATTTGCCTTGAAAATAAACATAAAAATCCAAGAGAATTAAAAAAAAAACTATACATGAAGCCCCCAAGCCCTAATTATAACCTCTCTTAAAACATTTCCAATTATCAGCTCCTGAGAAAGGTATAACAGAAATGGAGGCACCAAGCACATTTCCTTATGCAACTGTCTTCCCACACTAGTAGTAAAGAAGATTCTTTATCAGCAGTGATTTAGTTACCCACCTAATGCTTACTTATTGTGTTTTCAGAAAAACCACTACAATAATTTTCAAATAGAAACTATTAGCATCCATTGTAATTAATATCTTCTTTCCCAATGCTAAAGGCTCTACTTTGTCAGAAACCACTGGTTCTTCTCCCAGCCACCCTCAACTAGTACAGCTACTTGCCGAAGGGCCCAGCTTTAAAGAGTGAAACCATCTTTAATTTTATCTCCTCCTTTTTGTTTAGGGTTTGTTTTAAAACCTTCATCTCCAGGAAGATAGAACAAATAATAAAAACACCTATCACTGTACTGGACTAAATTAAAAGGCCCTTTACCTCACTTAGGAGATCTATTCTAGTCTGTTCTCAGTCCTTCCAAATTCTACTTGAATTTTAAGGCCTTGCATAAATTCCACTCCCACCACTAAACCTTCTCAAGACCACTCTAGCCTATGGATATCCTGTCTATGGACTATTTAACTAGCTCTCAATACCACTTATTTCTCCCTTATCATATATTATTTAGTATTATTACCTGTTTCAAGTGTATCCTGTCTAGAAATCCTGACATATGAGAATGACAGAAGAACTTGAGGGTGCTTGGCCTGGAGGGGAGATGTTTCAAGGACACATTAGGTAAATATATTTTTAAACGATTGAAGCTTTGTCATATAGAAGAAGAATTAAGAATTAACCTTTGTTGCTCCAGAAGATAGAGTTTGAAGGAAGCACATTTTAGGGCTACATGAGCAGGTTATAAATATCTATCATGTATTTTACTATGTTCTATGTGCTATATTGGGCACATACCCATATCTTGTATCATTTAACTATAATAGGTTTTTCTAACAGTATAACTGATTCAAACAATGTACTAGTGTGTCTTATAAAGTAATAAGCTCTTTTCCTCAGAACTGTTGGAGGCAAGGATCCCATGCTGGGTGAAGGGGATGGAACTAGAATATTCAAAATGTCCCATTTTAATGCTGATGATATATGGGGTGTGCCCATTAAGTAATGACATAAATTCATCTTTAGAAAAGAAACCAATTAAGATCTGTGCAGGACCCAACCTGTACATGGTTTGGGGCTGCTATCTGCCTCATAAAGCAAAGTGAAGGGTTTGTTTTCTGAAAACACAAAGTCATTTTCTCTTCTGAAAAAGCCTCCTACATATTTGGCTTTGCAATTTTCCAGGAATAAGAGGGCAAGGATTGAGGCTTCATAAGTCTGGGTTTTCAGTTCAGGTTAAGAGAGAAGATGAATTGAAACCAGAAAATTCAGACTGGGAAGTAGGTCCCTCTAGAACTCATCACTGTTAACTCAGCCTGGGCTTCACGAGTCATAGAAGTGGATTCCTTGATAACAAAATAAATATAGTTTCTCCCCAAAAGAAGACAAACTCAAGTACATGCATACATATAAGCATTCTACTTTAAAGACGTTAACCTAGAAAATGTGAACTTAGTTCCAAATGACATAGCTGCTCCACCCTCAAAGGAAAAAGGACTGTCATTTCAAAGTAGGTTCTAAGCAACATACTGGAGGGTCTGGAGATGATCTCAAAAACACTTTTAAGTAACATCGGTTTTGTGAAAATAATGTAAGTTTCCTAAAGTAGCCAATTTGGAAAGGGACAGCATGAATTTTCATATGTAACTACTGATTTTTTAAAGCAAATATTTATTACTTTGTAATCGCAGCCCACATATGTTGTCTCTCTACCTCAATTATAAGGGCCTGTTGGCAAGGACATTTTCAAGTGGCAGCATGCAGTCTTTAACACCTTCTTCATTATTTTTAAAAAGTATCCATGTCAACTCAAGGCTGTGAGTTAATTAATGATAGTAATAATAATAATATTAAATTAAATTTTGAGTACATACTATGTCAGACACTTGCTGAGCATAAATATTCATCTCACTCATCTCATCAAATGACTCTTTAGTCAAGTAAATGGTCAGACCATCTAGTTAGAGGCTTGGCTGACTCCTCCCCCTTCTTCTAACTGAATTGATCAATTCTAAGGCACAATTATTTACTTGCCTTATAATCACTGACATACAGCTTATGTCTGGTCTAGACTGCTTGTTTACCAATTTTCTTCTGTATTCCCATAGACAAAAAAATCCCTCCTGTTGAATAGTATTCAAAGGTTATGATTATTCTCTATGCTTGATTTTTCTCCTTGGTCAAAAAATGTGTCCTTGTTTATTTAAAAAATGAAAATTACTTTTAGCAAAACTACTAGTTGAGCTAGTAATTAACACAAATGACCTACTCCTCCATGATAAACAAATGAATTTCAAGCTAGCTGGCAAGGAAGCCAGATGGTTAATATTGAACCTGTATTTGAATTGTATTCTCAAAACACCATGGATTTAAAACACATTAATAATTGTATTAGTTTTCTATGGCTGCTGTAATAAATTACAACAAAGTCAGTGGCATAAAACAACAGTAATTTATTCTCTCATAGTTAGAGAGGCCAGACTGTAAAATCAAAGTGTCAGTAGGTCTGTACCCTCCTCTGGAGGCTCTGCAAAGGCACTTTGTCCAAATAAGGTAACATTCACAGGTTCCAGGGATTAGGACATTGACAGACCTTTTAGAGGGCCACTATTCAGCCCACTACAATGATTAATACTTAAAACATAAAAACACTTATTAGAATATCCTATAAAGATCAAAATAGCTGAGAAATTAATAAGTAGGTCTTGGTAAAAAAAATGAATATTAAAAGAGCAGTTTGTGTCCCTCCAAAATAAATATGCTGAAATCTAATCCCCAATGTGATGGTATTTGAAGGTGGGGTCCTTTGGGAGGTGATTAGGACATGAGAGTGGACCACTCATGAATGAGATTAGTGCCTTCATAAAAGAGACCCCAGAGAGTTCTCTCATTTCTTCCACCACATGAAGAAACAGCAAGAAGGCATAGTCTGTGAACCAGGAAGTGAGCCCTCACCAGACACCGAATCTACTGATTTCTTGATCTTGGACTTGCCAGCCTCCAGAATTGTGAAAAATAAATTTCTGTTGTTTCTAAGCCAGCCAGTCTGTGGTGATTTGTTATAGCAGCCCAAACTGATGGAGAGAGGGCATAAATTTCATCTCTTCAGCCACATCTGCCTATAAAGATGGTACAACTTGGTCTTCCAGTATGTCTGTTCAAGGTGGCTGACTGGAAGCATCCGGTACTTGCCTCCTCCAGAAAGAGGAACCAAAATAGTATTAGAATCACACTTTGAATTGATCATCCAAAAGACAACACTAGAATTCAACAGAGAAGAGACAGGAAACACCTAAGGCAAGGAAGGAGAGGGAAGAAAGGCACTCTGCTCAGCCAGATTGGGTGGGAGCCCAGAGAGGCTCTCCAGTGCAGGAAAAGGGTATGTGAGAAACCCTCAGCAGTCCACATTCCCACTGCAGACTCCTGCAATCTCAGCCTTCAAAGAGCCCATCCACCCTCTTGGGTCCTGAGACTAACATAGGGATCTGCCTGGAGACTGCATGATGGCATGCTCCAGAGAGGGAGATCACACTGAGACCCACACACCCTCCAACTCCTAAGAAGCTGCAGCATGTCTCCATTTTGAAAGGCCAGGCCCCACCAGGCTGCATCCTGCACTGGAGCCCAGCAGGCCTTGCATCTCCACATCCCTGGAGCTGAATTCACATCATCCATCTGTAGCCACCACCACTGCTGTCTGGTGCATCCAGAGCAGAACCATAAGCCGTTGGCGTGACCCTGCTATAGGGTGCATTTTCCCACTCCCTGAAGACAGATTTCTCCATCTGCAGTCACTGCCACTGCTGGCTGATGCTGCCAGGGCTGAAGTGTGAGCTACTGGTAGTGACTCTGAGGACAGGCTACCCTGCCTACAGCTACCACCTGAGACCAAGGCATGTGCTCCACAGCTTCCTGCCTATTACTGCTACCAATGAAAGCAACCTTGCACGCTCCAACAGTAGAGCCACAGCACAGTCACTGCTGTTCCCATCCAAGCATTCCACTAGAAACTTTGGAATCACCCTGGCTCTGCCAACACAGCCAGTGCCCACACATATGACTGAGGATTGAGGAAAGGATGACCTGGTCCAGCTCTGTCCCACTCCCAGTGTCTGAGCATGCCACCTGGAGGCCTGGGGATTTCACTGTCTCATCTACCACCATTAGCACTTGAGCACTTCTCCCAGGGGCCTGAGGACAGACCCACCCAACCTGCCACAACTACAGCAGCTGACACTCACCTGCATGTGTGACTTGCAGACCTGAGACTGGCCCACCCAGCCTTCCACAGCCACTGCTAACACCAGCACAAACCATTTTGGGGCCAAAGAGTTGTTCTGCCACTGCTACTGCCATCACTCTTTCCAAGCCCACTGCCCAGGGACCCGAGGACCACCACTACCACTTCTGGCACCTGAGCCACATGGAGGTGCAACCATTGGCCTGCCAGGACCAACTAACATTGTTGCCAGCCTATGTTGCCCTGAGGCCCAATGACAGGTATGCTAGGCCTACCATTACCACAGTGGGCCTGATGACATTCCTACCTGGCATCCCAGTGCCCAGCAAAGCTTCACCACAGCCTTCACTAACAACCACACCCTAAGCTACTGAGGAAATCACAAACACTACTGAAGCTGTTTACAACTGAAGAAATCATATAGAGAATACACTATTGCACGTACCCAGAATCAAAGCCAAGGTGCCCTACCCAGCCAACACAACAGATACATCTTCAGGAAAAGTCCTCCCGTATGAAAGAAAATCCAAAATTTTGGAAGAAGCAACTGGCACACCAGATGTGCAGATATCAATGGAGGGACACAAGAAACATGAAAAAGCAAGGAAATATGACACCTCCAAATAAAAATAATTATTCTCCAGCAAAAGATCCCCAAAAAAAGAGATTTATGAAATCCTAGAAAAATTATTAAAAGTGTTGATATTAAAAACCTCAGTGAGAGACAAGAGAACCTCATAAACAGCACAAAAAAATCAGAAAAACAATTCAGTATATTAATGAGAAATTTATCAAAGAGATATTATTAAAAAAAGAAACAAACAGAAATCCTGGAACTGAAGAATTCACTGAATGAAAAAAAAATACATTCTAAAGCTTCAACAATAGACTAGATCAAGCAGAAGAAAAAATTTCAGGACTTGACGACAGGTCTTTTGAAATCACCCAGTCAGTCAAATTTTTTTTAAAGAAATAATTTTTAAAAATGAACAAAACCTACATGACATAAAGGAGACCACAAATTGACCAAATACTTGACCTTCAGTGTTCCAAAAGGTGAATAGAAGAACAAAGGGGGTAGAAAACCTATTGAACAAAATAATAGCTGAAAACATCTCAAGTCTAGCAGGAGATTTAGACATCCAGACACAGGAAGCTCAGAGATCTCCAAATACATATCGTCTAAAAAGGTCTTATCCACTGTGTATTATAGTCAAATTGCCAAAAGTCAAAGACAAAGAGATAATTTTAAAAACAGCAAGAGAAAAGCATCTAGCCACTTATAAGGGAACCCCTAACAGACTAACAGTTGGTTTCTCAGCAGAAACTTAACAGGCCAGAAGAGAATGGGATGACATCTTCAAAGTGCTTAAAGGAAAAAAAAAAAATAACTGCCAGCCAAGGATACTATACCCAGCAAAGTTAACATTCATAAACAAAAGATAAAGTCTTTCCCAGACAAGCCAAAGCTGAGGGAATTCATCAGCATAAGACCAATCCTACAAGAAATGTTTAAGGTAGTCCTACACCTGGAAGCAAAAGGACACTATCTACTATCACAAAAAGACACAAAAGTATAAAACCACTGGTAGAGCAAACAGACAAACAAGGACAAAAAAGGACTCAAATGTTATGACTACGGAAAACCACCAAACCATAATGAATAAACAATAAGACAGAAAGAAAGACACAAAAGATATACAAACAACAAGAAACCAAGTAAAATGATAGGAATAAGCCCTCACATATTAATAATAATCTTGAATGTAAACAAATGAGGCATTCCACTTAAAAGATATAGATGGGCTGAATGGATTTAAAAAAAAATGACCTATGTATAGAATCCCTATAAGAACTCATTTCACCTGTAAAGACACATATAGATTGAAAGTAAAGGGATGAAAAAAAGATATTCCATGCAAATTGAAATAAAAAAATGAGCAAGGGTAGCTATGTTTAAATAAGACAAAAGATACTTTAACTTGAAAACAATAAAAAGAAACAAAGAAGGTCAATATATAATGATACAGAGATCAATTCAGCAAGAGAATATAACAATTCCAAATACATATGCACCCAACACCAGGCCACCCAGATATGTAAAGCAAATATTTTTAGATCTAAAGGGAGAGATAGACTCCAATACAATAATAGTTGGGAACTTCAACACTCCGCTCACAGCATAAGACAGATCATCTAAACAGAAAATTAATAAAGAAACATTGGATTTAAACGGCACTTTAGACCAAATGGACCTAACAGACATTTACAGAACATTTCATCCAACAGCTACAGAATACACATTATTCTCATCAGCACATGGAACATTCTCCAAGATATAGGCCACACAACAAATCTCAACAGTTTTTAAAAAATCAAAATCATATCAAGATCACAATGGTCTGAAACTCTAAATCAATAATAAGAGGAACTTTGGAAACTACAAACACATGGAAATTAAACAACATGCTCCTGAATGACCACTGGATTAAAGAAAAAGTTAAGGAAAAAATGTTTTAAAAATTTCCTGAAACAAATGAAAATGGAAACGCAAGACACCAAAACTTACAGGACACACAAAAGCACTGCTAAGAGGGAAGTTTATAGCAATAAGCATCTAGATCAAAAAAGCAGAGAGATTTCAAATAAATAGTCTAATGATGCACCCCAAGTACTAGAAAAGCAAGAACAAATCAAACCCAAAATTAGTAGGAGGAAGGAAATAATAAAGATCAGAGCAGAACTAAATTAAATAGAGACTAAAAAATTTACAAAGCATCAACAAAATGAAAAGTTTTTTTTCAAAAAAAGATAAAATTGATAAACTGCTAGTGAAATGGCTCCATTTTCTGGGGTATATACCCTGGTTCTTTGTCACAGTTGAGAAAGAATTCAAGACATGGACACACACAAGGAGTGGATTTAGGAGCGGAAAGTTTAATAGAAAAAGAAGAAAGAGAAAAAAAGCTTCCTCATGCTGAAAAAGTGGGTCGCCCAAAAGAGGGTCTCTAGTTTGTGGCAAAACATAATCGGTTTTGTACAGAGGCTTGAGGAGGCAGTGATTGATTTACATAGGGCTCAGGGGATTGGGTTTACCAGGTGTGCCATTTACATAGCTTGCAAAAAGACTGGCCCTCTGACCCTAGTCTTTTATTATGCAAATGCGGCCTCCACCTGGTGGAGGCCATGATGCCTGTACACACGGTTTTACCTGGAGGCTGCCATGATACCCATTAACATAGTGACAAGCAAAAGAGGATGGGAGATGCCACATTGAATGTACCTGGCTTCCAGGTACAGCTGCCATCATTTACATATAAAAGCTCCTAGTTTGCATATCTATGCCTGACTTCTCAGGCTGCTTCCTGTTAGAGAAGAAATGGTTTGGGGACTGCTTTTTATTAAAGAAAAATTACACTGGGAGTTTTCACCCTTTCTAGCTGCCTAAAAATAATTTCTTAATAACTCCTGTATTACTAGTTAAGCTAACCAAAAAAAGAGAGAGAAGACTCAAAATCACAAATAGAAAAGGAGATATTACAACTGATAGCACAGAAATATAAAAGATCATCAGAGCCTATTAAGAACAACTATACATTAACAAACTGGAAGACCTAGAGGAAAAAAATAAATTCCTGGACCCATACAACTTACCAAGATTGAATCAGGAAGAAGTAGAAAACCTTAACAGACTAATAACGAATAATGAGATTTAATCACTAATAAAGTCTCTCAACAAAGAAAAGCCCAGGACCAGATGGCTTCACTGTTGAATTCTACCAAATTTAAAAAGAACTAACATCACTTCTCCTCAAACTATTCAAAAAAATTGAAGCAAATGGATTTCTCCCTAATTCATTCCATGAGGCACCATTGCCCTAATACCAAAACTAGACAAGTATACAACAACAACAAAAACTACAGGCCAATATCCCTGATGAATATAGATGCAAAACTCCTTAACTACATACTAGCAAATCAAATCCAACAGCACATGAAAAAGATAATACACCATGATCAAATGGGATCTATCCCAGGGATGCAAGGATGGTTCAACATATACAAAACAATAAACACAATACATCAAATCAACAGAATGACGGACAACAATAATATGATAATCTCAATAGGCACAGGAAAAATATTTGATAAAATTCAACAGCCCTTTATGATAACAGCACTCAGAAACTGGGCATAGAAGGAACATAACTCAACATACTAAAGACCGTATGTAAACATAATAAAGAGCACAGGTAATGATATGGGGAAAAGCTGGAAGCCTTTCCTCTGAGAACTGGAGCAAGAAAAGGATGCCCACTTTCACCACTCACCACTTGGCTAGGTCTTTCTGTACCTAGCCAAAGCAATCAGGCAAGAGAAAGAAATAAAAGGCATTCACATTGGAAAAGAGGAAGTCAAACTATCCACCTCTGCAGACAACATGATCTTGTATCTAGAAAAACCTAAAGACTTCACCAAAAACTCTTAGTAAAGTTACAGAACACAAAATCAACACACACAAATCAGTAGTATTTCTACACATAAATAATCAACTAGCTGAGAAGAAATCAAGAAGGCAATCCCATTTACAATAGTTATAAAAAAGAGTTACAAAAATAAAATACCTAGTATTATATTTAACCAAGGAGATAAATGACCTCTTTTAAAGAAAACTACAAAACACTGATGAAAGAAATGAAACAGAAAACAAACAAATAAAAATACATCCCATACTCATGGATCAGAAAAATTAATATTTTTCCAATGACCATACTGCACAAAGCAATGTAAAAAATAATTTCAGTCCCTATCAAAATATCAATGTCATTTTTCACAGAAATGGAAAAAAAACCCTAAAATTTATATGGAACTCAAAGTAGTCCAAGTAGCCAAAAGAATTCTGAGCAAAAGGTACAGAACTGGAGGCATCACACTATCTGACTTCAAAATATATTACAAAGCTGTAGTACCCAAAACAGCATGATATTGGTATAAAAACAGACACACAGATAAATGAAATAGAACAGAGAACCCAGAAACAAAGCCCATATTTACAGTCAACTGATTTCTATGAAGGCACAAAGAACGTACATTGGGGAAAAATACTCTCTTCAATACATGTTGCTGGGAAAAATGGATATTCATATGTAGAAGAAGGAAACTGGATCCCTATCCCTCCAGTGGCATTTGCTGAAAACAATCAGTGGCAATTGTGTATTATCATGGCTGTCTGAGGCAATGCATAATAGATGGGGCCAACAATAGGTTAACCAAATAGCTTAAAGCTGAGGAATGAAATTTCTATGGGGCGATTTGAAAAACTCACATATTCCTGGAATTCTCCATGGCCACATGCATGTGTAGGGCTGTGTTGTTGCTCGAGGCTGGGTGCATGCACAGGAAATACCTGAAAAAGGCCTAAGCTCCCACCTGTGACTGACCCTGAGGTTCTAAGCAAGTGGGAAGTGAAGGCTAAGGCAAAGCTGTCAACTACCTGCCTGAGCATTGAAGGCATACTTCCAACATGCACACAGAGTCCCTTCACAAAGACTGGGAGATTTATTGGTTCCAGGTGCTTAAAGAAATCTCTGTTCATTCATTAGCTGACCACTAACCTAACCAAGCAAAGATTTCAGTGGACACATATGACAAAAGAATACAGACTTTACAGAATTAGTTCAGGAAAGTCACTAAACAAACTACAGGAGCAACAAAAAGACCTGGGGAGATAGGAAAAGAATCTGATTTGCAGATATGCTACATTGTATTATTCAAAATATCTAGTTTTCAACAAAACACCATTATGAAACATGCAAAAAACAAGAAAGTATGGCCCAAACACAGAAAAAAAGCAATCAATAGAAACTGTTCCTGAGGAAGCCCAAATATTGAACTTACTAGACAAACACTTTAAACCAGTTATTATAAATATGTTCATAAACTGAAAGAAACCATGTCTAAAGAACTAAAGTAGGAAAACAATGTCTCACCAAATACAGACTATGAATAAAGACACATAAGTTGTAAAGACAAAGTAGACATTCTAGACTCAAAAGTATAAATCATATGAAAAATTCACTAGAAGAGCAAGATGACTGCACATTTCAGCAGGTAGAAGAAAGCATCAGTGAACTTGAAGATATATTGATTGAGATTAACCAGTCTAAGGAACACAGACAATGAAGAAAAACAAAGAGAGCCTAAGAGAACTGTGGGAACCATCTAGTGCCCCAACATACACATGATGATATGCCCAGAAGCGGAGGAGAGAGAAAAAGGACGAAAAGAATACAGTAATGCACTGCGTAATGTTTCAGTGAACAATAGACCACATATACAACAGTGGCCACATAAGATTATAATGGAGGGGAGAGGGCAGAGCAAGATGGCTGAATAGAAGGCTCTACTGATCATCTCTCCTATCCCACAGGAACACCAAAACTGACAACTATCTACACACAAAAAAGCACCTTCATAAGAGCTGAAAATCAGGTGAGCCCCCACAGTACCTGTTTTAACTTAATATTTCTGAAAGAGGCACTAAACAGGGTAGGAAAGACAGTCTTGAACCACTGACATGACCCCTCCCCCATTCCCCCAGCAGTGGCTGTGTGGCATGGAGAGAGAATCTCTGTGCTTAGGAGAAGGAGAATGAAGCAATTGTGAGACTGCATTAAACTCAGTGCTGCCTTGTCCCAGTGGAAAGCAAAACTGCACTGAATGCAGCTGACACTTACCCATGGAGAACGCATGTAGAGCAGCCCTAACTAGAAGGGAATCCCATTTCCCAGCAGTTGGAATGTGAGTTCTGGCAAGCTTTGCCATCATCTGCTAAAGTGCTCTGGGCTCTAAGTAAATTTGAAAGGCGGTCTAGGACACAAGAACTGCAACTCCTAGGTGAGTATGTATGCTGAGCTGGGCTTAGAGCTAGTGGGCTTGGAGGGCATGTAACATACACAAGCCAGGGCAGTGAAGGGAGTGCTTGCACCACCACTACCCAAATCCCAGGCTGCACAGCTCATGGCTCCAAAAGAGACCCCTTCCTTCCTCTTCAGGAGAGGAGAGGGAAGAGTAAAGAAGACTTGGTCTTGCATCTTGGCTCCCTGCTCAGCCAAAGCAGAATAGGGCACTGGTCAGAGTCTTAGCACCCCAGTTCCAGGCCCTAGCTCCTGAACAACATTTCTAGACACATTCTGAAACAGAAGGGTACCCGTTGCCTTCAAGGGAAGGACCTGGTCCTGGAAGGACCCATCATCTGCTGACTAAAGAGCACTTGGGCCCTGAATAACCAGTAGTGATACTCAGGTAGTACACTGTGGGCCTTGGGTAAGACTCTGAGATGTGCTGGCTTTGGGTGAGACCCAGCACATTCTCAATTGTAGTGGCTATAGTGAGAGACTCCTGCTTGAGAAAAACAGAGGGAAAAGTAAAGGGAATTTTGCACTTTAGGTACCAACTCAGCCACAGGGGTGTAGAGAACCAACTGGGCTCTTGGGGTCTCCGATTCTAAGCCCTGGCTCTTGGATGGCATTTCTGGACCTGCCCTGGGCCAAAGGGAGGCTGACTTCCATGAAGAATGAGTCCCAGGCCTGGCAGCATTTGCCACAAGCTGATTGAAGAGCCCTTGGGCTTCAAGTGAACATTGGCAGTAGCCTGGCAGAACTCCCTGTGGGCCTGTGCTGGTGGAAGCCATGGAGTGAGTCTCTTCTGCCTGTGAAAAGAATAGAGTGGAAGAGTGGGAAGAAGAACTGTGTCGCCTGATTTGAGTGCCAGCTCAGCTGCAATATAATAGAACACCAGGTAGATTTCTAGGATTTTTGACTCTAGTTCCTGGCCTGGATGGCATCTCAAGAGCTGCCTGGGACCTAGAGAAACTTGCTGCCCTGAAGGGAAGAACAAAATTGTCACTCGATTTGCCACCTGTTGACTGTAGAGCTCTGCGACCTTAAGAAAACACAGGCAGTAGCCAGGCAGTATTACAGGGGACCTTGGGTGAGACCCAGTGCTGTGCTGGCTTCAGGTCTGACCCAGTGGAGTCCCAGTGGTGGTGGCCACAGAGGTACTTGTGTCACCTCATCCCAAGCTCCAGGCAGCTCAGCACAGAAAGAGAGAGACTCCATTTGTTTGGAAGAAAGTAAGGGAAGAAAACAAGAGTCTCTCTGTCTGGTAATGCAGATAATTTCTGTGGATTCTTATCCAAGACCAGCAAGGTGGTACCTCTATAAGACTACAAGAGTCACAGCATTACTGGGTTTGGGGAGCCCCCTGATGCAGATACAGCATGGATCACAACATGCAAGTCCTTTTAAATACCTGGAAAGCTTTCCCAAGAAGGATGGGTACAAATAAACGCAGACTACGAAGATTACAATACACACTTAATTCTTCAATTAGTAGACACGGATGAATGTCCACAAGCTTAAAATCCATCCAGGAGAAACATGAAATTACCAAGCAAACTAAATTAGGCACCAGGGGCCAATCCTGGAGAAACAGATATGTGAACATTCAGACAGAGAGTTCAAAATAGCTGTTTTGAGGAAATTCAAAGATAACACAAAGAAGAAATTCAGCACTCTATCAGATAAGATTAACAAAGAGATTGAAATAATTAAAAATCAAGCAGAAATTCTGGAGTTGAAAAATGCAATGGACACACTGAAGAATGCATCAGTCTTTTAATAGCAGAATTGATCAAGCAGAAGAAAGAATTAGTAAGAATGAAGACAGGTTATTTGAAAATACACAGTAAGAGTAGACAAAAGAAAAAAATAGAAAAGAATGATGCATGCCTATAAAATCTAGAAAATAGTCTCAAAAGGGGAAATCTAAGAGTAATTGACCTTAAAGAGAAGGTAGAGAAAGAGGTGAGGTAGAAAGTTTATTCAGAGATAATAACAGAGAACTGCCCCAAACAGAGAAAGATATCACCATCCAAGTACGAGAAGGTTATAGAACACCCAACAGATTTTACCAAAAGAATACCTCAAAGCATTTAGTCATCAAACTTCCAAAGGTCAGGGATAAAGAAGGATCCGAAAAGCAGCAAGAGAAAAGAAACAACACACAATAAAGCTCCATTACATCTTGCAGCAGACTTTTCGGTAGAAACCTTACAGGCCAGGAGAGAGTGGCATGAAATATTTAAAGTGATGACAGAAAATAACTTTTACCCTAAAATAGTATATCCCGTGAAAATTGCCTTCAAACATGAAGGAGAAATAAAGACTTTCCCACACAAACAAAAGCTAAGAGATTTCATCAATACCAGACCTGTATACAAGAAATGCTAAATGGAGTACTTCAATCAGAAAGAAAAGGACATTAATGAGCAATAAATAATCACTTGAAGGTACAAAACTCACTGGTAATAGTAAGTATACTGAAAAACTAGAATATTATAACACCATAACTGTGGTGTGTAAACTACTCTTAAGTAGAAAGGCTAAACAATGAGCCAATCAAAGATAATAACTACAACAACTTTTCAAGACACAATACAATAAGATATAAATAGAAACAACAAAAAGTTAAAAAGCGGGAGGATGAAGTTAAGGGGTAGAGTGTTTATTAGTTTACATTTTGCTTGCTTGTTTGTTTATGGAAACAATGCTATGTTGTTGTCAGCTTAAAAAGCCTCGTGGTAACCTCAAATCAAGTAACATATAATTGATACACAAAAAATAAAAAGAAAGGAATTAAATAACACCACCTAAGAAAATTACCTTCACCAAAAGCAAGACAGGAAGGAAAGAAGGAAGAAAGAGAAGGCCACAAAACAACCAGCAGAGAAGTAACAAAATGGTAGAGTAAGTTCCTACTTATTGATAATAACATTGACTGTAAATGGACTAATCTCTCCAGTCAGAAGATAAGGAGTGGTTGAATAAATTTTTAAAAAGGCCCAATGATCTATGACCTACAAGAAACATACTTCACCTATAAGAAAGTCAGTATAAAATGATAAA
The DNA here is from genome assembly GCF_000001405.40 of Homo sapiens. Taxonomy (NCBI): domain Eukaryota; kingdom Metazoa; phylum Chordata; class Mammalia; order Primates; family Hominidae; genus Homo; species Homo sapiens. The sequence goes on from NC_000023.11 coordinate 74,860,183, forward strand.
GGGTTAATTCAACAAGAGGATATACCAATTTTAAATATATATGCACTCAATACTGGAGCACCCAGATATATAAAGCAAATATTATTACAGCTAAGGAAAGAAATAGACTCCAATACAATAAAATCTAGAGACTTCAACAAATCACTTTCAGCATTGGACATATCTCCCAAACAAAAAACGAACAAAGAAACATCTGATTTATTCTGCACAATAGACCAAATGGCTCTAACAGATATTTACAGAACATTTCATCCAATGGCTGCAGAATATATATTCTTTTCTTCAGCACATGAATATCATTCTCAAAGAGACCATATGTTAGGTCACAAAACAAGTCTTAAAACATTCAAAAATTGAAATTATATCAAGCATCTTCTCCACCACAATGGAATAAAACTAGAAATAAATAAGAATAATTTTGGAAACTATACAAACACATGGAAATTAAACAACATGCTCCTGAATGACCAATGGTCAATGAATAAATTAAGAAAAAATTCAAATATAGAGTGAAAACAAATGATTATGGAAATACAACATATAAAAACCAATGAGATATAGCCAAAGCAGTGCTAAGAGGGAAGTTTATAGCTATAAGTGTGTACATCAAAAAAGAAGAACAACTTCAAATAAACAACCTAATGATGCATCTTAATGAACTAGAGAAGAGCAAACCAAACCCAAAATTAGTAGAAGAAAAGAAATAAGAAAGATCAGAGCAGAAACAAATGAAACTGAAATAAAGAAAACAATAACAAAAGATCAACAAAACCAAAACCTGGCTATTTGAAAAGATAAATGAAACTGACAAACCTTTAGTTAGAATAACTCAGAAAAAGAGAGAACGCACAAATAAACAAAATCGGAGCTAAAAAAGGATGTCCTAACCCAAAGCAAAGATGCTAAGAACGATGATAAAACATTATAAGAGCTGTTAACCAGAATAACCAGTTTAAAGAGGAACACAAATAACTTGATAGAGCTGAAAACACAACATAAGAACTTCATAATGCAACCACAAGTATCAGTAACTGAATAGACCAAGTAGAAGAAAGAATTTCAGAGCTTGAAGACTATCTTGCTGAAATAAGACAGGCAGGCAAGATTAGAAGAAACAGAATAACAAGGAATGAACAAAACCTCTGAGAACTATGGGATTATGTAAAAAGACTGAACTTACGACTAATTGGGGTACCTGAAAGAGACAGAGACAGAACGGAAATAAGTTGGAAAACATACTACAGAATATCATCCAGGAGAACTTCCACAACCTAACAAGACAGGCAAACATTCAAACTCAGGAAACCCAGAGAAACCCAATAAGATACTCCATGAGAAGATCAACCCCAAGACACATAATCATCAGATTGTCCAAGTTCAAAATGAAAACAAATGTTAAGGGCAGTCAGAGAGAAAGGCCATGTCACCTACAAAGAGAAGTCCATCAGACTAAGAGTGGATCTCTCAGCAGAAACCCTACAAGCCAGAAGAGATTGGGAGCTAATATTCAACATTCTTAAAGAAAAGAATTTCCAACCCAGAATTTCATATCTGATCAAACTAAGCTTCATAAGTGAAGAAGAAATAAAGTCCTTTTCAGACAAGAAAATGCTTAGGGAATTCATCACCACCAGACCTGCCTTGCAAGAACTCCTGAATGAAGCACTAAATATGAAAAGGAAAAATCAATACCAGCCACTGCAAAAACACACTGAATTACAAAGACCAATGACACTATGAAGCAACTACATCAACAAGTCTGCAAAATAACCAGCTAGCATCATGATGAAAGGACCAAATTCACACATAACAATATTAACCTTAAATGTAAATGGACTAATGCCCAAATTAAAAGACACAGAATGGTAAGCTGGGTAGTCAAGACCCATTGCTTTGCTGTATTCAAGAGACCCATCTCACGTGCAAAGACACACATAGGCTCAAAATAAAGGGATGGAGGAAAATTTACCCAGCCAATGGAAAGCAGAAAAGACAGGAGTGACAATCCTAGTTTCTGACAAAACAGACTTTAAAACGACAAAGATAAAAAAAGACAAAGAGGGACATTACATAATGGTAAAGGGATCAATTCAACAAGAAGAGTTAACTATTGTAAATATATATACACCCAATACAGAAGCACCCAGATTCGTAAAACAAGTTCTTAGAGACCTACAAAGAGACTTACACTCCCACACAATAATAGTGGGAGACTTTAACACCCCATTGTCAATATTATACAGACCATCGAGACAGAAAATTAACAAAAATTTTCAGGACTTGAACTCAGCTCACCAAGTGGACCTGATACATATCTACAGAACTCTCCACCAAAACACAACAGAATATACATTCTTCCCTGTGCCACATGGCGTTTACTCTAAAATTGATCACATAAATGAAAGTAAAAAATTCCTCAGCAAATGCAAAAGGACTGATATCATAACAAACAGTCGCTCAGACCACAGCACAATCAAATTAGAACTCAAGATTAAGAAACTCACTCAAAGTCACACAACTACATGGAAATTGAACAACCTGCTCCTGAATGACTACTGGGTAAATAAAGAAATTAAGGCAGAAATCAAAAAGTTCTTTGAAACCAACGAGAACAAACAGATAACATATCAGAATCTCTGGAACGCAGCTAAAGCAGTGTTAAAAGGGAAATTTATAGCACTATATGCCCATATGAAAAAGCTAGAAAGCCAGGCACAGTGGCTCATGCCTGTAATCCCAGCAATTTGGGAGGCTGAAGTGGATGGATCACTTGAGGTCAGGGGTTTGAGACCAGCCTGGCTAACATGGTGAAACTCGGTCCCTACAAAAAAATACAAAACTTAGCCGGGTGTGGTGGCATGTGCTTGTAGTCCCCCCTATTCGGGAGGCTGAGGCATGAGAATCACTTGAACCCAGGAGGCAGAGGTTGCAGTGAGCTGAGTCCATGCCACTGGACTCCAGCCTGGGTGACAGAGCAGGACTACATCTCAAAAAAAAAAAAAAGTCTCCAATCAGCACCATAGCATCACAACTAAAAGAACTAGAGAACCAAGAGCAAACAAACTTCAAAGCTAGCAGAAGACAAAAAATAACCAAGATCAGAGTGAACTGAAGGAGATAGAGACACAAAAAACTGTTCAAACAATCAATGAATCCAGAGGCTGGTTTCTTCAAAAAAATAATAAAATAGATAGACCTCTAGCTAGACTAATGAGAGAGAAGAATCAAATAAACACAACAAAAATGATAAAGATATCACCACTGACTCCACAGAAATACAAAAAACCATCAGAGAATACTATTTAATATAAACACCTCTATGCAAATAAACTAAAAAATCTAGACAAAATGGATAAAATCCTGGACACATACACCCTCCCAAGACTGAACCAGGAAGGAGTTGAATCCCTGAATAGACCAATAACAAGTTCTGAAATTGAGGTAGTAATAAATAAAAGCCCAGGACAAGATGGATTTAGAGCTGAATTCTACCAAAGGTACAAAGTGGAGCTGGTACCATTTCTTCTGAAACTATTCTAAACAATTGAAAAGGAGGGACTTCTCCATAACTCATTTTATGAGGCCAGCATCATCTTGATACCAAAACCTGGCAGAGATACAATAAAAAAAGAAAACTTCAGGCCAATATCTCTCATGAACAGCAATGCAAAAATCCTCAGTAAAATACTGGCAAACCAAATCCAACAGCACATCAAAAAGCTTATTCACCACAATCAAGTCAGCTTCATTCCTTGGATGCAAGGCTGGTTCAACATAAGCAAATCAATAAACATAACTGATCACATAGACAGAACTAAAGACAAAAACCACATTGATTATCTCAATAGATGCAGAAAAGGCCTTCAATAAAATTAAACATCCCTTCATGTTAAAAACTCTCAATAAACTAGGTATTGAAAGGATATACATCAATATAATAAGAGCAATTCATGAAAGCTGGAAGCATTCCATTTGAAAACTGGCACAAGACGAGGATGTCCTCTCTCATCACTCCTACTCAATATCGTATTGGAAGTTCTGGCCAGGGCAATCGGTCAAGAGAAAGAAATACAGGGTATTCAAATAGGAAGAGAGGAAGCCAAACTGTCTGTTTGCAAATGACATGATTCTATATCTAGAAAACCCCATCGTCTCAGCCCCAAAGCTTCTTAAGCTAATAAGCAACTTCAGCAAAGTCTTAGTGATATGGTTTGGCTGTGTCCCCACCCAAACCACATCTTGAATGTAGCTCTCATAATCCCCATGTGGGAGGGACCCAGTTGGAAGTAATTGAATCATGGGGGCAGGTTTTTCCCATGCTGTTGTTATAATAGTGGATAAGTCTCAAGGGATCTGATGGTTTTATAAAGGGCAGGTCCACTACACATGTGCTCTTGCCTGCTGCCATGTAAGACGTGCCTTTACTCCTCCTTTGCCTTCCACTATGATTGTGAGGCCTTCCCAGCCATGGGGAACTGTGAGTCCATTAAACCTTTTTCCTTTATAAATTACCCAGTCTCAGGTATTTCTTTTTTTTTTTTCTGAGATGGAGTTTCGCTCTTGTTGCCCAGGCTGGAGTGCAGTGGTATGATCTTGGCTCAATGCAACCTCAGCCTCCTGGGTTCAAGCAATTCTCATGCCTCAGCCTCCTGAGTAGCTGGGACTATAGGCACCCACCACCACCTCCAGCTAATTTTTATATTTTTAGTAGAGACTGGGTTTCACCATGTTGGCCAGACTGGTCTTGAACTCCTGACCTCAGGTGATCTGCCCACCTTGGCCTCCTACAGTGCCAGGATTACAGGCATGAGCAACCATACCCGGCCATCAGGTATTTCTTCATAGCAGTAGGAAAATGGACTAATACAGTCAAATGGTACCAGTAGAGTGGAGTACTGCTATTAAGATACCTGAAAATGTGGAAGCAACTTTTGTACTGCTTAGTAAGTAGAGGTTGGAACAGTTTGGAGTGCTCATAAGAAGGTAGTAAGATGTGGGAAAGTTTGGAACTTCCTAGAGACTTGTTCAATGGCTTTGACCAAAATGCTGATAGTGATATGGACAATAAGATCCAGACTGAGGTGGTCTTAGATGGAGATGAGGAATTTGTTGGGAACTGGAGGGAAAGTGACTGTTGTTATGATTTAGCAAAGAGATGGGTGGCATTTGGCTCCTGCCCTAGAGATCTGTGGAACTTTGAACTTGAGAGAGATAACTTAGGGTATCTGGCAGAAGAAATTTCTAATCTGCAAAGCATTCAAAAGGAAGAAGAGCATAAAAGTTTGAAAAACTTGCAGCCTGCCAAGAAAAACCCATTTTCTGGGGAGAAACTCAAGCCTCCTGCAGAAATTTGCATAAATAACAAGGAGCTGAATGTTAATCACCAAGACAATGGGGAAAACATCTCCAGGCCATGTCAGAGACCTTCATGGCAGAGCCTCCCATCAAAGGCCTGGAGGCCTAGAAGGGAAAAATGGTTTCTTAGGTCAGGTCCAGGGCCCCTCTGTTATGTGCAGCCTAGGGACTTGGAGACCTGCATCCCAGCCTCTCTAGCCATGGCTAAAGTACAGCTTGGGCCATGGCTTCAGAGGGTTCAAGCCCAAAACCTTGGCAGCTTCCATGTGTTGTTGAGCTTGTGGGTACACAGAAGTTCAAGGATTGAGGTTTGGGAACCTCTGCCTAGATTTCAGTGGTGGTATGGAAATGCCTGGATGTCCAGGCAGAAGTTTGCTGCCGGGGTGGGGCCCTCATGGAGAACCTCTGCTAGAGAACTGTGGAAGGCAAATATGGGGTGGAAGTCCCCACACAGAATCTCCACTGGGGCACTGCCTAGTGGAGCTGTGAGAAGAGGGCCACTGTACTCCAGAACCCAGAATGGTAGATCTGCCGACAGCTTGCACCATGTTCCCGGAAATGCCACAGAAACTCAAAGCTAATCGGTGAAAGCAGCTGGGAGGGGGCTATATGCTTCCAAGCCACAGGGATGGAGCTGCCCAAGGCCGTGGGATCCCACTGCTTGCATCAGTGTGACCTGGATGTGAGACATGGGGTCAAAGGAGATCACATTGGAACTTTAAGGTTTAATGACAGCCTGATTGGATTTTGGACTTCCATAGAGCCTGCAGCCCCTTTGTTTTGGCCAATTTCTCCCATTTGGAAGGGGTGTATTTGCCCAATGCCTGCACACCCATTGTATCTAGGAAGTAACTAACTTGCTTCTGATTTTACAGGCTCATAGGTGGAAGGGACTTGTCTTGTCTCAGATGAGACTTTGGACTGTGAATTTTAAGTTAATGTTGGAATGAGTTAAGACTTTGGGGGACTGTTAGGAAGGCATTATTGGTTTCAAAATGTGAGAACATGAGATTTGGAAGGGGCCAAGGGTGGAATGATATGGTTTGGTTGTGTCCCCACGCAAATCTCATCTTGAATTGTAGCTCCCATAATCACCATATGTGGTGGGAGGGACCTGGTGGGACATAATTGAATCATGGGAGTGGGTTTTTACCATGCTGTTCTCATGATAGTGAATAAGTCTCAAAAAGCCTGTTGGTTTTATATAGGGCAGTTCCCCTGAACATGTGCTCTGGCATGCTGCCATGTCAGATGTGCCTTTGCTCCCCCTTCACCTTCCGCCATGATTGTGAGGCCTCCTTAGCCATGTGAAACTATTGAGTCCACTAAACCTCCTTGCTTTATAAACTACCCAGTCTCGGGTATGTCCTTATAGCAGCATGAGAAAGGACTAATACACTCAGAATACAAAACCAATGTGCAAGAATGACAAGCATTCCTATACACAAACAATAGACAAGGGGAGAAACAAATCATAAATGAACTCCCATTTACAATTACTACAGAGAATAGAATACCTAGGAATACAGCTAACATGGGAAGTGAAGGACCTCTTCAAGGAGAAATACAAACCACTGCTCAAAAAAATCAGAAAGGACACAAACATGAAAAAACATTCCATGCTCATGGATAGAAAGAATCAATATCATGAAAATGGCCACACTGCCCAAAGTAATTTATAGATTCCACGCTATTACCATTACACTACCATTGACATTCTTCACAAAAGTAGAAAAAACTACTTTAAAATTCGTATGGAACCAAAAAAGAGCCCGTATAGCCATGACAATCCTAAGCAAAAAGAGCAAAGCTGGAGGCATCACATCATGCCACCCAACTTCAAACTATACTACAAGGCTACAGTAACCAAAGCAGCATGGTACTGGTACAAAAACAGACACATAGACCAATGGAACAGAATAGAGATCTCAGAAATAAGACCACACATCTACAACCATCTGATCTTCAACAAACTTGACAAAAACAAGCAATGAAGAAAGGAATCCTTATTCAATAAATGGTGCTGAGATAACTGGCTAGCCATGTGCAGAAGATAGAAACTGGACCCCTTCCTTACACCATATACAAAATATGCTGAAGATGGACTAAAGACTTAAATGTAAAACCCAAAACTATATAAAACCTGGAAGACAACCTAAGCAATACCATTCAGGACTTGGACACAGGCAAAGATTTAATGACAAAGACATCAAAAGCAATGGCAACAAAAGTAAAAATTGACAAGTGTGATCTAATTAAACTAAAGAGCTTCTGCACAGCAAAATAAACTATCATCAGAGTGAAGAGACAACCTACAGAATGGGAGAAATTTTTTGCAATCTCTCCATCTGACAAAGGTCTAATATCCAGAGTCTACAAGGAACTTAAACAAATTTATAAGAAACAGAAAATCCCGTTAAAAAGTGGGCAAAGAACATGGACACTTCTTAAAAGAAGACACTCACATGGCCAAGAGACATGAAAAAAAGCTCAATAGCACTGATCATTAGAGAAATGCAAATCAAAACCACAATAAGATACCATCTTATGCCAGTCAGAATGGTGACTATTAAAAAGTCAAGAAACAACAGATACTGGTGAGGCTGTGCAGAAATAGGAACACTTTCACACTGTTGGTGGGAATGTAAATTAGTTCAACCATTGTGGAAGATAGTATGGCAATTCCTCAAAGACCTAGAAACCAGAAATACCATTTGACCCAGCAATCCTGTTACTGGGTATATACCCAAAGGAATATAAATCATTCTATTATAAACATACATGCAGGCATGTGTTAATTGCAGCACTATTCACAATAGCAAAGACATGGAATCAACCCAAATGCCCATCAGTGATAGACTGGATAAAGAAAATGTGGTATATATACACCATTGAATACTATGCAGGCATAAAAAGGAACAAGATTATGTTATTTGCAGGGACATGGATAGAGCTGGAAGCCATTATCTTCAGCAAACTAACACAGGAACAGAAAACCAAGCATCACATGTTCTCACTTATAAGTTGGAGCTGGACAATGAGACCACATGGACACAGGGAGGGGAACAACATGCACTGGGGCCTGTTGGGGGGTGGGGGGGAAGAAGAGCATCAGGATAAATAGCTAATACATGTGGGGCTTAATACCTAGGTGATGGGTTGATAGGTGCAGCAAACCACCAGGGCACATGTTTACCTATGTAACAAACCTCCCATCCTTCACATGTATCCCAGAGCTTAAAATAAAATAAAATTAAATTAAAATTAGAAAAAAAAGTAATGAGTTCGAAGCCATAATAAAAAGTCTCCCAGCAAAGCAAAGCCAATGACCCTGATGGCTTCACTGCTGAGTTCTACCAAACATTTAAAGAAGAACTAATACCAATACTACTCCAACTATTCCAATAAATAGAGGAGAAGAAAATACTTCCAATCTCATTGTACAAGGCCAGTATTACCCTGATACCAAAACTAGACAATGACACATCAAAAAAGAAAACTATAAAACAATATGACTGATGAATATTGATGCAAAAATCCTCAACAATATACTAGCAAAGTTCAACAAAACATTAAAAAGATCATTTATTATAACTGAGATTTATCCCAGGAATGAAAGGGTGGTTCAACATATGCAAATCAATCAATATCATACATTGTAGCAATAGAATACAGGACAAAAATCATGTGATCATTTCCATGGATGCTGAAAAAGCATTTAACAAAATTCAACATACCTTCATGATAAAAACCCTCAAAAAACTGGGGATAGAAGGAACATATGTCAAAATAATAAAAGCCATCTATGACAGACCAAAAGTTAGTATCATACTGAATGAGGAAAAATGGAAAGCATTTCCTCTAAGATCTGGAACATGACAAAGATGCCCACTATCACCACTGATATTCAACATATTACTGGAAGTCCTAGCTAGAGCAATCAGACAAAAGAAAGAACTAAAGGGCATCCAAATTGGAAATGAAGAAGTCAAAATATCCTTATTTCCAGATGATATGATCTTATATTTGGAAAAACTAATGACTCCACAAAAAACAATTAGAGCTGAAAAACAAATTCAGTAAAGTTGCAGAATATGCTATCAACATGCAGAAATCAGTCATATTTTTATATGCCAACAGCAATCTGAAAATGAAATAAAGAAAATAATTCCATTTACAATAGCTATAAATAAAATTAAATACCTAGGAATTAGCTTAACCAAAGAAGTGAAATATCTGTGCAATGAAAACTATACAACGTTGATGCAAAAAATTGAATAGGACACCAAAAAATGGAAAGATATATCCATGTTAATGGATTGCAAGAATCAATAATGTTAAAATGTCTATACTACCCAAATAAATCTACAGATCCAATGCAATCCCTATCAAAATACCAATGACATTATTCACAGAAATAGAAAAAAAAATCCTAAAGTTTATCTGGAACCAAAACAGACCCAGAATAGCCAAAGCTATCCTGAGCAAAAAGAACAAATCTGAAGGAATCACATTATATTAATTTCTCAAATTATACTACAGAGCTATAGTAACCAAAAGAGCACTGTATTGTCATAAAAAACAGATACATATATCAGTGGAACAGAATAGAGAACCTCAAGAAAATCCATACATCCACAGTGAACTCATTTTTGACAAAGGTGCCAAGAATATACATTGGAGAAAGGAGAGTATCCTCAATAAACGGTGCGGGGAAACTGGATATCCATATACAGAAAAAGGAAACTTGACCCCCCATCTCTCATCATATACAAAAATCAAATCAAAATAGATTAAAGACTGAAATCTAAGACCTCAAGCTATGAATCCACTAAAAACCTTGAGGAAACTCTCCAGGACATCAGTCTGTGCAAGGATTTCTAGAGTAATACCCCACAAGCACTGACAACCAAAGCAAAAATGGACAAATGGGGTCACATCAAGCTGAAAAGCTTCTGCACAGCAAAGGAAACAATCAACAAAGTGAAAGGGTAACCCACAGAACAGGAGAAAATATTTGCAAAATACCCATCTGACAAGGGATTAATAACCAGAATATATAAGGAGCTCAATCGACTTTACAGGAAGAAATCTAATAATCTGAATAAAAAATGGGCCATAGATCTGAACAGACATTTCTCAAAACAAGACATACAAATGGCAAACAGGTACAATGGCTCAACATCATCAATCATCAGAGAAATGCAAATCAAACTACAATAAGATATCATCTCACACCAGTTAAAGTGGCTTTTATCTAAAAGACAGGCAATAACAAATGCTGGTGAGAATATGGAGAAAAGGGAATCCTCTTACACTGTTGGTGGGAATGTATTATATATTAGTACAATCGCTATGCAGAACAGTTTGTAGGGTCCTCAAAAAACTAAAGATAGAGCTACCACAAAATCTAGCAATCCCACTGCTGGGTGTATACCCAAAAGAAAGGAAAATGGTACATCGAAGAGATATTGGTACTCCTGTGTTTATTGCAGCAGTATTCACAATAGCCAGGATTTGGATGCAACCTACCTGTCCATCAATAGATGAATAGATACAGAAAATGTATCGGGGGAACCAGCCCCCAATATTTCAATGTAGGTTCTTTTCTATTTTCCCTAAGTGTCGGCCGGTCTGAGAAATAAACAAAAAGAGTACAAAGAGAGAAATTTTATAGCTGGGCCTCCGGGGGTGTCATCACATATTGGTAGGACCATGATGGTGACCTCAAGCTGCAAAATCAGCAAGTTTTTATTAGGGATTTTGAAAGGGGAGGGGGTGTACGAACAGGGAGTAGGTCACAGAGATCAGATGCTTCAAAGGGCAATAAAAGATCAAAAGGCAGAGGCAAAAATTAGAATTACTGATGAAGGTCTGTGTCCCACTGTGCACACATTGTCTTGATAAACATCTTAACAGGAAACAGGGTTCGAGAGCAGACAACTGGTCTGACTAGAATTTACCAGGCTGGAATTTCCCAATCCTAGTAAGCCTGAGGGCACTGCAGGAGACCAGGGCGTATTTCAGTCCTATCTCAACCGCATAAGACAGACACTCCCAGAGCAGCCATCTATAGACCTACCCCCAGGAATGCATTCCTTCCTGAGGGTTACTCCATGCTGGGAAAATAATTCAGCAATATTTCTCCTACTCGCACATCCATCTATAGGCTTTCTGTGAGAAGAAAAATATGTCTCTATTCTGCTCGACCCCACAGGCAGTCAGCCCTTATGGTTATCTTCCCTTTTTCCCTGAAAATTGCTATTATTCTGTTTTTTCAGGGTGCACTGGTTTCATATTGTTCAAACACCCTTGTTTCACAATCAGATTTCATATTGTTGAAACACACATTTTACAAACAATTTGTACAGTTAACGCAATCATTACAGGGTCCTGAGGTGACATACATCCTCAGCTTACAAAGATAATGTGATTAAGAGATTAAAGACAGGCATAAGAAATTATAAGAGTATTAATTGGGGAAGTGATAAATGTCCATGAAATCTTCACAATTCACGTTCAGAGACTGCAGTAAAGACAGGCCTAAGAAATGATAAAAGTATTAACTTTGGAAACTGCTAAATGTCCATGAAATCTTCAAAATTTATGTTCTTCTGCTACAGCTTCAGCCGGTCCCCCCGTTCAGGGTCCCTGACTTCCCGCAACAAAAATGTGTTACATCTACATAATGGAGTGCTACTGGGCCATAAAAAGAATGAGATCCTGTCATTTGCAACAGCATGGATGGAACTGGAGGTCATTCTATTAAGTGAAATAAACCAGGCACAGAAAGACAAACTTCACATGCTGTCACTTATTTGTGGAAGCTAAAAATCAAAATAATTTAACACATAGGGATAGACAGCAGAAGGATGGTTATCAGAGGATGTTAAGGGTAGTGTGTGGGTGGGGGGTGGTGGGGGGAAATGACAGTTAGTGGTTACAAAAAATCAGAAATAATGAATAAGACCTAGTATTTGCTAGCACATCAGACTGACTATAGTAAAAAGTAATTTACTATAGTCACTTAGTAAATATAGTAAATATTGTGACTGTAGTAAATTATGTTTTACTACAGTCACAATATTTACTATATTTAAATGTACATAATTATACATTTTAAAAATAACTAAAACAGTATAATTAAATTATAACACAAAGGATAAATGCTTGAGGTGATGGCTAGCCCATATACCCTGATGTGGTTATTACCCACTGCATTCCTGTATCAAAATATCTCATGTAACCCATAAACATATACATACCTACTATGTGTCAACAAAAATTTAAAAATAAACAATTTTTTAAAAATATTATAATGGAGTAGAAAAATACCTGTCACCTACTGACACACTAGCTGCCATAATGCTGTAGTGCAATGCCTTATTTTTTTATTTTTTATTTTTTTAGTTTTTATTTTTTTTAAAATTGTTTTGGTTTTTTTTTAATTAATTAATTTATTATTATTATACTTTAAGTTTTAGGATACATGTGCAAAATGTGCAGGTTCATTACTTATGTATACATGTGCCATGCTGGTGCGCTGCACCCACTAACTCGTCATCTAGCATTAGGTATATCTCCCAATGCTATCCCTCCCCCATCCCCCAACCCCACAACAGTCCCCAGAGTGTGATGTTCCCCTTCCAGTGTCCATGTGTTCTCATTGTTCAATTCCCACCTATGAGTGAGAATATGCGGTGTTTGGTTTTTTGTTCTTGTGATAGTTTACTGAGAATGATGATTTCCACATTCGTCCATGTCCCTACAAAGGACATGAACTCATCATTTTTTATGGCTGCATAGTATTCCATGGTGTATATGTGCCACATTTTCTTAATCCAGTCTATCATTGTTGGATGTTTGGGTTGGTTCCAAGTCTTTGCTATTGTGAATAATGCCACAATAAACATACGTGTGCAAGTGTCTTTATAGCAGCATGATTTAAAGTCCTTTGGGTATATACCCAGTAATGGGATGGCTGGGTCAAATGGTATTTCTAGTTCTAGATCCCTGAGGAAACACCACACTGACTTCCACAATGGTTGAACTAGTTTACAGTCCCACCAACAGTGTAAAAGTGTTCCTATTTCTCCACATCCTCTCCAGCACCTGTTGTTTCCTGACTTTTTAATGATTGCCATTCTAACTGGTGTGAGATGGTGATCTCATTGTGGTTTTGATTTGCATTTCTCTGATGGCCAGTGATGATGAGCATTTTTTCATGTGTTTTTTGGCTGCATAAATGTCTTTTTTTCAGAAATGTCTGTTCATGTCCTTCACCCACTTTTTGATGGGGTTGTTTGTTTTTTTCTTGTAAATTTGTTTGAGTTCATTGTAGATTCTGGATATTAGCCCTTTGTCAGATGAGTAGGTTGCAAAAATTTTCTCCCATTTTGTAGGCTGCCTGTTCACTCTGATGGTAGTTTCTTTTGCTGTGCAGAAGCTCTTTGGTTGAATTAGATCCCATTTGTCAATTTTGTCTTTTGTTGCCATTGCTTTTGGTGTTTTAGACATGAAGTCCTTGCCCATGCCTATGTCCTGAATGGTAATGCCTAGGTTTTCTTCTAGGGTTTTTATGGTTTTAGGTCTAACGTTTAAGTCTTTAATCCATCTTGAATTGATTTTTGTATAAGGTGTAAGGAAGGGATCCAGTTTCAGCTTTCTACATCTGGCTAGCCAGTTTTCCCAGCACCATTTATTAAATAGGGAATCCTTTCCCCATTTCTTGTTTTTCTCAGGTTTGTCAAAGATCAGATAGTTGTAGATATGTGGCATTATTTCTGAGGGCTCTGTTCTGTTCCATTGATCTATATCTCTGTTTTGGTACCAGTACCATGCTGTTTTGGTTACTGTAGCCTTGTAGTATAGTTTGAAGTCAGGTAGCGTGATGCCTCCAGCTTTGTTCTTTTAGCTTAGGATTGACTTGGTGATGTGGGCTCTTTTTTGGTTCCATATGAACTTTAAAGTAGCTTTTTCCAATTCTGTGAAGAAAGTCATTGGTAGCTTGATGGGGATGGCATTGAATCTGTAAATTACCTTGGGCAGTATGGCCATTTTCACGATATTGATTCTTCCTACCCATGAGCATGGAATGTTCTTCCATTTGTTTGTGTCCTCTTTTATTTCCTTGAGCAGTGGTTTGTAGTTCTCCTTGAAGAGGTCCTTCACATCCCTTGTAAGTTGGATTCCTAGGTATTTTATTCTCTTTGAAGCAATTGTGAATGGGAGTTCACTCATGATTTGGCTCTCTGTTTGTCTGTTGTTGGTGTATAAGAATGCTTGTGATTTTTGTACATTGATTTTGTATCCTGAGACTTTGCTGAAGTTGCTTATCAGCTTAAGGATATTTTGGGCTGAGACGATGGGGTTTTCTAGATATACAACCATGTCATCTGCAAACAGGGACAATTTGACTTCCTCTTTTCCTAATTGAATACATTTTATTTCCTTCTCCTGCCTCATTGCCCTGGCCAGAACTTCCAACACTATGTTGAATAGGAGTGGTGAGAGAGGGCATCCCTGTCTTGTGCCAGTTTTCAAAGGGAATGCTTCCAGTTTTTGTCCCTTCAGTATGATATTGGCTGTGAGTTTGTCATAGATAGCTCTTATTATTTTGAAACATGTCCCATCAATACCTAATTTATTGAGAGTTTTTAGCATGAAGGGTTGTTGAATTTTGTCAAAGGCCTTTTCTGCATCTATTGAGATAATCATGTGGTTTTTGTCTTTGGTTCTGTTTATATGCTGGATTACATTTATTGATTTGCGTATATTGAACCAGCCTTGCATCCCAGGGATGAAGCACACTTGATCATGATGGATAAGCTTTTTGCTGCGCTGCTGGATTTGGTTTGCTGGTATTTTATTGAGGATTTTTGCATCAATGTTCATCAAGGATATTGGTCTAAAATTCTCTTTTTTGGTTGTGTCTCTGCCAGGCTTTGGTATCAGGATGACGCTGGCCTCATAAAATGAGTTAGGGAGGAGTCCCTCTTTTTCTATTGATTGGAATAGTTTCAGAAGGAATGGTACCAGTTCCTCCTTGTACCTCTGGTAGAGTTCGGCTGTGAATCCATCTGGTCCTGGACTCTTTTTGGTTGGTAAGCTATTGATTATTGCTACAATTTCCGAGCGTGTTATTGGTCTATTCAGAGATTCAACTTCTTCCTGGTTTAGTCTTGGGAGAGTGTATGTGTCCAGAAATTTATCTATTTCTTCTAGATTTTCTAGTTTATTTGTGTAGAGGTGTTTGTAGTATTCTCTGATGGTAGTTTGTATTTCTGTGGGATCGGTGGTGATATCCCCTTTATCATTTTTTATTGTGTCTATTTGATTCTTCTCTCTTTTTTTCCTTATTAGTCTTGCTAGTGGTCTATCAATTTTGTTGATCCTTTCAAAAAACCAGCTCCTAGATTCATTAATTTTTTGAAGGTTTTTTTGTGTCTCTATTTCCTTCAGTTCTGCTCTGATTTTCATTATTTCTTGCCTTCTGCTAGCTTTTGAATGTGTTTGCTCTTGCTTTTCTAGTTCCTTTGTGATGTTAGGGTGTCAATTTTGGATCTTTCCTGCTTTCTCTTGTGGGCATTTAGTGCTATAAATTTCCCTCCACACACTGCTTTGAATGTGTCCCAGAGATTCTGGTATGTTGTGTCTTTGTTCTCGTTGGTTTCAAAGAACATCTTTATTTCTGCCTTCGTTTCATTATGTACCCAGTAGTCATTCAGGAGCAGGTTGCTCAGTTTCAATGTAGTTGAGCGGTTTTGAGTGAGATTCTTAATCCTGAGTTCTAGTTTGATTGCACTGTGGTCTGAGAGACAGTTTGTTATAATTTCTGTTCTTTTACATTTGCTGAGGACTGCTTTGCTTCCAAGTATATGGTCAATTTTGGAATAGGTGTAGTGTGGTGCTGAAAAAAATGTATATTCTGTGGATTTGGGGTGGAGAGTTCTGTAGATGTCTATTAGGTTCGCTTGGTGCAGAGCTGAGTTCAATTCCTGGGTATCCTTGTTGACTTTCTGTCTCGTTGATCTGTCTAATGTTGACAGTGGGGTGTTAAAGTCTCCCATTATTAATGTGTGGGAGTCTAAGTCTCTTTGTAGGTCACTCAGGACTTGCTTTATGAATCTGGGTGCTCCTGTATTGGGTGCATATATATTTAGGATAGTTAGCTCTTCTTGTTGAATTGATCCCTTTACCATTATGTAATGGCCTTCTTTGTCTCTTTTGATCTTTGTTGGTTTAAAGTCTGTTTTATCAGAGACTAGGATTGCAACCCCTGCCTTTTTTTGTTTTCCATTTGCTTGGTAGATCTTCCTCCATCCTTTTATTTTGAGCCTATGTGTGTCTCTGCATGTGAGATGGGTTTCCCGAATACAACACACTGATGGGTCTTGACTCTTTATCCAATTTGCCAGTCTGTGTCTTTTAATTGGAGCATTTAGTCCATTTACATTTAAAGTTAATATTGTTATGTGTGAATTTGATCCTGTCTTTACGATGTTAGCTGGGTATTTTGCTCGTTAGTTGATGCAGTTTCTTCCTAGTCTTGATGGTCTTTACATTTTGGCATGATTTTGCAGCAGCTGGTACAGGTCGTTCCTTTCCATGTTTAGCGCTTCCTTCAGGAGCTCTTTTAGGGCAGGCCTGGTGGTGACAAAATCTCTCAGCATTTGCTTATCTGTAAAGTATTTTATTTCTCCTTCACTTATGAAGCTTAGTTTGGCTGGATATGAAATTCTGGGTTGAAAATTCTTTTCTTTAAGAATGTTGAATATTGGCCCCCACTCTCTTCTGGCTTGTAGAGTTTCTGCTGAGAGATCTGCTGTTAGTCTGATGGGCTTCCCTTTGAGAGTAACCGACCTTTCTCTCTGGCTGCCCTTAGCATTTTTTCCTTAATTTCAACTTTGGTGAATCTGACAATTATGTGTCTTGGAGTTGCTCTTCTCGAGGAGTATCTCTGGGGCGTTCTCTGTATTTCCTGAATCTGAACGTTGGCCTGCCTTGCTAGATTGGGGAAGTTCTCCTGGAGAATATCCTGCAGAGTGTTTTCCAACTTGGTTCCATTCTCCCCGTCACTTTCAGGTACACCAATCAGACGTAGATTTGGTCTTTTCACATAGTCCCATATTTCTTGGAGGCTTTGCTCGTTTCTTTTTATTCTTTTTTCTCTAAACTTCCCTTCTCGCTTCATTTCATTCATTTCATCTTCCATCACTGATACCGTTTCTTGCAGTTGATCGCATCGGCTCCTGAGGCTTCTGCATTCTTCACGTAGTTCTCGAGCCTTGGTTTTCAGCTCCATCAGCTCCTTTAAGCACTTCTCTGTATTGGTTATTCTAATTATACATTCTTCTAAATTGTTTTCAAAGTTTTCAACTTCTTTGCCTTTGGTTTGAATGTCCTCCCCTGGCTCGGAGTAATTTGATCGTCTGAAGCCTTCTTCTCTCAGCTTGTCAGTCATTCTCCATCCAGCTTTATTCCATTGCTGGTGAGGAACTGTGTTCCTTTGGAGGAGGAGAGTCGCTCTGCTTTTTAGAGTTTCCAGTTTTTCTGTTCTGTTTTTTCCCCATCTTTGTGGTTTTATCTACTTTTGGTCTTTGATGATGGTGATGTACAGATGGGTTTTTGGTGTGGATGTCCTTTCTGTTTGTTAGTTTTCCTTCTAACAGACGGGACCCTCAGCTGCAGGTCTGTTGGAGTACCCGGCCGTGTGAGGTATGAGTCTGCCCCTGCTCGGGTGTGCTTCCCAGTTAGGCTGCTCAGGGGTCAGGGGTCAGGGACCCACTTGAGGAGGCAGTCTGCCCGTTCTCAGATCTCCAGCTGCGTGCTGGGAGAACCACTGCTCTCTTCAAAGCTGTCAGACAGGGACATTTAAGTCGGCAGAGGTTACTGCTGTCTTTGTGTTTGTGTGTGCCCTGCCCCCAGAGGTGGAGCCTACAGAGGCAGGCAGGCCTCCTTGAGCTGTGGTGGTCTCCACCCAGTTCAAGCTTCCTGGCTGCTTTGTTTACCTAAGCAAGCCTGGGCAATGGCAGGCGCCCCTCCCCCAGCCTCGCTGCCACCTTGCAGATTGATCTCAGACTGCAGTGCTCGCAATCAGCGGGACTCCGTGGGCGTAGGATCCTGCGAGCCAGGTGCAGGATAGAATCTCCTGATGCGCCGTTTTTTAAGCCTGTTGGAAAAGCGCAGTATTCGGGTGGGAGTGACCCGATTTTCCAGGTGCCGTCTGTCACCCCTTTCTTTGACTAGGAAAGGGAACTCCCTGACCCCTTGCGCTTCCCGTGTGAAGCAATGCCTTGCCCTGCTTCAGCTCGCGCATGGTGCGCGCACCCACTGACCTGCGCCCACTGTCTGGCACTCCCAATGAGATGAACCCGGTACCTCAGATGGAAATGCAGAAATCACCCGTCTTCTGCGTCGCTCATGCTGGGAGCTGTAGACCGCAGCTGTTCCTATTCGGCCATCTTGGCTCCTCCCTCGCATTATTTTTTATCTTTTTATATATGTTTGCACACACAAATACCACTGTGTTACAATTTTCTACAGTATCCAGTACAGTAACATGCTGTGAGGTTTGTAGCCTAGGAGCCATAGGCTATACCACATAGCCTAAGTGTGTAGTAGGCTAAATCATCTACGTTTGTGTAAGTACACTCTATGATGTTGGTACAAGGGTTAAATTTCCGAAGAACACATTTCTCAGAAAGTATTCCTATTTTTAAGTGATGCATGACTGTATTGAATAATAGCCAAACTTTCAAAATTTGATGACAAACATTAATCTACACATCCAAGGAGCTCAACAAATTCCAAGTAGGATAGATTCAAAGAGATCCACACCTGAACACGTTATAATTATCATCTATGATGAATTCATCTGGAATTATTTTATTTATATGTTAATGTAAGAATTAGAGAAAAGAGGTTACTGAGAATAAAGCAAAGAGAAAAATAAAGGGGAAAAGTTAATACATTTGGACAATTTGTCATCATTTAAAGATCAAGGCTGTGGTATTTAATATACAAGAACACCTGGAAGCAAATTTCAGGAAAGGTGTACAAAGCATACATAGTAAAGACCACTCCCATTTCAAGAATGTACTGACATTTGGAATGGGGGTCTGAAACTGAGCTGTTGCCGAACACTGGTCTTAACATTTATAGGCCACCTAATTGAACTATTCACTTTTCAGAATGTTTTCCTTTGTGGACTATTTGATATAATTACTTCATATTTTCTTTTTAACCTCACTATGACTTTCCATAGTCTGTTGACATATATAGGTGAACCTCAGTTAAAAAAATCATAATAAAACACTCAAACTTGATAGAAAATATTTTAAAATCACCTAACGCTTGGGATTATTTGTACTACTGCTTTTTTCCATTGTCATCGATAATGGGGAAATGATCATACATTGATACTCAAACGCATTCTCTAATTAACATACCAATGACATATCCCCAATATTATGTATACATGTATAAACTCGTAAGTACTCACCATTGAACTGTATCACATTTGCTAATGGCTGCCAGGCTCAACCATACCTCCTGACCTTTAGGAACTTAAATGCATCTATTTCCAATGGCATAGTTTTTATGTAAGTCACTCTATAATTAGAGGACTACTCATTTCCACATCACCTTACGTTACACTTATTGTGAATAAACACTCTCTACACCCCAGTGGAGAAACTCCACACAAAGTCAGAGGGATGAGCAAAGGAGAGGTGGAAATCAAACATAACTTCCACAGACAGACTGAACCACCCTCTTTCACCAGCAATGGAACTCGTAGCTCAGCATTGTGCCACTCATGAATTTCATGTGACTTCATGATGATGGCCTAAGAGAAGAGGGAAGGAGGAAACTGGGGCCAGTTTTCCAGGACTTTACCAACACCTGCCCTTGGTTATAACATTTGGTAATTCTCAGAGCCCCACCCCTACATTACAAACGTTACAATTCTGTGCACCATAAGTAGAGGCTTTACAAGGGTTCACAATTACTTTAGGGCCACAATGAATGCAAGCAATTGTTATCCCAGTCTTTGTTTCTACTCAAATACCAGCATTTTGGTAAAGCCTAATGGAATGAGCATCACTTGTTATCTCTAATGTCAAAGTTGAAGATTAATCACCATTAGTCAATGGAAATTAGGTGTAGAAAAGAAATTATTTATCATACAAAATGAAAGGGGCTTGAATTGGAGCCAAAATACAAAACTGCAAACACATACCCAGATGCTCAGACATTCCTTCTGCACATCAAATGGCTGTACTTCTTCTTCCCATATACACTGCTCTCTCCTTAGATCCCTCACATTCCCAACATCAGTGACTGGGTTTGTCACAGTATCCTTTGACACATAAGAAATATGACAGTTGGAGAAGAGCCTAAACAACGATCATGAACACTGTCCCTCATCCTTCATCTCAGCTCCACCTATTTAAAAGAAAGAACCCAAGCCATCCTCAAACCCCAAAAGCACTTCTGCAGACAGCTTTGAGGCACTTCTCGCCAGATGTATGCCCTAAAACTGACAGTAACCCCTGCTGCTCACTCCTCAAGTAAGAATTGAGGCCTATAAAGTTTGGAAATTGCTAGAGAAAAGAAAGATAGAGACAAAAAGACACACCCAGGTGAGTGTTGGCAGATGTTTCTGTGTTTTCAGGCATGTGTGCTGTACCTACAACCTTTGGGGAGCCTGGTACCCCAAGTGAATCTCCCCTCAAGTTCACTGTAAAGCACAATCATTTCTTCATAGCACAGTGATACTCTTAAGGTACTCTGAGGGCTTTCCTACATTTACTTAAATGGATAAATTCCAACACACACACACACATACACATGCACACACACACACACACACACACACACACACAGAGCAAATACAGGGGAAAAAGGCAGAGACTAAATACAAATAATTCTCTGAGACCCAGGCTTCTTCACTTAAACCAGTGTTTCTCAATCCAGGTACTGTTGACATCTTGGGTCAGGTACTTCTTTTTGTATGTGTGGTGTAGGGAAGAGCTGCCCTGTGAATTTTAGGAGGTTTGGAAGCATCTGTGTCCTCTACCCATTAGAAGCCAGTAGCACCCCCCAACCCACTTGTGACTAAAAATGTCTCCAGGCATTGCCAAATGTCCTAAATGGCAAAATTCTCCACCATGAGAACCATGGCCTTAGACCAAAAACATTCCCACAGCCTGGCTCCAATCAGCATGTAAATTGCCACATTACAAAAATAGATGCAGAATTAACCAGTTTCACTTAGCAGTGCTTCTAGTACACAGTCAAGGAGGAGGTTATGGGTTTTCACGACTAGAAGTCCCTCTGAGCAACAGGAAAGGGCCTCTGCCACCTAGTAGTGAGTCTTTTCCGTGATGGTCTAATCTAGGATTGTTGAAATCTAGGATTTCAACATAGTCTCCCATGTAGTGTTCAAACACAAAGTGACCCAGTTGGGCCCTTCCATGTGTGATTTCCTGCCAAACCATTTTGCACACTTCCTCTCTCAGCAAATTTTCATATTTGCTAAGAAAATTCCTATTCACAATAGCAAAGACTTGGAACCAACCCAAATATCCATCAATGATAGACTGGATAAAGAAAATGTGGTGGGGTGGAGCCAAGATGGCCGAATAGGAACAGCTCCGGTCTACAGCTCCCAGCGTGAGCGACGCAGAAGATGGGTGATTTCTGCATTTCCAACTGAGGTAACGGGTTCATCTCACTGGGGAGTGCTGGACAGTTGGTGCAGGACAGTGGGTGCAGTGCACCGTGCGTGAGTCGAAGGAGGTCAAGGCTTCGCCTCACCCGGGAAGTGCAAAGGGTCAGGGAATTCCCTTTCCTAGTCAAAGAAAGGGGTGACAGACGGCACCTGGAAAATCGGGTCACTCCCACCCTAATACTGTGCTTTTCCAACGGGCTTATCAAACAGCACACCAGGAGATTATATCCCACAACTGGCTCGGAGGGTCCTACGCCCACGGAGCCTCACTCATTGCTAGCACAGCAGTCTGAGATCAAACTGCAAGGTGGCAGTGAGGTTGGGGGAGGGGCGCCCACCATTGCTCAGGCTTGAGTAGGTAAACGAAGTGTCCAGGAAGCTCGAACTGGGTGGAGCCCATCACAGCTCAAAGAGGCCTGCCTGCCTCTGTAGGCTCCACCTCTGGAGACAGGGCACAGAAAAACAAAAGACAGCAATAACCTCTGCAGACTTAAATGTCCCTGTCTGACAGCTTTGAAGAGAGTAGTGGTTCTCCCAGCATGCAGCTTGAGATCTGAGAATGGGCAGACTGCCTCCTCAAGTGGGTCCCTGACCCCTGAGTAGCCTAAATGGGAGGCGCCCCCTAGTAGGGGTGGACTGACACCTCACACAACTGGGTACTCCTCTGAGACAAAACTTCCAGAGGAATGATCAGGGAGCAGCATTTGCGGTTCACCAATATCCGCTGTTCTGCAGCCACCACTGCTGATACCTAGGCAAACAGGGTCTGGAGTAGACCTCCAGCAAACTCCAACAGACCTGCAGGTGAGGGTCCTGACTGTTAGAAGGAAAACTAACAAAAAGAAAGGACATACACACCAAAAACCCATCTGTACGTCACCATCATCAAAGAACAAAGGTACATAAAACCACAAAGATAGGGAAAAAAACAGAGCAGAAAAACCGGAAACTCTAAAAATCAGAGTGCCTCTCCTCCTCCAAAGGAAAGCAGCTCCTCACCAGCAACGGAAGAAGCTGGATGGAGAATGACTTTGACGAGTTGAGAGAGGAAGGCTTCAGAAGACCAAACTACTCCGAGCTAAAGAAGGAAGTTCGAACCAATGGCAAAGAAGTTAAAAACTTTGAAAAAAAATTAGATGAATGGATAACTAGAAAAACCAATGGAGAGAAGACCTTAAAGGACCTGATGGAGATGAAAACCATGGCATGAGAATTACGTGACGAATGCACAAGCCTCAGTGACCAATGCAATCAACTGAAAGAAAGGGTATCAGCGATGGAAGACGAAATGAATGAAATGAAGTGTGAAGAGAAGTTTAGAGAAAAAAGAATAAAAAGAAACAAACAAAGCCTCCAAGAAATATGGGACTATGTGAAAAGACCAAATCTACGTCTAATTGGTGTATCTGAAAGTGACGGGCAGAATGGAACCAAGCTGGAAAACACTCTGCAGGATATTCTCCAGGAGAACTTCCCCAATCTAGCAAAGCAGGCCAACATTCAAATACAGGAAATACAGAGAACGCCACAAAGATACTCCTCAAGAAGAGCAACTCCAAGACACATAATTGTCAGATTCACCAAAGTTGAAATGAAGGAAAAAATGTTAAGGGCAGCCAGAGAGAAAGGTTGGGTTACCCACAAAGGGAAGCCCATCAGACTAACAGCGGATCTCTCTGCAGAAAATCTACAAGCCAGAAGAGAGTGGGGGCCAATATTCAACATTCTTAAAGAAAAGAATTTTCAACCCAGAATTTCATATCCAGCCAAACTAAGCTTCATAAGTGAAGGAGAAATAAAATTCTTTACAGACAAGCAAATGCTGAGAGATTTTGTAACCACCAGGCCTGCCCTAAAAAGCTCCTGAAGGAAGCACTAAACATGGAAAGGAACAACCAGTACCAGCCACTGCAAACACATGCCAAATTGTAAAGACCACCCAGGCTAGGAAGAAACTGCATCAACTAATGAGCAAAATAACCAGCTAACATCATAGTGACAGGATCAAATTCATACATAACAATACTAACCTTAAATGTAAATGGGCTAAATGCTCCAATTAAAAGGAACAGACTGGCAAATTGGATAAAGAGTCAAGACCCATCAGTGTGCTGTATTCAGGAAACCCATCTCACGTGCAGAGACACACATAGGCTCAAAATAAAGGGATGGAGGAAGATCTACCAAGCAAATGGAAAACAAAAAAAGGCAGGGGTTGCAATCCTAGTCTCTGATAAAACAAACTTTAAACCAACAAAGATCAAAAGAGACAAAGCAGGCCATTATATAATGGTAAAGGAATCAATTCAACAAGAAGAACTAACTATCCTAAATATATATGCGCACAATACAGGAGCACCCAGATTCATAAAGCAAGTCCTTAGTGGCCTACAAAGTGACTTAGACTCCCACACAATAATAATGGGAGATTTTAACACCCCACTGTCAACATTAGACAAATCAATGTGACAGAGAGTTAACAAGGATATCCAGGAATTGAACTCAGCTCTGCACCAAGCGGGCCTAATAGACATCTACAGAATTCCCCACCCCAAATCAACAGAATATACATTCTTTTCAGCACCACACCACACCTATTCCAAAACTGACCACATTCTTGGAAGTAAAGCAGTCCTCAGCAAATGTAAAAGAACAGAAATTATAACAAACTGTCTCTCAGACCACAGTGCAATCAAACTAGAACTCAGGATTAAGAAACTCACTCAAAACCACTCAACTACATGGAAACTGAACAACCTGCTCCTGAATGACTACTGGGTACATAATGAAATGAAGGCAGAAATAAAGATGTTCTTTGAAACCAACGAGAACAAAGACACAACATACCAGAATCTCTGGGACACATTCAAAGCAGTGTGTAGAGGGAAATTTATAGCACTAAATGCCCACAAGAGAAAGCAGGAAAGATCTGAAATTGACACTCTAGCATCACAATTAAAAGAACTAGAGAAGCAACAGCAAAAAAATTCAAAAGCTAGCAGAAAGCAAGAAATAACTAAGATCAGAGCAGAACTGAAGGAAATAGAGACACAAAAAACCCTTCAAAAAATCAGTGAACCCTGGAGCTGGTTTTTTGAAAAGATCAACAAAATTGATAGACCGCTAGCAAGAATAATAAAGAAGAAAAGGGAGAAGAATCAAATAGACGCAATAAAAAATGACAAAGGGGATATCACCACTGATCCCACAGAAATACAAACTACCATCAGAGAATACTATAAACACCTCTACGCAAATAAACTAGAAAATCTAGAAGAAATGGATAAATTCCTCGACACATACACCCTCCCAAGACTAAACCAGGAAGAAGTTGAATCTCTGAATAGACCAATAACAGGATCTGAAATTGTGGCAATAATTAATAGCTTACCAACCAAAAAAAGTCCAGGGACCAGACGGATTCACAGCTGAATTCTACCAGAGGTACAAGGAGGAGCTGGTACCATTCATTCTGAAACTATTCCAATCAATAGAAAAAGAGGGAATCCTCCCTAACTCATTTTATGAGGCCAGCATCATCCTGATACCAAAGCCGGGCAGAGACACAACAAAAAAAGAGAATTTTAGACCAATATCCTTGATGAACATTGATGCAAAAATCCTCAATGAAATACTGGAAAACCAAATCCAGCAACACATCAAAAAGCTTACCCACCATGATCAAGTGTGCTTCATCCCTGGGATGCAAGGCTGGTTCAACATATGCAAATCAATAAACATAATCCAGCATATAAACAGAACCAATGACAAAAACCACATGGTTATCTCAATAGATGCAGAAAAGGCCTTTGACAAAATTCAACAGCCTTTCATGCTAAAAACTCTCAATAAATTAGGTATTGATGGGACGTATCTCAAGATAATAAGAGCTATCTATGACAAACCCACAGCCAATATCATACTGAATGGACAAAAACTGGAAGCATTCCCTTTGAAAACTGGCACAAGACAGGGATGCCCTCTCTCACCACTCCTATTCAACATAGTGTTGGAAGTTCTGGCTAGGGCAATGAGGCAGGAGAAGGAAATAAAGGGTATTCAATTAGGAAAAGAGGAAGTCAAATTGTCCCTGTTTGCAGATGACATGATTGCATATCTGGAAAACCCCATCGTCTCAGCCCAAAATCTCCTCAAGCTGATAAGCTACTTCAGCAAAGTCTCAGGATAGAAAATCAATGTACAAAAATCACAAGCATTCTTATACACCAAAAACAGACAAACAGAGAGCCAAATCATGAGTGAAATCCCATTCACAATTGCTTCAAAGAAAATGAAATACCTAGGAATCCAACTTACAAGGGATGTGAAGGACCTCTTCAAGGAGAACTACAAACCACTGCTCAAGGAAATAAAAGAGGATACAAACAAATGGAAGAACATTCCATGCTCATGGGTAGGAAGAATCAATATCATGACAATGGCCATACTGCCCAAGGTAATTTACAGATTCAATGCCATCCCCATCAAGCTACCAATGACTTTCTTCACAGA